>NC_000009.12:128220552-128534369 GCF_000001405.40 Homo sapiens | reverse complement strand
TGAGACACACTCTTGCTGTGTCACCCAGGCTGGAGTATACTGGTGCGATCTTGGCTCACTGCGACCTCCGCCTTCCGGGTTCAAGCAATTCTCGTGCCTCAGCCTCCTGAGTAGCTGGGACTACAGGTGTGCACCATTACACCTGGCTAATTTTTGGTATTTTTAGTAGAGATGGCGTTTCTCCATGTTGCCCAGGCTGGTCTCAAACTCCTGAGCTCAGGCAATCCACCCAACTTGGCCTCCCAAAATGTTGGGATTACAGGCATGAGCCACTGCACCCGGCCGAAAGACATTATATTTCTGATAGAACATTCAAGGTACGTAATAGGAGCTGTGAGGAGGGAAAAACAAATTCCAATTCTATTTATATTTCATTAATCACTCTAGGGATAGTGAGTAGGGAGAAAAACAACTTTACCTCTGATAGTCTTCCAAAGCCATTCCCTCCTTGAAAGTGGGATAGAAAGGAACAGAGTAAGGACACTTCTTATGTAGATGAGCAAGAATGAGGTCCCCCACTCTGGGGTGGAGCTCCCAGATCCCGGATGCCACAACTGCAATGGGGAATGCTGCTTCATGGTGAGAGGCCACTTCCTCCTCGCCTTGTTTCTGAGAACATAGAGGTGGGTACAATTTTAACTTAATACCAGAAAAAGGCTGAAATCTTGTACACCAGCCTCTGCTTCCCATACCTCTAGCAACAAGGTTTCTCACCACAAATTTCTCTGCCAGTTTGTATTGAACAAAGTCCAGCCCCTGTGGGTTAAGTGTGACAGACACAGAGCGCCCACCAGATTGAACAGGTTTTCCAGAGAGCAGGCTGTGGATCTTGTCAAAGATCTCCTTCAGTTTTGAGCCTGAGCATGATAGAGAGAAATTAAAAGATATAACCACAGATCAATCTCTTTTTCTTTTCCTTTTTTTTTTTTTTTTTTTTTTTTTGAGACAGTATCACTCTACTGCCCAGGCTGGAGTGCAGTGGCACAATCTTGGCTCACTGCAACCTCCGTCTCCCGAGTTGAAGCAATTCTCTGCCTCAGCCTCCTGAGTAGCTGGGATCACAGACGCCCGCCACCACACTGGGCTAAGTTTTGTATTTTTTTTTTTTTGTAGAGATGGGATTTCACCATGTTGGCCAGGCTGGTCTCTAACTGCTGACCTCAAGTGATCCGCCCGCTTTGGCCTCCCAAAGTGCTGGGATTACAGGCGTGAGCCACCATGCCCAGCCTGTTTCATCATTGTAATTACAAAGCATCTACAAAAACCCAGCTGTGCTGCCCTACAGAAATGAAGGGATAAACAGTATCCCTTACTGTACACATAAAATGAAGGGATAAACAGTATAGAAAGAGGTGTTACATTTTGTTACAGACCCCATGGACTGTGGTTGGTATCTCTAGAGGAGTTAGTCACATCTCTAGGAAAAACCTTCTAAAGGATCTAACCAGCTCATGATGATATGCCCCCTTCTCAGGACTTGCCTTCTTCCGTCCTCAGAGACACAGAAGTGGATTCGTAACAGCTATATTTGTACCAAAGATTTTGTGTGCTCCACCCCCACACTAGCTACAGTTAGATTAGAGGCAGTCAAGCTGAGCCAGTCAGTCAACTAAGAGTCACTTCCTTGAGGTAGCTGGCCCTGTGTCACATACACTCACAAGCAGTGGGGGCTGCGTACCTGCCATGAAGACCAAAGAACGGCAATCTATAAAATAAGAATGGAGATGTAGAGAGGACAGATGAGATGAGAGAGGAAAAAAGAACTAAAGTTTCTAGCTCCTGAGACCTCACCTCATTCCTGCCACTGGGTTCTGTAGGATATTTCTTTATCTTTCCAATAAATGCTTTTTTTTTTTTGCTTAAGCAGATCTGGGCCAGCACTTTGGGAGGCCAAGGCAGGCAGATCACTTGTGGTCAGGAGTTCGAGACCAGCCTGACCAACATGGTGATACCTCGTCTCTACTAAAAATGCAAAAATTAGCCAGGTGTGGTGGCGGGTGCCTGTAATCCCAGCTACTCGGGGAGGCTGAGGCAGGAGAATCGTTTGAACCCAGGAAGCGCAGGTTACAGTGAGCCGAGATTGTGCCACTGCACTCCAGCCTGGGTGACAAAGCAAGACTCCATCTCCTCCCTAAAAAAAAAAAAAAAAAAAAAAAAAAAGCAAAGCAGATCTGAATTACTTTCCATTACCTGAAGTCCTGAAGTCAATGTTTTAATTAATACAGCATCTCCAGTTGAGAAATACCCTGTCAAGTTCCTAATCACTTCAAGAAATGTCACAAAAGTTTCAGAAATATCCTGTCATTCAGTTCTCTTATCAAAAAAAAAAAAAGCCAACCATGTGGACCCCACTGGCTGAATGCCCCATCTAGCATCTAGCCTCTCTCCATACCTCTCTAGGTAGGAGGAAAGTTAGTTAGCTTCCAACCCTAGACTGACGTGGCCTCCCCATGCCACAGCAACATCATGTCCTTATTTAAGATTTCTTCTAATTCTAACCACTCATGGACATCCATCTTTTTTTTTTTTTTTTTTTTTGAGCTGGAGTCTCACTCTGTCACCCAGGCTAGAGTGCAGTGGTTCGATGTCACCTCACTGCAACCTCTGCCTTCCGGGTTCAAGTGATTCTTCCACCTCAGCCTCCCAAGTAGCTGGGACTACAGGTGTGTGCCACCACGCCCGGCTAATTTTTGTATTTTTAGTAGACACGGGGTTTCACCATGTTGGCCAGCCTGATCTCAAACTCCTGACCTCAAGTGATCTGTCTGCCTCATCCTCTCAAAATGCTGGGATTACAGGTGTGAGCCACCACACCCGGCGACATCCACTTTTTTTTTTTTTTTTGAGATGAAGTCTCACTCTGTCACCCAGGCTGGAGTACAATGGCACGATCTTGGCTTACTGCAACCTCCGCTCCTGGGTTGAAGTGATTTTCCTGCCTCAGCCTCCCGAGTAGCTGGGATTACAGGCGCCTGCCACCACATCTGGCTAATATTTGTATTTTAGTAGAGATGGGGTTTCACCACATTGGCCAGGCTGGTCTTGAACTCCTGACCTCCTATGATTCACCCACCTCAGCCGCCTAAAGTGCTGGGACTACAAGTGTGAGCCACTGGGCCCAGCTGACATCCACCTTTTTTTTTTTTTTTTTTTTTGAGATGGAGTTTTGCTCTTTTTGCCCAGACTGGAGTGCAATGGCGTGATCTCAGATCACCGCAACTTCTGCCTCCTGGGTTCAAGAGATCCTCCTGCCTCAGCCTCCTGAGTAGCTGGGATTACAGGCATGCACCACCATGCCCAGCTAATTTTGTATTTTTAGTAGACACAGGGTTTCTCCATATTGGTCAGGCTGATCTCGAACTCCTGACCTTGTGATCCACCCGCCTCAGCCTCCCAAAGTGCTGGGATTACAGGATTACAGGCGTGAGCCACTGTGCCCGGCCCACCTTTTTTTTTTTTTTGAGACGGAATCTCGCTCTTTCACCCAGGACGGAGTGCAGTGGTGCTATCTCGGCGCACTGCAAGCTCCGCCTCCCGGGTTCATGCCATTTTCCTGCCTCAGCCTCCGGAGTAGCTAGGACTACAGGTGCCTGCCACCACGCCCAGCTAATTTTTTGTATTTTTAGTAGAGACAGGGTTTCACCGTGTTAGCCAGGATGGTCTCGATCTCCTGACCTGGTGACCCGCCAGGCTCGGCCTCCCAAAGTGCTGGGATTACAGGCGTGAACCACCGCGCCCGGCCCACCTTTTTAAAAAAGAGAAGAATTAGGTGATCCTTCCCTCCTATTCATTAAACGCTTACTGAGCACTAACTAGAGCATGTTCTGTGTCTGGCTGGACTACAAGATCTTAAAGGACTTAAAGTCTTGATGGAGACAAAGGGAGAGTCAGGAAATGTGTAGAAAAATTAAAAAAGGCAAAGATATAGACTAATTCGATGTGGTGAGTGAAAGAGAGGCAGCAGTCATAAAGATGACTCCCAGGTTTCCAGCTAAGATTACTGAGTAGATAATGGTGCTACTGATTACTCAAGAGAAAACAGCAGACAAAGAGGGCTAAGGAAGATGATGGGTTTGGATTTGAACACATTAAACTTGAGGCAGCTAAGAGACATATAGGCAGAGATGTCCCTCAGGTAGCTGAAGCTGGAGAATCTGAAGCTCAGAAGAAAGGAATAAACCAGAGGTAGGTTTGGGAGTCATCAGCATTCAGGTAATGTTTGAAGCCCTGTAAGTAGAGAGAACGAAAAGAACTGCAGGATAAGAGTAGATCCCAGCCGGGCACAGTGGCTCATGCCTGTAATCCCAGCACTTTGGGAGGCCGAGGTGGGCAGATCATGAGGTCAGAAGATCGAGACCATCCTGGCTAACACGTTGAAATCCTGGCTAACACGTTGAAACCTGGTCTCTACTAAAAATACAAAAAATTAGCCGGGCGTGGTGGCAGGCGCCTGCAGTCCCAGCTACTCGGGAGGCTGAGGCAGGAGAATGGCGTGAACCCGGGAGGTGGAGCTTGCACTGAGCCGATATAGTGCCACTGCACTCCAGCCTGGGCGAAAGAGCGAGACTCTCAAAAAAAAAAAAGAGTAGATCCCTAGGAATCACCTACAATTAGAGTGGGGTAGAAGACTAAGAAACCCACAAAGGGGAGAGAGAGAGAGGGAGAGAGGGAGAGAGAGAGAGGAAAGGGTAGTGAGGGAGGGAGGAGAAGAACCTGGAAAGTAATGGCACCATGGAGGCCAAAGGAGTAGAGTTGCACAGAGAAAGCAGCAACAGTGCCGAACAGAAACCTCAGGAAGATCAGCAAACACTTAGAAGACATAGGATCAAGGGAGACTCATGTTAGGATGTGAGGGGCTCACATATATTTACAGGCTGAGAGAGAGGAGCCTATAAAAAGGAGTAATCACAGAAAACAGGAAAGGCAATAAACGATGAGGCAGTCTGACAGGAGACAGGAAGGAAAGGGAACAAGGGCAGAGGTGGAAGGGTAAGCCCAGCAGCAAGGACGCCTCATCCAGTGACACAGGAGACTAAGAGGTAAATGTCACTGTGCAGTGGTGGAGGGGCTCTGAGGAGCTCACACTGGATGTCTCCATTTTCCTGATGAAGGAGGTACTGACCCTGTCTGCAGTCAACAGAGGGGAACTGGGAACGGCCATCGAGGTGTGGAGTGGCTGTCCAGTCAACCTCTCTTGCTTTGCTGTTGCTATCAAAGGACACAGCACTTTAAATTCCAAAAAGTGATATGTTATTTATTTATTTATACCTTGCCCTGTTCCAGAAAGAATTTCAGGCAGCAAAGTCATATGTAAGTTTTGCTGGACTGCCTATCAAGGGCAGGAACTGAAATTTTCCTATGCTTTCCAGGCAATGAGAAGTGAGTCGGGGAACGGAACCCACGATGCGTCAGAGGAGTGTTCCAGTTGCACACACACTCCCCAGCCACCTGGCAGCTCAGTCTATAATCTGGAGGCTTCCACATCTACAGCTCCATACAAATGAACCTCTGGTTCTAAAGAAGTTTCTTCCTTGTCTGGTTCTCACTTTCTAAACCTCAGTCTCTGGAGAGAAAAGGAGTCCTGGAGGATGAACAAGGCGAGCTTGGAGTAATTTGGAAAAGCTAATGTTGTAGGACAGAAGCAAAGCCTGCAAGTCACAGCCTAGGTTCCCTGAGTGATGTTTTCAGCAGTAAACTGCAACTTCAAAGCTAAGAGCCATCCTAATAATTTGCCATAAAAGGTAGCTTGTTAAAAATGAGTCAAAAAGGCCGGGTGCAGTGACTCACGCCTGTAATCCCAGCGCTTTGGGAAGCTGAGGCGGGCGGATCACAAGGTCAGGAGGTCGAGACCATCCTGGTTAACACGGTGAAACCCCGTGTCTACTAAAAATACAAAAAATTAGCTGGGCGTGGTGGCGGGCAGCTGTAGTCCCAGCTACTTGGGAGGCTGAGGCAGGAGAATGGCGTGAACCCGGGAGGCAGAGCTTGCAGTGAGCCGAGATTGCGCCACTGCACTCCAGTCTGGGTGACAGAGCAAGACTACATCTCAAAAAAAAAAAAAAAGGGGGCTGGGCACAGTGGCTCACGCCTGTAATCCCAGCCCTTTGGGAGGCCGAGGCAGGTGGATCACCAGGTCAGGAGATTAAGAACATCCTGGCTAACACAGTGAAACCCCGTCTCTACTAAAAATACAAAAAATTAGCCGGGTATGGTGGTGGGCGCCTGTAGTCCCAGCTACTCAGAAGGCTGAGGGAGGAGAATAGAACAGCGTGAAGCCGGTAGGCGGAGCTTGCGGTGAGCCGAGATCACGCCACTTCACTCCAGCCTGGGCGACAGAGCAAGACTCTGTCTCAAAAAAAAAAAAAAGAAAAAAAGAAAAAAAAAAGAGTCTTCTTTTTTTGTTTTTGAGACAGAGTCTCGCTCTGTCACCCAGGCTGGAGTGAAGTGGTGTGATCTCGGCTCACTGCAATCTCCGCCTCCTGGGTTCAAGCAATTGTCCTGCCTCAGCCTCCTGAGTAACTGGCATTATAGGTGAGAGCCACCACACCCAGCTAGTATTTGTATTTTTAGTAGAGACAGGGTTTCACTATGTTGGTTAGGCTGCTCTTGAACTCCTGACCTCGTGATCCGCCCACCTCGGCCTCCCAAAGTCCTGGGATTACAGGCGTGAGCCCAGCCATGATTATATCAGGGAAACAAGATGTATGTCACTTATATGTACCCGATCCAACTGTAAACATTTGTTTGAATATACTTTTATAGGAACCTTACAGATACATAGATTTGGAGTCTGAAAGATAATACAATGAAATGAAAGGTCATGTTCTCAACCCCTCTGACCAACCTGCAATGGTAGAGATTTGGCTCACTGGGATGGTAGCAGCCTTCTGGAGGTCCATCTTTATCTTTTTGGCCTGCCAGAAGAGAACAGTGAGAAAGCAGTGTTCTGAAGAGCTGAGTAGATGTCACTTAGAATCAGGTAAAGTGACATGCCAGCTACATTCCTTTGGGACACGAAGTGATCATTCTCTGAGAACCATCAAGTCCACAAAATTACTGCCATATACCTCTCCCCTACCTGACTGTCCTTGCTGTTGGTCAGGCCCTCAAAGGTCAACACACACTGCATGGAAGCATCCTGCAGCTGCTGGTACCACTGCATTGTAATGTCTTGTACCTTCACCTGGAGGTCTGAGAAATAAAAGAGAGGTTTTAGTAATAGCTAGTATTTACTGAACATGTAATATGAGGCAGGCACTGTTATAATCACTTTATGTATGTACTGACTGCTTTAACTGTCACCATAACTATGAAATAGATACTATTATTATCTCCATTTTATAGAAAAGGAAACAGGCACAAAAAGGTTAAGTGATTTGCCATGGTCACATTACTACTAAGTAGAAAAACTAAGGCTGGGTGTGGTGACCCACGCCTATAATTACAGTACTCTAGGAGGCCAAGACAGGCCCAGGAGCTTGAGACCAGCTTGCACAACATGGTGAAATCCCATCTCTACAAAAAATACACAAATTAGCCAGGCAGGGTGGCGCATGCCTGTAGTCCCAGTTACTTGGGAGGCTGAGTGGGGAGGATCACTTGAGCCTGGGAGGGTGAGGCTATAGTGAGCCATAATCATACCACTGTACTCCTCCAGCCTGGGTAACAAGAGTGAGACTCCTATCTCAAAAAAAAAACAAAAAACAAAAAACGCTGGGCGCAGTGGCTCATGCCTATAATCCCAGCACTTTGGGAGGCCAATGCTGGCAGATCACCTGAGGTCGGGAGTTCGAAACCAGCCTGACCAACATGGAGAAACCCCGTCTCCACTAAAAATACAAAAAAATTAGCCAGGTGTGGTGGTGCATGCCTGTAATCTCAGCTACTCAGGAGGCTGAGGCAGGAGAATCGCTTGAACCTGGGAGGCGGAGGTTGTAGTGAGCTGAGATTGTGCCATTGCACTCCAGCCTGGGCAACAAGAGCAAAACTCTGTCTCAAAAAAAACAAAAACAAAAACAAAACACACCAAAAAAGAAAAATTAGACTCCCAGGCTGGGTGCGGTGGCTCACACCTGTAATCCTAGCATTTTGGGAGGCCGAGGCGGGTGGATCATGAGGTCAGGAGTTTGAGACCAGCCTGGCCAACGTGGTGAAATCCCATCTTTACTAAAAATACAAAAATTAGCCAGGCACAGTGGCAGGCACCTGTAATCCCAGCTACTCGGGAGGCTGAGGCAGGAGAATTGTTTGAACCCGGGAGGCAGAGGTTGCAGAGAGCCAAGATCGCGCCACTGCAATCCAGCCTGGGCAACAAGAGCAAATCTCCATCCCCTCCCCGCAAAAAACAACAACAACAACAACAACAACAAAAACCAGACTCCCACTGATCTGGCTCCAGAGTCAGCACTCTCAAACACTATGGTACACTGATTCTTTTTCTTTTTTTGAGACGGAGTCTCACTCTGTCACCAGGTTGGAGTGCAGTGGCACCACCTCAGCTCACTGCAACCTCCAGCTCCTGGGTCAAGCAATTCTCCTGCCTTAGCCTCCCGAGTAGCTGGGACTACAGGTGCGTGCCACCATGCCCAGCTAATTTTTTTATTTTTGGTAGAGATGGGAGTTTCGGCATGTTGGCCAGGCTGGTCTCGAACTCCTGACCCCTTATACGTATTACACCAACACATATCTGTGCGCATTTATTTAAAATACTCAGCAGCAGCAATAATTGAAATAATGTATCTGCTAGAGTTATACAGAATTTCAAGTCCTCACGCAAAGTGTTGGAATCGTAAATCAGACTCTACATCAACCAAAACTGAATGAAATACATTACATAAAATTCTGGTTAACTGTCCTACAGTTTAACACAACATTCAAAACATGCTCTTGTTTCTCTTCACATTTGAAACTTACGAGTTAAAGGACCACATCCATACTGAAACCCACCTTCATTCTGTTTCCCTCCTGGGCCCTGGCTGGGAGCTGGGGGCTCTTTGTGGGCCTCTGGTCCCTGCTGCATCTGTGCCTCTTGCAGCTTTACCTGGGCCTCTTCTTCATCCTGCCTCCTCTTGTCTTCGCAGGCTCTGGTGATCTCCTGCCCCAAGTTCATCAGGAGGTCCCGCATTTCCCGCAGAGCTCGCTCAGCCTCAGCTTGACTCTCTGCTGTGGGATAGCTGCTCTGTCAGAGTGACGGAGATGGTGCTTAGTGGTCATTCCCTAGGTAAATCATACCTCATACAAGTCAATAAATTTCCTGCAATTGGAATTGTTGCACCAATGGAGTATCCACATTCAACGAATTGATACTTCTTTCCCTGTTCTCTTAAAGGTATTAATAATTCCAACTTACTGTCACATCCATAGTTTCTAAGTATAAATTGGTCTGTATTCTCAGCAACAAGGGCCAGCGTAATTTTTTAAAAAGTTTGTGACAATATGTTAGACAAAAATAATACTGTTTTATTATAATAATAATTATTTTTTGAGACAGAATCTCCATTGCCCAGGTTGGAGTGCAGTGGCAAGATCTCGGTCATTGCAACCTTTGCCTCCCAGGTTCAAGTGCTGCTCGTGCCTCAGCTTCCCAAGTAGCTGGGATTACAGGTGTGCGTCACCACACCCAGCTAATTTTTGTATTTTTAGTAGAGACTGGGTTTCACCATGTTGGCTGAAACCTACTGGTCTCGAACTCCTAGCCTCAAGTAATCCGAGAATCGCTTGAACCTGGAAGCCGGAGGTTGAAGTGAGCCATGATCACACCACTGCACTCCAGCCGGGGCAAGAGTGTGAGACCCTGTCTCAAAAAAAAAAAAAAAAAAAAAAAAAAAAAGCAAAGCAAAGAAACAGGGCAGGTACAATGGCTCGTGCCTGTAACCCCAATACTTCGGGAGGCTAAGGTGGGAGGATCACTTCAGCCCAGGAGTTCAAGACCAGCCTGGGAAACATAGTGAGATCTCTATTGCTAATTTAAAAACAAAACGAAACAAAAAAAGTTTGGCACCGTGGCTCACACCTGTAATCTCAGCAGTTTGGGAGGCCGAAGTAGGGGGATCACTTCAGCCCAGGAGTTAGAGACCAGCCTGAGCAACATGGCAAAACCCTGTCTCTACAAAAAAATACAAAAATTAGCAGGGCATGGTGGTATGCGCCTGTAGTCCCAGCTACTCAGGAGACTGAGGTGGGAGGATCACTTGAGCCCGGGAGGCAGAGGTTGCATGAGCTGAGACTGTGTTACTGCACTCCAGCCTGGGTGACAAAGGGGAACCCCATCACAAAAAAAAAAAAAAAAAAAAAAAAAGACTCCAGAATAAGCAGGTATAAAAATAAAGAAATAAATAAAAGAAACAAAATAAAATGTTAACAGTGGTTACTTCTAGGTAAAGAGATATGGAGATAACAAGTAATGTTTGGTATTTCCCCCAATAAGCAGATAGCAGGTATTACTTTTTAAGTCAGAAAACAGTTTTGCTTTTAAAGGCTTCCATTTCAAAGACAGCAAAGAGTCACTCTGAAGCCCCCCTCACCTCTGAAGAGGCCCGGATGATCCCTGAGATGAGGCTGCACAGCTGGTTGCCTCGGGTCTGGAAGGCAGCCAGGTCGACCTTAAGCAGGGCTTTGTGCTGCTCAGAGGCATCCAGCTGCTGGCTGAGCTGCAGCATCTCCTCCTGCAGAGCATAGAGGGCCCGCAGGCGGATCTGGCCTTCTTCCTTCCGAAGCCGCTCCTGTTCTGCTTGCTTCACGCGCTGCTGCTCTGCTTCCCGCAGCTTCAGGTTGAGAATCTGTAGAAAAGGGCTGAGTGACTTCTCTCTGAGGGGTTCCTGGGCTTCTTCTTTCTACAGTCCTCAAATTCTACGTGGGCTACATATTTTCACAGATGGGCTCAGAGCAGGAAGAGGACATCCCAAGGTTAGTCATACACAGGCATAATACGGCCCAGATCCTCCATGGTGGCCATCTGCCAAAACCTGGCTCTCCAGGCAGGTTACAGACAGACACCAAAACACCCACACCAATTCTGCCAGGCTCTGACCTTTGCTCTGTGACGGTGCTCAGCTTTTAGCTTCTCTTGGTGTCCCAAGGCTTCTCTGGAGCTGCATGAAAAATGGCAGGGAGGAATAGTCAGGGATACTTCCTGAAATTGTTTTTCTTTCTTTCTTTTCTCTCCCTCTCCCTGCCCTCCCTTCCCTTCCTTCCCTTTTTCTTAGAGATGGGGTCTCGTTATGTTGCCCAGGCTGCAGAGCATAGCTCACCACAGCCTCAAACTCCTGGACTCAAGCAATCCTCCTGCCTCAGCCTCTCTAGTAATTGAGACTACAGCTGTGTTCCACCACGCCCGTAAAATTGTTTTACCTCTCCTAAAAGCCTCCCTCTTTGTGTTCCTTTGGTTGTCTCTCCAAGTTTGGTCTTTTTTCCAGGTTATAAAATTCTCTGCCTATTTTACCTTGATATTTAAGGACTCAGAAGTTGTTCAACTCTTTCCCTTTGGAATTCCTCTTGGGAAAGAGTTCCAGTTGAACACATCAACATTCCCAGTCATAATTCAGGGAGACTCACCTCTTCTCCATTACTTCCCGCAAGTCCTGGAATTCTTTATGCTGCTTCAGTTCCTTCCATTCATCAAACCGCTTCAGTTGTTCAGATGCCATCTCCGAGAGGGCTTGCACCTTCCTCTCCTGCTCCTCCTGCCATAGCCTCAGGCCCTCCTGAAAAGGTTTTTTTTTTTTTTTTTTTTTTTAAGATGGAATCTCTCTCTGTCGCCAGGCTGGAGTGCAGCTCACTGCAACCTCCAACTCCCGGGTTCAAGCGATTCTTGTCTCAGCTCCCCAAGTAGCTGGGACTACAGGTGCCTGCCACCATGCCCAGCTAATTTTTGTATTTTTAGTAGAGACGGTTTCACCATGTTGGCCAGGATGGTCTTGATCTCTTGACCTTGTGATCCGCCTGCCTTGGCCTCCCTAAGTGCTCGGATTACAGGCGTGAGCCACCTCGCCCGGCCGAAAATGTTTAACACCTGCTCTCTGGAGCGCCTTCAACACCTTGATCATTTACCCCTGCGGGCTACCTGCCCATCGGCCCCTAACACCATCAGAGATACTTAAGGGCATGGAATCAGAACCTTTGCAGGAATATCCTTTCTCCTTTTGCTTGATCTTTAAGCTCAGCTGTTTTGGAAAGCTCTTCCAATTGCCCCATATGGTTTATGTCACTCCAGTACAAGTTGGGAACGGACAGGAATTTAGCAACATGACATCAAACAGCCATGCACTATTAAGCTTCCATCCTGTGTAGTCTTATGGGGTTCATTGGTAATTTACGGAAATCCTCATTCTAATTCCATAAACAAGCTATACACATTCCTATCTCACTGATTTTGTTAATCTCTGCCTCGAAGATTTTCTCCTGGACCTCCACTAAGGAAAGTCCTTTTCCTTAGTACCTAAGGGTATCAGATATTGAATTTATCATTTCATGAGAGTACTCACATATGGTTAAAGGCAATTTGACATTTTAACTATCAAAATTTGAAGTGTCTATATCCTTTGACACTTGTTCCATTTCAGGAATTTATCCTGAGGAAATGCTTGTATGTGTGTGCAAAGATATATGTACAAGAATGCTCACTGGAGCCCTGTTGATAACAGCAATACATTTAAAACCACTTAACTGGGGAATGACGACACGTATTATAGTACAGTCATACTGCAGAATACTATGCAGCCCTTAAAGATGACGAGATGCCAGCTAGCATGGAGATATGTCAAAATCTACTGTTAAGACATTATGTTATTTTATTTTAAAACATAATTATATTTTATTTTGTTTATTTGTTTATTTTTGAGACAGGGTCTCACCCTGTCATGTAGGCTAGAGTGCAGTGGCACACTTATAGCTCACGGCAGCCTTGAACTCCTGAGCTCAAGGGATCATCCCAACTCAGCCACCTGAGTAGCTGGGACTAAAGGTGTCCACTATCACACGGGGCTAATTTTTAAATTTTTTATAGAGTCAGGGTCTCACTATATTGCCCAGGATGGTCTAGAGCTCCCGATCTCAAGCTATCCTCCCACTTTGGCCTCCCAAACTGCTGGGATTATAGGCATAAGCCAACTGTACCCAGTCTTAAAACTTATTTTAAAGCTTCCAGCGAAAGAAGGCAAACTAAACAAGCATATATGTCCTCTCCTCTGGGACTCTGTTAAAGTGAGAATTGGAAAGAAAAAAAAGACATAACACCACATAGAGCATGAGAGATGTCACCAGCAGGGAAAAATCTTCTACATACTTCTGGAAAACAGTCAGTGGAGAAATAGCCAGGTGCACTGGCTGAGATCTGTAATCCCAGCACTTGAGGAGGCCAAAGTGGGAGGATCACTTGAGCCCAGGAGTTCGAGACCAGCCTGGGCAACAGAGAGACCCCCGTCTCTACCAAAAATTTAAAAATTATCTGGCTGTGGTGGTGCACACCTGCAGTCCCAGTTATTTAGAAAGCAGAAAGAGCTGAGGTAGGAGGAATGCCTGAACCCAGGAGGTCAAGGCTGCAAGGAGCGGTGATTGCACCACTGTATTCCAGCCTGAGCAACGGAGCGAGACCCTGTCTTTAAAAAAAAAAAAATAGTGGAGAAGCAATAAATGATAGAGCAGAGCTGAGAAAACCCAAGGATACACACACACACACACGATGTGTGTGAGAAGCAGACGATGCCTCACGGGAGCAGAAAGCCAATCTACCAGCCGAACTGCAGAGTCTCAAGACTGGGAAATGCCACGACTCATATAGGTGGGCCTCATCAGGCTGAAAACGGAGCTACCGGCTAAATGTTTGTAGACAAAACAGTCAACTCTTGCTGTCTTCCCCTAGTCATTAGATCAAAACAGCCAAGAGCCAAGCATTTGTGCTATAATGATTTTATTGTATTTTTTATATATATATACATATATATACATATATACATATATATACATATATACACACATACATATATACACATATACATATATACATATATACACACATACATATATACACATATACACATATACACACATATACATATATACACATATATACATATATACACATATATATACACACATATATACATATATATATATATTTTTTGGAGACACAGTCTCACACTGTCACCCAGGCTGGAGTGCACTGGCACCATCTCGGCTCACTGCAACCTCCGCCTCCCAGGTTCAAGCGATTCTCCTGCCTCAGCCTCCCAAGTAGCTGGGTTTACAGGCATGTGCCACCACGCCCAGCTAATTTTTGTATTTTTAGTAGAGACGGGGTTTCACAGTGTTGGCCAGGATGGTCTCGATCTCTTGACCTTGTGATCCTCCCGCCTCAGCCTCCCAAAGTGCTGGGATTACAGGTGTAAGCCACGGGTGCCCTATTGGGGAACCTGCCCCAATAGTCATGTAGGTTCTTTTCTATTTTCCCTAAGCATTGGCCAGCTTGAAAAATAAAGGGACAGAGTACAAAAGAGAGAAATTTTAAAGCTGGGCATCCGGGGGAGACATCACATGTCGGTAGGTTCTGTGATGCCCCACAAGCCGTAAAACCAGCAAGTTTTTATTAGGGAGTTTCAAAAGGGGAGGGAGTATACGAATAGGGTGTGAGTCACACACATCAAGTACTTCACAAGGTAACAGAATATCACAAGGCAAATGGAGGCAGGGCGAGATCGCGAGATCACAGGACCACAGGACCACAGGACCAGGGTGAAATTAAAATTGCTAATGAAGTTTCAGGCACCACTGTCATTGATAACATCTTATCAGGAGACAGGGTTTTGAGAGCAACCGGTCTGACCAAAATTTATTAGGCAGGAATTTCTTCTTCCTAATAAGCCTGGGAGCGCTATGGGAGACTGGGGTCTATGTCACCCCTACAGTCTACAGACCATAAAAGACGGCCACATGCAGGGGGCCATCTATAGACCTACCCCCAGGCGCGTATTCTCCTTCCCAGGGATGTTCCTTGCTGAGAAAAAGAATTCAGCGATATTTCTCCCATTTGCTTTTGAAAGAAGAGAAATATGGCTTTGTTCTGCCCAGCTCACCGGCGGTCAGAGTTTAAGGTTATCTCTCTTGTTTCCTAAACATTGCTGTTATCCTGTTCTTTTTTCAAGGTGCCCAGATTTCATATTGTTCAAACACACATGCTCTACAATTTGTGCAGTTAATGCAATTATCACAGGGTCCTGAGGCGACATACATCCTCTTCAGCTGACAGGATTAAGAGATTAAAGTAAAGACAGGCATAGGAAATCACAAGGGTATTGATTAGGGAAGTGATAAGTGTCCATGAAATCTTTACAATTTATGTTTAGAGATTGCAGTAAAGACAGGCATAAGAAATTATAAAAGTATTAATTTGGGGAACTAATAAATGTCCATGAAATCTTCACAATCCATGTTCTTCTGCCATGGCTTCAGCCAGTCCCTCCATTTGGGGTCCCTGACTTCCCGCAACAGTGCCCAGCTTTTTTTTTTTTTTTTGGAGTCTCGCTCTGTCGCCCAGGCTGGAGTGTAGTGGTGCAATCTTGGCTCACTGCAAACTCCGCCTCCTGGGTTCAAGCGATTCTCCTCCCTCAGCCTCCCAAGTAGCTGGGACTACAGGTGCCTGCCACCATGCCTGGCTAATTTTTGTATTTTTAGTAGAGACGGGGTTTCACTATGTTGGCCAGGCTGGTCTCGAACTCCCGACCTCGTGATCCATCCACCACGGCCTCCCAAAGTGCTGGGATTACCAGTGCAAGCCACCATGTCCAGCTATTTTATTTTTATTTTTTATTTTTTAGAGACGGATTCTCAACTCTGTCACCCAGGCTGGAGTACAGTGGTGCGATTTTGGCTCACTGCAACCTCCACCTCCCAGGTTCGAGTGATTGTCCAGCCTCAGCCTCCTGAGTAGCTGGGATTACAGGCGTGCACCACTATGCCTGCCTAATTTTTGTATTTTTAGTAGAGACAGGGTTTTACTGTGTTGGCCAGGCTGGTGTCAAACTCCTGACCTCAAGTGATCTGCCTGCCTCGGCCTCCGAAAGTGCTGGGATTACAGGTGTGAGCCAACAGGCCCGGCCCTGTGCTGTAATGATTTTAAAACAGATCTGCAAATTGTCTGACAATCCTTCCATACCCTCTACTTCAACCTGAGTGGACTTTATGACTACCGTGACTAACAGAATACGGAAAAAAAAAAAAATAGGCCAGGCACGTGAGTTTTTTTTAAGAAAATGAATAAACTGTCCAGAAACAGCTAATCAGTATGGGAACTAGTATTCCAAAACAATATGCTGGCACTTAGGAAGTCCTAAAGCTTAATAACCTTGTTTCTGATTATTCCCCTTGAATCTCTGATCTGATTACTAGCAATAAGGATCTTTAGATAACTGAGGAATCTCTATATCCTAAAAGGGATCAAGATGAACAAATAAAAAATAATGAATCCAGAAGGACATGTATATCAAGGAACACAAGTGAATCTGAAAAAGAGCTCTGAATATGATAAGAAATGAGAATAAGATGCTCTGAAAAAGGAAGAAGTGGAGAATACAAAAAAACTCATGAAAATTAGACATAATAAATACATATATATTTTTTCAATCAACAGGTGGAGAATAAAATATAGAAATCTTCTAGAAAACAAAACAATAAGACAAAAGGAAAATGAAAGAAAGAATAGGACATATAGAGGATTAACTTAGGCAATGGAGAGGTGAACTAATCAAGGGGAAAAATTTCCAAAGATGCAGGAAATAAATCTTTGAATTAAAACAACTCTGATATGCAGAATTAGTCGTTTCTCACCATCTCCATTGCTACCACCCTACTCTAAGCAACCACCATCTTTCACCCAGATTACAACAATGTTCCAAATATTTTACTTATTTCTCTTGTTTACTTCTGTCTCTTCCCACCACAATATAAGCTCTATGTCTATAATGTTTACTGTTTTATCTAGACCTGGAACAGCATCTAGCACATAGGTGCTCAGCAAATATTTATTGACTCAATGACCAATGAGGCAAGATGTTAGAAGACTTTCATTTTCTTTTTCTTTTTTTTTTTTGAGATAAAGTATTGCCCTGCTGCCCAGGCTAGAGTGCAGTGGCACAATCTTGGCTCACTGCCACCTCTGCCTCCCGGGTTCAAGTGATTCTCCTGCCTCAGCCTCCCCAGTAACTAGTATTATAGGCATGTGCCACCATGCCCGGCTAATTTTTGTATTTTTAGTAGAGATGGGGTTTCGCCATGTTGGCCAGGCCAGTCTGGAACTCCTTATCTCAGGTGATCCACCTGCCTCACCCTCCCAAAGTGCTGGGATTACGGGCATGAGCCTCCGTGCCTGGCCAAGACTTTCATTTTCTAAATTCCTGTACTCTGAAACATTTTTACAAGATCATGCATTGCTTTCCTAATTAAAAAAAAATACATGCTGGGCGCAGTGGCTTATGCCTGTAATCCCAGCACTTTGGGAGGCTGAGGTGGGTGGATCACCTGAGGTCAGGAGTTTGAGACCAGCCTGGCCAACACGGTGAAACCCCGTCTCTACTAAAAAATACAAAAATTAGCCAGGCGTGGTGGCAGGCGCCTGTAATCTCAGCTACTTGGGAGGCTCAGGCAGGAGAATTGCTGGAACCCAGGAGGCGGAGGTTGCAGTGAGCCAAGATTGCACCACTGCACTCCAGCCCGGGCTGACAACAGCAAGACTCTGTCTCAAAAAAACAAAAACAAAAAACAGGCCGGGCACGGTGGCTCATGCCTGTAATCCCAGCACTCTGGGAGGCCGAGGCGGGCAGATCACGAGGTCAGAAGATCAAGACCGTCCTGGCTAACACGGCAAAACCCTGTCTCCACTAAAAATACAAAAAATTAGCTGGGCGTGGTGACAGGCACCTGTAGTCCCAGCTACTTGGGAGGCTGAGGCAAGAGAATAGCATGAACCTGGGAGGCGGAGCTTGCGGTGAGCCGAGATGGTGCCACTGTACTACAGCCTGGGCAACAGAGCAAGACTCCATCTCAAAAACAAAAACAAAAACAAAATACAATCAAATAAATTAATTAAAATAGTGCTGCTATTTTTTCAAGAGGCTAAGGTCCTGACTGGGCATCGTGGCTCATGCCTGTAATCCCAGCACCTTGGGAGGCTGAGGCAGGTGAATCACCTGAGGTCAGGAGTTCGAGACCAGCCTGACCAACATAGTGAAACCCCGTCTCTAGTAAATAGAAAATAAAGTAGCTGGGTGTGGTGGCGCGAGCCTGTAATCCTAGTTACTTGGGAGGCTGAGGCAGGAGAATCACTTGAACCTGGGAGGTGGAGGTTGCAGTGAGCCAAGATTACACCACTGTAGTCCAGTCCAGCCTGGGCAACAAGAGCAAAAACTCCACCTCAAAAAAAAAAAAAAAGAGGCTAAGGTCCCATTTTCTCAGAATAAGCTTATCTAACAATCCCAGACCATTTCCAAATTTTGGAGAAGTAAATGGAAGCCAGAAAAGGCTAAGTAATTTTCCCAAAGTCACATGTAAAATGTAACAGCCAGGATCTGAAACCAGACTTGACTTCAGAGCACTCACTCCTGACCTCTATTACACTACCCCCAAAACTAAACAGTAGGTGGGAAGGATGAGTAGCATACAGTGCCCATTCCTACGCCCTGGGGAACTGCAGTTAAATGTGGCTCGCAGGATCAAGGCTGCCTTCCTTCATGGGTTCACTTACTGTTCCTTTCATTCTGTGTACCAGTTCGTACATTCGGACGCAGCCTTCCACTTTGATCCCCCGTGAGGACTGAAGTACCATAGATTCTGTGTGCTGGGACTCATCTTTGCCCTATATGAGCAGAAAATGGAAAAATAATTAAAAAATAAGTTTTTAATATGGTAAAGTTGGTGTTATCTCTTCTAGACAAAGACCACATCCCAACTTATGAACAACCACCAATAACAAGAGCAAAAAAAAAATTTAGGTCAGAACTAGTGTGCTTTTCATGAATGACATTGACTTTGTTCTAATTGTTTTCTTTAATAAATTGATGTTTGTTACTTTGGGTGATTTTTTGGGTTTTTCTATGTTTTTTTTGACTTGTTTGTTTTACTCTGCCTAGAAAATGTTTCCCCTTTCTTCAGATCAGTGTCCATTTATCCTGGGATGCTTTGGATGGAGTATCCCCAACCTACATCCCTAAGCTTCCATCCTCCTGGCTTCAGGAGAAAGCTGGCTATCAAAGTACTCTATCCTCAGGCCGGGTGTGGTGGCTCACGCCTGTAATCCCAGTACTTTGGGAGGCAGAGGTGGGCGGATCACAAAGTCAGGAGTTCGAGACCATCCTGACCAACATGGTGAAACCCCGTCCCTACTAAAAACACAAAAATTAGCCAGGCGTGGTGGCACGCACCTATAATCCCAGCTACTGAGGAGGCAGGCTAAGGCAGGAGAATCCCTTGAACCCAGGAGGCGGAGGCTGTAGTGAGCTGAGATCGCGCCACTGCACTCCAGCCTGGGCGACAGAGCAAGACTCCATCTCAAAAAAAAGGCCAGGCACCTTTTTCCCCAGCACTTTGGGAGGCTGTGGTGGGCGGATTACAAGGTCAGGAGTTTGAGACTATCCTGACCAACATGGTGAAACCCTGTCTCTACTAAACATACACAAGACATACCCTGTCTCTACTAAACCCTGTCTCTACTAAACATACACAAGACATACTCTGTCTCTACCAAACATACACAAGTTAGCCGGGCATGGTGGCACGTGCCTAGGCATGGTGGCGGGCGCCTGTAGTCCCAGCTACTCGGGAGGCTGAGGCGGGAGAATGGCGTGAACCTGGGAGGTGGAGCTTGCAGTGCGCAGAGATCGTACGACTGCACTCTAGCCTGGGATACAGAGACTCCGTCTCAAAAAAAAAAAAAAAAAAAGTCTGCTATCCTCCTACACCCAGTATGGACTTGAGGAATGAAAAATATGACCTGAAGGCCAGAGTTCATCTTTGAACTTTTCTAAGTTTTTTTTTTTTTTTTTTTTTGAAACAAGATCTCACTCTGTTTCCCAGGCTGGAGTATAGTGGCGTGATCACGGATCATTACAGCCTGGACCTTCCAGCTTCAATTGATCCTCCTGCCTCAGTCTCACAAGTAGCTGGGACCACTGGCGCACGCCACCACACCTGGCTAATTTTTGTATTTTTTTGTAGAGACAGGGTTTTGTCATGTTGCCCAGGCTGGTCCCAAACTCCTAGTCTCAGGCAAGCCTCCTACCTCAGGCTCCCAAAGTGCTACAATTACAGGCATGAGCCACTATGCCTGGCCTATTTTTTTTCTTTTTCTTTTTCTTTTTTTTTTTTTTTGAGATGGAGTCTCACTCTGTTGCCCAGGCTGGAGTGCAGTAGCGCAATCTCGGCTCACTGCAAGCTCTGCCTCCCGGGTTCATGCCATTCTCCTGCCTCAGCCTCCCAAGTAGCTGGGACTACAGGAACCCTCCACCACGCCAGGATAATTTTTTTTGTATTTTTAGTAGAGATGGTGTTTCACCATGTTAGCCAGGATGGTCTTGATCTCTTGACCTCGTGATCCACCCGCCTTGGCCTTCCAAAGTGCTGGGATTACAGGCGTGAGCCACCGCACCCCGCCTTTTTTCTTTTCTTTTTTTTTTTTTTGAGACAGGGTCTTACTCTATCACCCGTGCTGGCATACAGTCGTGCTATCTAGGCTCACTGCAGCCATGACCTTCCAGGATCAAGGATCCTCCTACCTCAGCCTTCTGAGTAGCTGGGACCGTAGGCATGAGCCATCATGTTCAGGTAATTTTTTTGTAAATATGGAGTTTCCCCATGTTGCGCAGGCTAGTCTCGAATGCCTGAGCTCAAATGTTCCACCTGCCTTGGCCTCCCAAAGTCCTGGGATTCCACACCCAGCTTTTTTATTTTCATTAACACACCTGACATGGATATCTTTGAACTTTTCTGATGAAGCTATCTGGGAATGCTAACCTAAGAAGATGCTGAGTCCAGGGCTACCAGTAGCCATCTTGCCACCTAATCTATCTCAACAATGAAACCAATAACTGAGAAATGGAGAGGCAAAGCCCCATGTTTGGGACACTAGATTGAGTCAAAAATAATCAATCCTATGTGGGGGAGATGTTTGAAAAATAATAATAAATAATGTCAAGCAGAAAGATGCAGAATGTAGATGTTCCTAGATCTAGGTGATTCCAAATGCACTCCTAGACTTCCTAGTTACATGAACTAATTAATACTTCCCTCAGTCCCTTAAGCCAAACTGGGTTTTTCTTACGTAAATACCAAAAATTCCTAAATAATGTGACAATCCATTACATAAAACCATTTAATAATTTATTAGGCCAGGCGCAGTGGCTCCAAAAATTACGGAATTTTATACGTGAAAATAACCTCGGGCTGGGCACGGTGGCTCATGCCTGTAATCCCAGCATGTTGGGAGGCCAAGGCGGGTGGATCACCTGAGGTCACCTAGCCTGACCAACATGGTGAAACCCCGTCTCTACGAAAAATACAAAATTAGCCAGGCATGGTGGCGCGTGCCTGTAATCCCAGCTACTCAAGAGGCTGAGGCAGGAGAATCACTTGAACCTGGGGTTGCAGTGAGTCGAGATCACGCCATTGCACTCCAGCCTGGGCGACAAAAGCGAAACTCCATATTAAAAAAAAAAAAGACCTCAGCAATTTGGTCCAGAATGAGATTTACAGATAAAGACACTGAAGTCCACTGAGGAAAAGAGGCCCACCTGAGGGCACGCCACAATATTGGCAGGATCAGATCAGAATCTGTTGCCAAGAAGCTGCTCATAAAAATACTTTTTAAAAATTTTAATTTTTAAATAATTAATGTTCACAGAAGGTTGCAAAAATACATACAGGAAGGTCGCATGTACTTTTCACCCAGTCTCCCCCAATAGTAATGTCTTTCATAAATACAATAAAATAACAAAACCAGTAAATTGATATTGGTACAATCCACAGAGCTTATTCAGATTTCACCAGTTTTAAAGGCATTCATTTGTGCTTATGTATAGTTCTATGTAATTTTATCACATGTAGATTCATGTAAACACCACCACACTCAAGATACAAAGCTGTTCTATCACCACCAACCACCCCATGTCACACCTATATTTATAGCCTCACCACTTCCTCCCCCATCCCTCATCTCTAAGCTATTCTCCTTCTCTACAGTTCTGCTAATTCAGGAATGTTAAATAAATAAATCTTCACCCAGGCCGGGCCTGGTGGCTCACGCCTGTAATCCCAGAACTTTGGGAGGCCAAGTTGGGCAGATCACCTGAGAACAGGAGTTCGAGACCAGCCTGGCCAACATGGTGAAACCCCGTCTACTAAAAGTACAAAAATTAGCCAGGCATGGTGGCAGGCGCCTATAATCCCAGCTACTCGGGAGGCTGAGGCAGGAGAATCACTTGAACCTGGGAGGCGGAGGTTGCATTAAGCCGAGATTGCACCATTGCACTCCAGCCTGGGGGACAAGAATGAGACTTCGTCTCAAAAATAAATAAAGAAATAAATCTTCACCCAGCCCTAGATTCTGGTTATGTTTTAGTTCTAAAAGGCTTACAGTTTTTTTTTTATGTTTAAGTCCATGATCACGTTAATTTTTTTTTTTTTTTGAGATGGAGTCTTGCTCTGTCGCCCAGGCTGGTGTGCAGTGGCGCAATCTCAGCTCACTGCAAGCTCTGCCTCCCGCGTTCACATCATTCTCCTGCCTCAGCCTCCTGAGTAGCTGGGACTACAGGTGCCCGCCAACTCGCCTAATTTTTTTTTTTATTTTTAGTAGAGAAGGGGTTTGACCGTGTTAGCCAGAATGGTCTTGATCTCCTGACCTAGTGATCCACCCGCCTTGGCCTCCCAAAGTGCTGGGATTACAGGCGTGAGCCACTGCACCCGGCCAAGTTAATTTTTATATAAGGTATGACATTTAGGTGGAGGTTCCTTTTTTTCCTTAAGACGTTCAGTTGCTAAAAATATATATTTTAAAGTACCTAGACCTTTTCTGGCAACAACAACAACAACAAAATCAACATAAATATATATATTTATGTATATTTATAATATATATATTATTTATTTTGTTGTTATTATTTACTCAGTCTCTATATATACATATATTTTGAGACTGAGTCTTGCTCCGTTACCCAGGCTAGAGTACAATGGCATGATCTCAGCTCACTGCAACCTCCGTCTCCCGGGTTCAAGCAATTCTAGTGCCTCAGCCTCCCAAGTAGATGGGATTACAGGCGTGCGCCACGACGCCCAGCTAATTTTGTATTTTTAGTAGAGACAGGGTTTCACTGTGGTCAAGCTGCTCTCGAACTACTGATCTCAAGTGATCCACCTGCCTCAGCCTCCCAAAGTGCTGGGATTACACGTGTGAGCCACCACACGTGGCCACAAAGAATATTTTTTAAAGACTAATATTTTAAAAGATGAACTACTAGATAGAAAAAAAATACTTTCTATGTAAAAAAGAAAAAAAAAAAAAAAACTGGCCAGGCACAGTGGCTCACGACTATAATCCCAGCACTTTGGGAGGCCGAGGTGGGTAGATCATCTGAGGTCAGTAGTTTGAGACCAGACTGGACAACATGGCAAAATCCTGTCTCTACTAAGAATACAAAAATTAGCCAGGCATGGTGGCGCACACCTGTAATCTCAGCTACTTGGGAGGCTGAGGCAGAAGAACCGCGTGAACCCAGGAGGCAAAGGTTGCAGTAAGCCGAGACCATGCCACTGTACTCCAGCCTGGGTGACAGAGCTAGACTCCATCTTAAAAAAAAAAAAAAAAAAAAGCCTGGGTGTGGTGGTTCACACCTGTAATCCCAGCACTTTGGGAGGCCGAGGTGGGCAGATCATAAGGTCAGGAGTTTGAGAACAGCCAGGCCAATATGGTGAAACACCATCTCCACTAAAAATACAAACATAAGCCGGGCGTGATAGTGGGTGCCTGTAATCCCAGCCGCTCAGGAGGCTGAGGTGGGAGAATCGCTTGAAGCCGGGAGGCGGAAGTTGCAGTGAGCTGAAATTGCGTCACTGCACTCCAGCCTGGGGGACAGAGCAAGACTCCGTCTCAAAAAAAAAAAAGAAAAAGAAAATAGCCAAGTATGGTGGTGTCCACACGCAGTCCCAGCTATTCGGGAGGCTGAGACAGGAGGGTGGATTGAGCCTGGGAGGTGGAGGCTGCAGTGAGCCATGTTCATGCCACTGCACTCCATCCTGGTTGACAGAGACAGACCTCAGCTCAAAAAAAAGGGAGGGTGAAGAAGAAGACATGTTCACGTATATTTGTATATACACAAACTACCTCTAGAAGTATATAAAAAGTAATTTTAAAAAACTTCCAAAATTTAACTTTTTTTTGAGATAGGGACTCACTCTGTTGCCTAGGCTGGAATGTAATGGCTTGATCACAGCTCACTGTAGTCTCAAACTCCTGGGCTCAAGTGATCCTCCCATCTCAATGTCCCAAGTAGCTAGGACAACAAGCTCGAGCCACCATGCCTAGCCAATTTTTAAGTATTTTGGAGAGACAAGGTCTCACTATGTTGCCCAGGCTGGTCTTGAACTCCTGGGCTCAAGCAATCCTCTTGTCTTGGCCTTCCAAAGCACTGGAATTATGGACATGAGCCACTGTGTTGGGTCCAATTTAACTTTTTTTTTTTTTTTTGCGTTTAGGAGTGGAGGTTTAATAGGCAAGAGAAAGAGAAAGGAAAATAGTTCTCTCTCTAGTGAGAGAGAGGGGTCTTCTGAGAGGAAATGGCCCCAGTTTAGCATTTTTAAGTGGGAGAAATAACAAAAAAACAGAGGCAGGGACAAAACAGAGCCAGGAATAGGGTAAAATCTCCTACAGAACCAATGAGAGAAGGCATGTAAACTTAAAGAGAAGGTATACATTTCACTCTAAGCCTTCTTCCAGCAGATAACACAAAAAGGGAGACCATATCAGTTAAACAGACGCAGCGTTCATCAGAAAAAAAAAAAAATCCAATTGCTCATGAAATTAGTTATACTATTCTCGGTACTAAGAATAGAGGGGATTTTTCTCCCTCTGGATCTGTCTAAAGAGAACACTGAATGGTGCTGTCAACATTGTCTCTACAACAGCTACAACAATGAGCAATCATTATTTCCCCTAGGGTATGGTCACTGTCATATGACAATATTAAACATTTTGACTTTGCAGCCACCATGTCTTTTGTCTTAAGCTGATCACAACCTTACCTTGGTTCCATTTGGTGTTGCAGGGGAGGCTGGGGAAAAGGCAGAGCTTGCGTCAGGAGATTTGGGAACAAATGAGGGTTGATCTAGGGCTGAAGCTGACGTAGAGGATGGCGAAGTCTCAGACAGAGGTTGGTTCTCCTGCATATGGGGTAGGACGTGCTCTACCACCCATCCAGAATAAGAAGATAGCTTGGGAAGAGACATACATTCTTCTAAAACATCCTAGAGAAAAGAATAGGGTTAAGCTCAACTTACACGTCAACTGTTCTCAGTATAATCCACTACATGCCTTACTGAACATCTAAGAAGGCCTAAATAAATAAACATCAAAGACCCAAAGTAATGTATTAACAATCAGATGAAAACAAAGTACAGTGGTTTCTTGATAATGACCTAGACTACTATCCTTCTAATGAAAATCAGACTAAATAACCCTAACTACAGAAAAAGGGACAATGCACAAAGATTCCCACTAAAGCATATGTGAAAGCAATCTAAAGCACTGAACAGAACACGAGGAATTCTGAAGTAAGCTACTGTATACACAATCAGTAGAATGTCAGTCACTTAACAATGGGGGTAAGTTCTGAGAAACACAGGGTTAGGTGATCTTGTCATTGTGCGAGTATCGTAAAGCATCCTTACACAAACCTAGATGTATATATTTTTTCATTTTTAAAATTAATTATTTTTGAGACAGGGTCTCACTCTGTTACCCAGGCTGGAGTGCAGTGACCTAATCATGGCTCACTGTAGCCTGACCTCCTGGGCTCAAGCTATCCTCCCACCTCAACCAGTCTCCCCAGCAGCTGGGAGTACAGGCATGCGCCACTATATTCAGCTAATTATTTTTTCATTTTTTATAGAGATGGAGTCTTGATATGTTGCCCAGGCTGGTCTTTTTTTTTTTTTTTTTTGAGATGGAGTTTCGCTCTTGTTGCCCAGGCTGGAGTGCAATGGCACGATCTTGGCTCACCACAACCTCCACCTCCCAGGTTCAAGTGATTCTCCTGCCTCAGCCTCCTGAGTAGCTGGGATTACAGGCATGCACCACCATGCCTGGCTAATTTTGTACTTTTAGTAGATACGGGGTTTTCTCCATGTTAGTCAGGCTGGTCTCGAACTCCTGACCTCAGGCGATCCACCCGCCTCAGCCTCCCAAAGTGCTGGGATTACAGGCGTGAGCCACTGTGTGCCCAGCCTTTTTTTTGAGATGGAGTCTTGCTCTGTCACCCAGGCTGGAGTGCAGTGGCACGATCTCAGCTCACTGCAACCTCCACCTCCCGGGTTCAAGCAATTCTCCTGCTTCAGCCTCCCGAGCAGCTGGGATTACAGGTGTCGACCACCACACCCGGCTAATTTTTGTATTATTACTAGAGACAGGGTTTCACCATGTTGGCCAGGCTGGTCTCAAACTCCTGACCTCAGGTGATCCACCCACCTCAGCCTCCCAAAGTGTTGGGATTACAGGCGTGAGCCACCACGCCCGACTATTTTTTTTTTTTTTTTTTTGAGAGACAGGCTCTCATTCTGTTCCCCAGGCTGGAGTGCAGTGGCGTGATCACGGCTCACTGCAGCCTCAACTTTTCATGCTCAGGTAATACTCCCACCTCAGCCTCTCAAGGAGCAGGGACTACAGGCACGCACCACCACACCTGGTTAATTTTTTTGTATTTTTTGTAGAGGTGAGGTTTCTCCACATTGCCCAGGCTGGTGTCGAACTTCTGGGCTCAAGTGATCTGCCCACCTTGACTTACCAAAGTGCTGGGATTGCAGGTGTGAGACACCAAGCCTGGCTCCCAGCTTGAACTGGCCTCAAGCACTCGTCCTGCCTCAGCCTCGCAAAGTGTTGGGATTATGGGCATGAGTCACCACAACCAGCCTAATAATATTTTAAAAAATAGAAATAGATATGGATATGTATGTATACACCCTTAGTAGTAATAATGAGCATATCTAGTACCAGATCTTGGTTTGTAAATATAATTTTAAATCAAAGGAAACCAGGGGTCTCTGCAGAAAAGGTAAGTTCCAGAACTGGAGGCAGAAAAATATAAGATGAGCGTGGAACATCTTTGTATGAGAAAATAAGTACTGATTACCTATGATATAATAAATAAATGAAAAAACTAGAGTAGTTCAGAGATTGCTACAATGAGATAAAGTAAACTGATTGAGCAAATAAGTAAACATATTGAGAATAACAGGAGCCAAACTTCTCACTGCTAGGTAACATATTTACAAACATGGATGGGGTAAGATTAGAAAGAAAAGTGAAGTGCTGGGTTGGAAGTGGCATTTATCAGTATGAAGTCATGGTTTTATAATATATATGTACACACAAATAGACAGTACATAAATGTGTGTGTGGTGATGTGTGTACATATTTAGATATGTATTATTTCCTAGCTCTGTCTACTGAGAAGGCCTAGAAGCAATGGTACCCAATCAAGAATCTCAACACACTCAACTCCCAGATCTTGGTTTGCCAATACAGCACCATCCTCCACTTCAAAAGAGTCAGCCTCTTTGGAGAAATAGCTGATTCCAGGATTAAGACAGGGAAACTTGCACCTGGGACATCTTTTTGTGTCAAAAAGTAAAGAAATGTCAATGAAAGATGGAAATATGTCACAGGAACACAGGAACCAACTTAATGAGGTGCCCAGTAGCCAAATCTGGGACATTTTTCTTTTTAATTCTTATGAATACATAATTGTTGTACATATTTACAAGGCTACATTTTTTTTTTTGAGACACAGTCTCACTCTGTCACCCAGGCTTGAGTGCAGCAGCACAATCTCGGCTCACTGCAACCTCTGCTTCCAGGGTTCAAGCAATTCTCATGCCTCAGTCTCCCGAGTAGCTGGGATTACAGGCATGCACCACCATGCTCGGCTAATTTTGTATTTTTAGTAGAGATGCGGTTTCACCATGTTGGCCAGGCTGGTCGCGAACTCTTGACCTCAAGTGATCCGTCCCCCTCGGCCTCCCAACGTGCTGGGATTACGGGCCTGAGCCACCACGCCTAGCCTTGCATGTGATTATTTTGATACAAGCTTACAAAATCTGGGACATTTAAAATAAAATAAATAAATAATAAAAGTAATGGATTACAACTCACTGAATAAAATAGAAAGCACCTCCTTACAGTAGAATGCCAACTAACAAATGCAGAAGGAATAGCGGATATAAAGAAACAGGATCTGGCAACGTCATAGAGGTATCGATTCATGTGGAAAACATCAATGAATGCTAAAGCCATGGAGGATTAAGGTTTGCCCAGAAAAAAGGATACTGGTATTATTACTTCCCAACAATTACTAAGGGAAAAATGACGAATTTTAAACGGAGAGACCAGGCAGATAATAACGTAACCAGGTGATCAAGATTAGCATCACCAGTGTTGGGATGGGTTGACATCTGTGTGCCTCCTCATGTGACTTACTGAGAAAGCCATGGCATCATTTCTGTGGTATTCCTGCCAAGAATGCTTAACCTTGGTCTGGTGGTTTGAAAGCACATATGCTGGCAGTCAACCTACAGAATGTAAGGTCTGTATTTTTCAAAACTGTCAACAACATAAAAGACAGGGAAATACTTTAGGATTGTTTCCCAAGAAGTCTGAGGATGCAGGACAACGCCTTATCTGTAGCTAACTAGCAGCGACTCGGGAATGGGAGCTCGGCCTTAACTCTCCACATCCCTCCACTTCTCGCGCAGAGCTTTGCAAATGCTAGGTACGGTGACCACGCCCCCATTCACTTTCCAGGTCTGCCAAATCAATCTAAAAATTTGGTCATTTCACTAGTAGCAATGGATTAGGTCGTGTCAATCGTTCGTCGCAAACTCTAGAGCTCCCAGCACATGAGACATACAGTAAGTTAACTGAACCTGGGGCCGAGATTGCTTTGACAACAGCAGAACGGAGAAGGCGCCCAACTGGCGGAGGGTAGCAATGAAGCCTTCAGAGCGCGGGGCACCTGTGAAGTCAGGGGAGCTCCCCGAAACGCTAAAATAGGCTGAAGAGGACAGAAACCCCAGGACAGAGGGATGTACACACAGAAGTCAAGAAATAAATGCAGGTTGTTAGACTGCACGGGTTCCCGGGAGCAGAACGTGCCAACGGCTAGGGAGAAGGTTTCGGTCGCGAGGGGCCGGAAAGGCCTACGTCCTCCGGGGCCACCGCTCACCTCGCGCCGCAGCAGCCAGTCGCGGTAGTAGCAAAGGCGACCTTTGTCGGAACTGCGTAGGGCCTTCAAGGTCTCCCAGCAGCGACCCTCAGACGGCATGGTTGGCTAAGGGGCAGCTTCTCTGACGCCCCCCTTCTGACCAAACAAGCCCTCGAATCAGCCGCCGGGAAGGCCACACAGGCTTCTGCTTCCGGGACGCGCGCGCAGCACAGCCCCGCCCCTAACGCCTGCACGCCCCACCTCCGGCGACGCTCCCGCGTTCCCGCCCTCCCACCAGTGCGCCTGCGCGCAGGGCTTGGCTGTCGGGGCACGTTCCGCAGAGGTAACCACCGCTCCCAATCCCCGGGGCTGCTGAAAATTTGTCTGTGCCTTGAGACTGTGCAGAAACTGGAACCCTCATACACTGCTCATGGGACTGTAAAATGAAGCACCTGCTGTGGAAGACAGTCTGGCAGTTCCTCAAAAGGTTAAACAATTACCATTTGACCCAGCAATTCTCCTAGGTAAATATATATATATATATAAAATACGCCAAAGAAATGAAACCTATGTATATATAAAAACTTGTCCATGAATGTTCACAGCAGTGTTATTCATAATAGCCAAAAAGTGAAAGCAACCCAAACGTCCATCCATTGGTGAATGGATAAATAAAATATAGTACTATGTGCGCGGTTCCCGAGTTCCCCCGCTTTCTGTGCACTGACCAAGTATCAGAGTGCCTTGACCGCCCTGTGACCCAGCCAGCTGCAAGTTTTTTCCTGCAGACTTGCAACCAAACACGGGCCTTGCATATCCCTAGGCACTAAGGATATCTAGGTTATTGCCCAAAACGCTGAAACTGACCCCTGCTTTTAGCCAAATTCCATAAACCCTCATATAAACTTCATACCCTGACCCCTCGCTGGGGATGTACCTAGGTGAAACACCGCTTCTCTCTGTCTGTCGCGAGAATTGCTGCAGCCCACTCTGTAAGCTTCCCTAATAAATGTTTTGGGTTTAATGCTGCTTTTTTGAGACAGAGTCTTGCTCTGTCCCCCAGGCTGGAGTACAGTGGCTCGATCTCGGCTCACTGCAACCTCCGCCTCCCGGGTTCAAGCGATTCTCCTGCCTCAGCTCCCCGTGTAGCTGGGACTACACGCGCCAGCCACCACGCCCAGCTATTTTGTATTTTTAGCAGAGGCGGGGTTTCACCATGTTGGTCAGGCTGGTCTCGAACTCCTGACCTCAGTTGATCCACCCACCTCGACCTCCCAAAGCGTTGGGATTACAGGCATGAGCCACTGCGCCCGGCCATAGTGCTTCTTTGGAATCCCAACCAGCCCTGTTTGGCAGGAGGAAACACCACATCTATATAATGGAATGTTATGGGGCCATAAAAATAAAGTGCTGATGATACGCTGCAACATCAATCTTGAAAGCATTATGCTGAGAGAAGCCAGTCATGAATGGCCACATGTTGGACAATTCCACTTATGTGAAATATCCAGAAGAGACAAATCTATAGAGCCAGAGAAACTTTATGACTAGTTGCCAGGGGCTGGGGGAGGGGAATGGGGAGTGACTGCTAATGGGTATGGCGTTTCTTTTTTGGGAGTGATGAAATTGGTTGGCTGGGTGCCGTAATCCCAGCACTTTGGAAGGCCAAGGTGGGCAGATCACCTGAGGTCAGGAGTTTCAGACAAGCCTGGGCAACATGGCAAAACCCTGTCTCTACAAAAAATACAAAAATTAGCCAGGCAAAGTGCCATGCACCTATAGTCCCCACAGGCTGATGCAGGAGGATCCCTTGAACTCTGGAGGCAGAGGCTGCAGTGAGCCGAGATGGTGCCACTGCACTGTAGCCTGGGTGACAGAGAGAGACTCCATTTCGAAAAAAGAAAAAACTAGGTCTAGAATTAGATAATGGTGATGGCTACACAACTTGGTGAATATACTACAAACCATTGAATTATATATACACTTTATCTTTTCGAGACAGAATCTCGCCGTGTTGCCCAGGCAGGAGTGCAGTGGCGTGATCTTGGATCACTGCAACCTCCACCTCCTGGGTTCAAGTGATTCTCCTGCCTCAACCTACCAAGTAGCTGGGACTACAGGCGTCCACCACCACTCCCGGCTAATTTTTGTATTTTTAGTAGAGACAGGGTTTCACCATGTTGGCCAGGCTGGTCTCGAACTCCTGACCTCAGGTGATCCACCCGCCTCGGCCTCCCAAAGTGCTGGGATTACAGGTGTGAGTGACCACGCCTGGCCTATATTTACACTTTAAAAGGGTGAATTCTAGGCCAGGTATGGTGGCTCATGCTTGTAATCCCAGCAGTTTGGGAGGCCAAGGTAGGAGGATGGCTTGAGCCCAGGAGTTTGAGACCAACCTGGACAACATGATGAGACCTGCCTCTACCAAAAAAAAAAAAAATCCAAAAATTAGCCAGGCATGGTGGCATGCACCTGTGCTCCCAGCTACTCAGAAGGCTGAGGCAGGAGATCGCTTAAACCCAGGAGGCTGAGGCTGTAGTGAGCCATCATTGTGCCACTGCTCACCAGCTTGGATGACAGAGGGAGACCCTGTTTCAAAAAAATAAAAAGAGTGAATTTTATGTGAATTATATCTCAATAAAAATAGAATGAGTCACAATTGTCCAGAGACGGCTCTAACTGGGACCCCAGACTTTCTGACCCTTCCATTGTCCACCACCTCGTGAGATCTCAGTTTGAGGTAGGAAGAATTCTCTCTGGAGTATGAGCAATGTGAACAATTTTCATTTTCTGAGTTTTTAAAAATTCCCTGGACTTCTTGTAATAAAAATATTTTAAAAAGAAAAATTGTTGGAAGAGTCCCCAGAGTCCCAGCAAGGGACTCCAAGAGAGGTGTTGCTCACACCAGAGTTACATAGCAGTGCCCTGCACTGAGGTTTTCTCTAGTTTGGCAAAAATAATAATGAGTTATACAGATATATATACATGCTGGTGGAAGTTTGTCAATTGTCCTTTCTCGGGAAGGTCTTTCACCTATTATAAGTTCTTGTCTATTTACGTTAAGAGTATGAAAATGGGCTTAGTTTTTTTGGCAGTGGTAGCTGGAATTACCTTCATTGGAAAAACTGAAAGCTGGAAACTATAAATATCCTCAAAATTTGGTAGAGAAAAGAGATTTCTGGTCTTTGAAATCCAGATGCCTAGGTGGATTCAAGAACACAGAGAAGGCTGGGTGTGGTGGCTCACCCCTGTAATCCCAGCACTCTGGGGGGCCAAAATGAGAGGTTCACTTGGGCCCAGGAATTCAAGACCAACCTGGGCAATGTGGTGAGATCTGTCTCTACAAAAAATAATAAAATTAGATGGGCATGGTGGCATACACTTGTGCTCTCAGCTACTGTGGAGGCTGAGGTGGGAGGATTGCTTGAGCTAGGGAAGTCAAGGCTGCAGTGAGCCATGTTCCCGCCATTGCACTCAGTGTGGGTGACAGAGACCTGTCTCCAGAAGAAAAAAGAACAGAGAAGAAATTCTCTAGAGTTGAGTCAGAGTGGCTGAGAGGTGAGAAGACTGGACCACCCAGGCCAATACTAGCTAGAATCAGAAGGGCAGAGGTTAGCACAGTACGAACAAAAATGGTGAACAAAAATGGCCCAGATTCTTATTCAGAAACCAATTCACATTTTAAAAATATATACTGTACACTACCCCATCCTCTTCCTAATAGCTAAAGTGATCTACCCTAAAACACCAAGCAATCCTTCTTACAGTTTGTTCCCTCCTGACAGTTCATTGATTACAATGTGAAAGCACCAACCTGAGCTAAAATGAAATGAGAAGCCTGATGTTTCAGGCACCAAGTACTTTAAAAATGTCTACTGGCTGTCCTGCAGCATTTTACTTAATCATTTTTTAGAGGAGGGATGAGGACTGGTTGGGTAAAGGAAATCATCAAATGGAGCCTTAAATAACTGATTACAAAAGCTTTTTGTAAAATCACACAAATATTTCAAGAATAAATGCATTCCAGAGATACAAATCAGGCCAAAAGAAACAAAAATCAATGAAATTGGCATTACACTTGTAAAAGGCCAAATGGACACAAGCCCTCGAGGGTCTATTGTGAAGTGCTTGGGGGCAAGTGGCCTCAAAGAAACTTGGGAGTGAGAGGTTTGCACTGAGCTTGGGAAGGGAGCCTTGGGAAAACACCACACTTGTGAAATCAGAAAAAAAAAAAAAGCAAGTGATGGTGCTTACAGCCCAGGACGACTTCCTGCTGGTTTAGGTCAGAAAAAACCTGAGAGAGATTCCTAAAACAATGAGGGCTGTAAGGGGACTGGTGGAAAAAATCCAGTGGAAATATTTTCTCAGGAAAGGAAGGAGCAAAGTCATGGTAAGTTAAAATGTGGTACCCTAATGTAGTAGTAAATTTAAGGCCTGTCGAGGAAATTTTAACACTTCCAACAGGTGACTATATCAGGAAGGAGAAAACCAAGTGCTTCCTGCTTCACCTTCTGCTGCTTTTGGGACTTTTCTAGAGCTAGTAGCTAAGGACAAGACCCTGAACCCATTTTTTCACTGGGAGAGGAAAACCACCAGGCTTCTCAGCTATGGCTTGGCAACTCTGGAGTTCCTATGGCTTCCATCAGGGCTCCAGGCCCTGATAAGTGGCCTCAGGCAGGAGGAGATCGGGAGCGGATGGGAGAGCTAGTCAGGAAGGTGGAATAGGGACCATCCCCAAACACGTTGGCGTATGATGATTTGAGGAACTGGACGTAGTTCTGCATGCTGCGGTTGGTGCTCTCGGACTGCTCCAGGCGATCTTTCAGGTCTTGCAGCCGGCTCTGGTAGCGGCGGTCCGCCTAACGAGGAGAAACAGAGCATGGGCCCGCTGTGCAGTGTCCAAAATAGAAATCCATAGAGACATAGGGACTTTCTTAGGAGTTGCCAGGAGGTTTGGGGAGGCGAGTGTGGAGTGACTTCTAATGGGTATGGGGTTTCTTTCTGAAAATATTCTAAGACCAGGCACAGTGGCTCATGCCTATAATCCCAACACTTCGGGAGGTCAGGACGGAATGATCACTGGAGCCTAGGAGTTCAAGACCAGCATGGGCAACATAGTGAGACTCTATCTCTACAAAAAATACAAAAATTAGCTGGGTGTGATGGTGTGCGCCTGTAGTCCTAGCTGCTCAGGAGGCTGGGGTGGGAGGACTACTTGACCCCAGGAGTTTGAAGCTGCAGTGAGCTATGACAGCACCACTGCACTGTAGCCTGGGTGACAGAATGAAACTCTGTCTAAAACAAAACAAAACAAAACAAAACAAAACGTGAGTCTGGGTGCAGTGGCTCACACCTGTAATCCCAGCACTTTGGGAGGCCATGATGGGCAGATCATTTGAGATCACGAGTTGAAGACCAGCCTGGCCAACATGGCGAAACCCCATCTCTACTAAAAATACACACAAAAAAGTAGCCAGGGATGGTGGCACATACTTGTAATCCCAGCTACTTGGGAGGCTGAGGGTGGGGTGGGGATCATATGAAACCAGGAGGCAGAGGTTGCAGTGAGCTGAGATCGTACCACTGCATTCCAGCCTGGGTGACACAGGGAGACTCCGTCTCTAAATAAATAAATAAATATCTACCCAGGATATCCTTAAGGGATAGAAAGTGATTGGAGAAAAATAAAACCATGTCATATTCACAAAAACAGTAACAACAAAACACCTTGGCCCACAGGCCCCACAGAAGCTAGGTCTGCTGCCCACTCTCCTAGCCCGGCCCACCAGCCTGACTCACATCATCACGGCTCCGCCGCAGCTGGCTCAATTCCGTTTTGGTTCTGCTCAGCTGGGTCTCAAGGTCCAGGATTTTGTTCTGGGCTGCTCGCTCCTTGGAGAGTGCGTGCTCCTTGGTTTGTTCCACCTGCACATTCAAAGGCCCAGACATGAGACTGGTTTACCGGACATGGGGAACACTTGGCAAAGAGAAGGCTGGGCCCACTATCTGGTCTTGCAGACAGCACTTGCACATCATTGTGGACTGTGTTCTCTAGAACGCTGGGGCAGGAACTAACTATGGGGACTATGCCTGCCACCCAGCTTTGCCAGTGCTCCAGGAGTCACCACCTAAGATGTGGTAAGCCTATGTGAGGCTCAAGAGGGTAGTGAGTAAATGAGCAATCATCAGATATCAAGTGCTGAGCCCTCTACGATGAAAATGTGATCCTTACAACTAATTCATGAAGCGGGTACTACTGTGTGCCCATTTTTCAGATGGAGAAATAAGCTGAGAGTTTAGGTGATTTGCCCAAGGTCACAGAGCTAGTCATTCATGAAATCGGGACTGACCTGCCTCCTCGCATCTTCAATGGCACTCTCCAACTGCCTTGCCAGGGTCCCACATTCCCGTGTTTTCTCCTCCAGCCGCAGCTGGGACTGGTGGATTGCCTCCTCCCTCTTGGCAATCACCTGTAGGAACTCGATATTCTGGGCACTGGTCGCCTCCAGTTTCCTAGGTGAAAGCACTCAATCAGATCCTGGGCATACCCCAACCTGTCATGTTCCACCCCGCCAGGGGGCTGCCAGCCTCTCCTGGACTGGGGATCTCATCATGCCAAGAATCTCCAAGGAGCCACAGGAATAAGCCAAAGAAATCTGCAGATCAGCAAGGCGACCAAAGAACTGTGCAGCTGGAGCAACTGGTTAGAGAACAGAGTGAAGGGTGGGAACGCAGAGACTGACCGTGGGCTTTGTTAAGTGTGGATAGCATCACATGGAACACAGCAACTTGCAGCTCAGAAAAATGGTACCATTATTATCCCCACTTCAGAAATGAAGAAACTGAGCCTCAGAGAGGGGAATTCATTGGCCTGAAGTCAGCACAGCTGGCAAGTCTGTAACCAAAACCTAAGCCTGCAACTTCTGCTGTTCACTGCTGCCTCCCACAGCAAAGGGACTTCAGCTACACCACTCAACATCTTGTGTGACCAGCCATAGGGCAAATATGGCCATCCCGATATACACACACTGTCCTCAGTGCACTTCCAGGATGCCTTCCAATTTAAGGAGCTCTGCAGGGCCTGGGGGATCTAGCTGCCATTTCCAAGGCTGGCAGGGCAGAGCAGAGGTGGAGCCTGGAAGGAGCCCACTTGGTTGTAGCCTCCTTGCAAGTGCACTGGCCACCTGAGGCACTTAGGGCCTCCTAGGATGTCAGGCACCTTCACCTCTGAAACTAAGGCTGGGACCAGGGCTGGAGGACTCTTGCCCACCTCTTTTTTTTTGAGATGGAGTCTTGCTCTTTCGCCCAGGCTGGAGTGCAGTGGTGCTATCTCGGCTCAATGCAAGCTCCGCCTCCCGGGTTCACGCCATTCTCCTGCCTCAGCCTTCCGAGTAGCTGGGACTACAGGCGCCCGCCACTGCGCCCGGCTAATTTTATACATATATATATATATATATATATATATATATATATATATATTTTTTTTTTTTTTTTTTTTTTTTAGTAGAGACGGGATTTCACCGTGTTAGCCAGGATGGCCTCGATCTCCTGACCTCGTGATCCGCCCGCCTCGGCCTCCCAAAACGCTGGGATTACAGGCGTGAGACACCACGCCCGGCCTCTTGCCTACCTCTTAGAGATGCTCACAGAAGCTCTCGAGGAAGACAGTCACGGGTCTAAGTCATGCTTTGCCAGGTACCAACAGTGTGATGCTGGGAAAGTCACTTAACTCCTCCCCAAGCTCAGTTTCCTCATATTTAAAACTGGGATAATACCAGCTAACTAATAACATGTTCTAAGCTATACTGAGCGCTTCTCTATGCCAGGTAACATGCTAGGACCTTTACCAGGATTATATCATTGAAGACTCACACCACCACCATGAAAAGATTATTATCAGCCAGGTGTGGTGGCTCCCGCCTGTACTCCCAGCACTCTAGGAGGCCTAGGTGGGTGGATCACTTGAACCCAGGAGTTCAGGACCAGCCTGGGCAACACGGCGAAACCCCATCTCTACAAAAAATACAAAAATTAGCCAGGCATGGTGGCATACGCCTGTAGTCCCAGCTACTTGGGAGGCTGTGGCAGGAGAATTGCTTGAGCCCAGGAGGTCGAGGTTGCAGTGAGCTGAGATTGCACCACTGCACTCCAGCCTGGGTGACAGAGTGACATGATAGATAGATGATAGATAGATAGATAGATAGATAGATAAACTCTACCTTGACCCTTTCCTCAAAAGGAGGAAATTGAGCTTCAAAGGAATTAAATGATTTGCTCAAGATCACAATGCTGGTAAGTGGCAGAGCTGGGCCCCAAGGCCAGGGCTTCTGATTCCCAAAGCCGTACCCTTCACCTCTGACTGCCTCCAACAATCCGTAAATAACAGAGAACGGTCAGATCAGAAAGGTCTTGGGAAGGGTGACTGGCAAGAAAGGGCAGAAAAGAGTGGGGAAGTGCCCCCACCACAGTATACTGGCTGCTCCATTCAAACTGGGCCCTCCTGGCAGGCCTGGACCAGGCATGCCTTTTGGGACAGGTGGTGCCTACAGGTGGGCAGATCCTGATCATGCTGTCATGGAGTGTCTCCCCAGGCTGAGAGGCCCCCTTGCTCTCTCCCACAATGCTTACCACTGAAATGGAAGCAGCTTTTCCTCTGAGGTCTGCCTAGTACCTTCCAGGGCCTCGAGTCCCTCAACACTTCCGCACACTAAGCAAAAAACAGCTAAGTGGCTGAAAGTCTCAGGTCCTAGGAAGAGGACAGAGATGGGACCAAGTGCCTCTAACCTCTCCAGTTCATCCACCTTCAGACTCAGCTGTTTATTTTCCTTCTGGGAAGCCTGATGTTTCTCTCTCGCCATCTCCAGCTTGTCCCCCTGGTGTTCGATCTAAAATGACAGGAACACAGACTGGTTTACAAAGGAATTTCCCGCTAGAGCCCTCCCCTTTCCCTATGACCTGTTGTCCACACCCAGGAAAGGGGCACAGTGCCCTCAGCAGGTGTCCAAGTCTCAACGCACAACCTAGAGGAGAAAGGACAGCAGGGACAGGTTAGGCCCAACTCCAAAGACAAAAGGCTCTCCCCACACTGGGAGAAACCAGGTTTGATGCTAAAGAATGACAAAGATGCTTTCTCGATCAGGGGAGGCCACTCAGAGAGACCCAGCTAGGATCCAGGACAGACATGAGAAGGCAGAAACAGCTGGCAGGGCTAACTGGCCCATACAAACCAACCACAGAGCTTTACCTGTTATGTTGCTGGTACTATTGATCTCAACCTCCTCTTAACTGGGGACAAGTGCAGGCAAGACAACAGGAAATCTGTCAATCCTTTTGAGTTGGCAAGTTTGAGAATTTACCCAGAGGGCTGTTTTATGCAGAAGCCTCAGCTATCAAGGCTCAAAGTCCCTGAGAATGCTCAGGTTCAACGGAGAAGGCAGGCAATGTAAGGTTACAGTACTGAGAATGTGGGCTTGGGAACCAGACAGAGCTGGCTGGGTTCCAATCCCTGCTTACTAGGTACTAGCTCTGTGATGGTGGGGAATTACTTCTCCTCTCTATGCCTTGGGCTGCTTTCTGTAAAATGGGGAAAATAACACATGCACCTCACAGAGTTCCTGATGGAATTAAATGAGAGAATGCAGGAACACAGAAGAGGTGCTCAAAAAATGGTAGCCCCTTTTCTAATTATCACAAGTACACACGTCAAGAGTGGGAAAGGGGCCTTGCCCAAGGTCACGCTGCAAATGAGTGGTATATAATTTCTTGGACACTGCAGGCCGTAGGCATGGTTCCAGTAACCCAGAGACAGACTGCTTCTGGGAGAAAGGGATGCTTGCTTCTTTCAGGACAGAATCTCAGGCAGTGCATCTGTTAAAGAGTCAGGAGAAGCAGCTAAAGCAAGAGAAAAAAAGAAATTCTACGGCTCGGTGTCTGCTGGCATCTCCCAGCTGTGGGTGTGGAGCTGAGGACAGCTGCGGAGCACACAGGCAGAGGCAGCAGTCTTGGGTGGGGGCAACAGCAGGAGGGCCCAGTGACTCCACGCAAGTGACGGCTCCTATAACTACAATCACTTTGTGCAAACACATGGCATTTGGCACACCAGACTTTTATTTCACAGCACTGATGATAGCTCACTCCTTTTAAAAAGCAGCAGCCAAGAAAAAGGAAGTAGTCCTCCCTTGGGGGGCGTGCAGCTCATCTTGGTATGCGGGCCCCTGCTCGGGTCAGTTCGTGGGACCCTTTCTGCCAGTCCCTTACCCGGCTGCGCAGGTCTGATATGATGGCTGTGAGGTCGATGTTCTTCCGCTCATAGCCCTGCAGTTGGTCTTGGCACTCAGCCAGCTTCGCCTCCGTGATCTTCAGGATGTCAGGGAGCTGCTGCAGGTCAGCCAGCTGAGACTGGAACTGCCTTCGTGCCTGAAACAGGAAGGAAAGACCCACAGGAAGGAAAGACCCACAGTTAGGAAAGACCTGGCTCCTAGTGGAGCCAGGCAGAGTCCTTTAGAGTTAGGGCAGGGCTGACACAGTCCCCAGTGGAGGATCCTGCAAAATCCACAGCAGAAGTGTGGCCTACACTCCCCGCTGGCCATTGAGCAGGTGGCTTGCCATTCATTTAGTTATCCCGTAACAATGGCAACCACACAGTAAACACCAAGACCCAGGCATTGTACCAGGGGCTCTCTGCACACTTGCTCATTTAATTCAGACAACCTGTAAAATAGGTGATGCTGTCCCCATACAAGTATAGTAAGCATCAAGAGAGCTAAGTCATTTGCCCAAGGTCATTCAGCTAAAAACTGGTAAACACAGGATTAAAGTCTAGTCTAACTCCAAGCCAGGTGCAGTGGCTCACACCTGTAATCTAGCACTCTGGAAAGCCAAGGGGCGCAGATTATTTGAGGTCAGGAGTTCGACACCACCCTGGCCAACAAGGTGAAACCCTGTCTCTACTAAAAATACAAAAATTAGCTGGGAATGGTGGCACACGCCTGTAGTCCCAGCTACTTGGGACGCTGAGGCAGGAGAATCACTTGAACCCGGGAGGTGGAGGTTGCAGTGAGCTGAGATCACACCACTGCACTCCAGCCTGGGTGACACAGCAAGACTCTGTCTCAAAAAAAATAAAATAAATTTTAAAAGTCTAACTCTAAAGCCCCTAGGAAAGCAGTCACAATGCTACAGGTCAGAGGGAAAGGGAGAAATATCTGGTCTAAGTCCATCCTTGTACTTAACACGGAGACTGAGGACCAGAGAGGGGCTTGACTTGCCCAAGGTTATGAAACAAATTAGTGGCTGAGCCTGGACTCAGCCCATCTCCAAGGTAACCATTAAGATAATCCCGCTGCTCTAATCAGCCAAACCATCTGTAGAAGAATAAGGCTCTTTGGGAAGAGGATGGGAGACATATTTTCTGGCTGGTACAAAATAAGGACACCATATAGAATGAAATAGGCATGCCAAAGACCTGGCATAACTGTAGATTTCTGTCTACTTGGATGCTCCAAGCATGAGGTTTTTTGTTTGTTTGTTTGTTTGTTTTGAGACAGAGTATTTACTCTTGTTGCCCAGGCTAGAGCGTAGTGGCACAATGACGGCTCACTGCTACCTCCACCTCCTGGGTTCAAGCGATTCTCCTGCCTCAGCCTTCCGAGTAGCTGGGATTACAGGCATGCGCCACCAGACCCGGCTAATTTTGTATTTTTAGTAGAGACAGGGGTTTCACCATGTTGGTCAGGCTGGTCTTGAACTCCCAACCTCAGTTGACCTGCCTGCCTCAGTCTCCCAAAGTGCTGGGATTACAGGTGTGAGAGACCGTGCCCAGCCAGGAGAGTTTTTTTGTTGTTGTTATTTTAAGAAAATTGAAAAGGAGGTAGAAGAAAACCAAGAGAAAAAAAAAAAAAAGACAAAGCAGCAGCATGAGAGAGAGAAGAGAGGAAACAAGAAAGAGACAAAGGAGAGAGAGGCACAGGGTAGAGTGGATGAGCCCACCAATGAGAAAATGAGCTCACCTTTGTTGCCCAAATCAGGTAGGGTCAAAGGCAAACAAGGGGAACAGACTCACAGTCATTGAGTTAGATATGGAATTGGGTAGGAGAAGAAAACAAGGAAGGAAAGCAGTACCGCCTCAATCTCTTTGTTCATCTCATCTTTAAGGATCTTGTTCTCTTTGTCACAGCGTTCTAGCTGGGCAGCTACTTCATCAGCCTCCAATCTGGTCTTCATCACCTAGGGACCAACAACACTGTGGTTCATCTTAGGTAGAGCCACGTTTTGATGAAAACCATCTTCCATACCCAACCCTCCCTGGGAGTGGCCTGGTAGGGAGCCCCCAGTCTGATGGGGGCAGGGAGGGCACTGCTCAGAAGGGCCAGGGCCCCAGTGAGGCCTACCTGACTCTTATAGTTGTCAATCATCCCCTCATAGTTCTTCACTGAGGCCTTCAGCTGCTGGACCTCGAGGTGTGCCTGGTTGAGTTTGTCCTCCATTGGAGCAAAGCTGGCCTGGAAGGGATGGCTCATGAGTAACCCACAGGAAGGTTCTGCTTCAGGTGGACCTCCTACCCTCAACTCTATCCAAAGAACCAGAAAAGGAAAGGCCCCCTACTCTAACCCACAGAGCACTTTCCCTGAGAGAAGCACCGAGAAGCAGGTAAGACTCCTAATGTTACCACCTCAAGTGAATAGAGATGCAAATAAATGACTTCTGTTTTTTCTTAATCCAAAAGCAATATATAATCATTAAAGAAAATGGGGATAAAACCAGGCCGGGCGCGGTGGCTCACGCCTATAATCCCAGCACTTTGGGAGGCCGAGGTGGGCGGATCACAAGGTTAGGAGATCAAGACCATCCTGGCTAACACAGTGAAATCCTGTCTCTACTAAAGGTACAAAAAATTAGCCGGGCGTGGTGGCGGGCGCCTGTAGTCCCAGCTACTCGGGAGGCTGAGGCAGGAGGATGGCATGAACCCGAAAGCGGAGCTTGCAGTAAGGTGAGATCGTGCCCCTGCACTCCAGCCTGGGCGACAGAGCAAGACTCCGTCTCAAAAAAAAAAAAAAAAAAGAAAATGGGGATAAAACCAAGACACACTAATCCTAATGCTTAATGACTTGGATATGGCTATATATCTATAGCTGCATAACTTTTTCGTTTCTGTCAAAAAGAATGAGACTATACTATACTTACTGCTATGTAACATAGTTTTTCCCCACCATGGGATCTGCCAGGTTGTATGTAACATACTTTTTATTTGTTTATTTTTTTTTGAGATGGAGTCTCGCTCTGTCACCCAGGCTGGAGTGCAAAGGCACAACCTTGGCTCAATGCAACCTCCACCTCCCAGGTTCAAGCTATTCTCCTGCCTCAGCCTCCAGAGTAGCTGGGATTACAGGGACACACCACCACCCCCACTCCGGCTAATTTTTTATATTTTTGGTAGAGATGGGGTTTTACCATGTTGGCCAGGCTGATCTCAAACTCCAGACCTCAAGTGATCCGCCCACCTCGGCCTCCCAAAGTGCTGGGATTATAGGCGTGAGCCACCACATCTAGCTGTAACACACTTTTAAAATTAACAATATGTTGTGGGCCGGATGTGGTGGCTCACACCTGTAATCCCAGCACTTTGGGAGGCCAAGGTGGGCAGACCACGAGGTCAGGAGTTCGAGACCAGCCTGGCCAATATGGTGAAACCTCATCTCTACTAAAAATACAAAAATCAGCCGGACGTGCTGGCATGTGCCTGTAGTCCCAGCTACTTGGGAGGCTGAGGCAGAAGAATCACTTGAACCTGGGAGGTGGAGGTTGCAGCGAGCTGAGATTGCACCACTGCACTCCAGCCTGGAGGTCTGGAGTTTGAGATCAGCCTGGCCAACATGGTAAAACGCCATCTCTACCAAAAATATATTTAAAAAAAAAAATTATGTTGTGAACTTCTCTCAAGTCAATGAATGTCCTCTCAACTTATAATGCAGGTGGGAAATTTTAAAAATAAATAAATAAATAAATAAATGTCTTCCTATAACCCAATTATTCATCTTAAATGGGACAATATAAATCATGGTGTATCAAATGAATAAAGTAACTAGTAGTCACTTAAAAGAGAGATAAAGCTCAAAAAACCAACCTTAACAGATGTCCGTAAATATAGTTAAATCAGAAAAGCAAGTGACAGAATAATGGATGGATGAGTGGATGTGTGTGTGCTTGATATGTTAGTACTGGGGGATAATCTAGAAAAATATATGTTCATGGCTAGCGAAGATCTTCATGTCTACATCACATTTCTGTAATGTTTTGAATTTTTACTATGAGCATATTTAACTTTTATAATTATACTAGGAAAGGCCAGGCGTGGTGGCTCACACCTATAAACCCAACACTTTGGGAAGCCATGGCAGGTTGATCACCTGAGGTCAGAAGTTCGAGACCAGCCTGGCCAACGTGGTAAAACCCTGTCTCTTACTAAAAATACAAAAAATTAGCGGGGCATGGTGGTGGATGCCTGTAATCCCAGCTACTTGGGAGGCTGAGGCAGGAGAATCACTTGATCCTGGGAGGTGGAAGTTGCAGTGAGCTGAGATCATGCCACTTCACTCCAGCCTGGGCAACAGAGCAAGACTCTGTCTCAAAAAAAAAAAAATTAGACTAGGAAAATATACTTCTACAAACATCATTTTGAATGACCACACTGTAATACACTATACAGATGCACCATACTATAACTAATCCCCTAAATAGTTGTTGGCTTTTAAAATTTTTTTGTAGAGATGGGGTCTTGCTGGGGTTGCCCAGGCTGGTCTAGAAGTCCTGGCCTCAAGCAGTCCTCTCACATTGAGATTACAGGTGTGAGCCACCATGGCTGGCCTCCTAAATAACTGTTAAGACGTGCATGTTATTTTTAACTTATCCGACAATTACACTATACAAATGAGATACTACTACACTCCCACCGGAGTAGCTAACATAAAATAAGACACTCAATACCAAGCTACCAAGCGTTGCCAAGGAGGCAAGGAGCAACTGTTATCCTTTTACTCACCACTGACAGGTGTGGAGATTTGTTCAACTACTTTACTATTCAGTAACATCTACCAGTAACTACTTTACTACTCAGTGACACACTTTACTATTCAGTGACATCTACCAAATATAGACTTAATGCACACCCCATGATGACCTGGCAATTCTACTTCAAGGTATATAAACAATAAAGACGCACCAAATGTGTACACCTAAAGACATACAAAGATGTTCACAGCAACACTATGGAAACCCAAATGTCCACTGACAGTAGAATGGACAAATATACTGTGGTGTGTTCATATAACGACATACCCTAGAGCGCTGAGGATGAATAAACTCCTCCAAACAATGGGGCTGACTCAACAAACTTGCAGAGTAGACGCCAGGCCCAGGGATATTCAAACTATTCAAATCTCTACAGTTAAAAGCAGGCAACTAATTTGTGGTGACAGGAGATGGGCTAGCAGTTACCTTTACAGGGGTATTAGTAACAAGAAAGGTCACTAGGGTGCAGGCAAGGTTCAATCAGAGTGAGTGATGGACAAAGTATATTCACTTTATGAAAATTCTAGGATCTGTGTACTTTTCCATATGTTATTCTTCCTTAAAATCAATCTTAACAAGAAAAAACAAAATCAGTGAAAAAATAAAGCTAGATGTTATTGCCCAGATCAACAAAAGAGCAAGATAAAACCTGTCTCTGAAATGTCAACCTCTGCTCAGGTGCCTCTCACTCCTGGCAGGCTGGAAGTGGGTATGGTGAGTTTAAGAGCTAGGGCTCGAGTCAGACTCGGGTTCAAATCTCAACTCTGATACTTCCTAGGGCAAAATCTTGGCAAGACACTTGACTTCTCTCTCAGCCTCAGTTTCCTTATTCTCATTTCTTTTCTTTTCTTTTGAGACGGAGTTTCGCTCTGTTGCCCAGGCTGGAGTGCAGTGGCGCAATCTCGGCTCACTGCAACCTCCACTTCCTGGGCTCAAGCAATTCTCCTGCCTCAGCCTCCTGAGTAGCTGGGATTACAGGCACACACCACCATGCCCAGATAATTTTTTTTGTATTTTTAGTACAGACAGGGTTTCGCTATGTTGGCCAGGCTGGTCTTGAACTCCTGACCTCAGGTGATCCGCCTGCCTCAGCCTCCCAAAGTGCTGGGATTACAGACGTGAGCCCGGCCCCTTATTCTCATTTCAAATGGAGATAATCATCATGTTACTGGCAGGTTGGACAGTTTAAGTGAGAATTAATGCCTGTGAAGGGGCCCAGCAGGCCCCCAGGAGAGCCCACATTAACCTCAAATGAGTTCTATCTCATGTGCGCAGGCTGAGTACACCATGTTAAGCATTTCACATGCGTTACCACATTCTCACAAGGACCTCATTTCCTCTACCTAAGGAAGAGGCATGGAATGTTTTTCACTCAGGTCCTACAGCCAGGAAGCAGCAGAGTAAGGACTTGAATCCAGGCTTTCTTTTCTTTTTTGACACAGAGTCTCTCTCTGTTTTCCAGGCTGGAGTGCAGTGGGGCGATCTCGGCTCACCACAGCCTCAACCTCCCAGGCTCAAGCGATTCTCCCAACTCAGCCTCCCGAGTAGCTGGGACTACAGGCGCATGCCTCCACGCCTGGCTACTTTTTGTATGTTTTGCAGACACAGGATTTTGCCATGTTGCCCAGGCTGGTCTCGAACTAGGCTCAAGTGATCCACCTGCCTTGGCCTCCCAAAGTGTTGGGATTACAGGCCTAAGCCACCATGCCTGGTCAAATCCAGGCTTTTCTGACTCCCTCTTAGTCAAGATGCCCCCAGGCCCACGTAAGACAAGACCCCTCATCAGCTCGCTGGGCCCCATCCAGCTGCCTGGTCCCCAGCTCTCACTGCGAACCTTCAGCCTCTCATTCTCCAGCTTGAATGCGGAATACTCAGCAGTCTGACGGTGTAGTCTCTCCACCAGGCTATCCCGGTCTTCCCGCATCTTCTCCTCCAGGGTTTGTTGTTGGTTTACAAGATCTGTTACCCGGCTGGAAGATCACAAAGTGAAAGCAGACAGAGAGAATCAATTACACAGGTTTGTTTGTGTGTGTGTGTGTGTGTGTGTGTGTGTGTTTTGTTTGTTTGTTTTTTTAGACGGAGTCTCGCTCTGTCACCTAGGCTGGAGTGCAGTGGCGCGATCTTGGCTCACTGCAAGCTCCGCCTCCCGTGTTCATGCCATTCTCCTGCCTCAGCCTCCCGAGTAGCTGGGACTACAGGCGCCCACCGCCACGCCCGGCTAAGTTCTTGTATTTTTAGTAGAGACGGGGTTTCACCGTGTTAGCCAGGATGGTCTCGATCTCCTGACCTCGTGATCTGCCCGCCTCGGCCTCCCAAAATGCTGGGATTACAGGTGTGAGCCACCGCACCCGGCCAATTACACAGGTTCTAAAGAACCCAGGTCTTTGTGTGGTGTGGGACCCAGCGTTCTCATCACTCAATATACTGCCTGCCTGCTCCCCAATCTCCACACTGAGAAGCAACTCTGCTGCCCTGCCTTGGCATTGCTGCTGTGGTACTCCCATGCCTGTCCCACCTCTGAACGACGTCCGTTAAGATGTGTCTCCCATACCTCCCCCTCCAAGAAACCATCTACAATTCAACAATAAGCAATGACTTATTAAGAGAAGTGTGGGCTGGGTGTGGCAGCTCACACCTGTAATCCCAGTGCTTTGGGAGGCCAAGGTGGGAGGATTGCTTGAGCCCAGCAGTTGAAGGTTGCAGTGAGCTATGCTGGTGCCACTGCACTATAGCCTGGGTGAAGGAGCAAGACCTTGTCTCCATTAAGAAAAAAAAGAGAGAGAGAGAGAGAGGGATGTGTACCCATCTTGATCCTCTCATAAGGCCAAGATACCCTTTGAAGGCAAGGACCAGAGACATGATCCCTTCCCAACTCCCTATGACACCTCCTGGAATCTCTCTGCCTATCAGGTCTTGGTGTTAGGACAGACGCTTCTGGAATCCCTTCTTGGACTCCCAGGCTGGTGGTCAGGGATTATCACCCAGGCATTCCTCTCCAGCAGGGCCCTGAGCACCCTGGGCTTTTGTACCCCCAGCAGGGGGCTGGTGCCATGATTGCTCATTCACATATGAACACTCACCTAACACAGGCAGGAACGGCAATGAGTGTGGTGTGGGAAAAAGGCACAAATAGAAAGACGCCAACTTAGAAGCCAGCTGCCTGCCCCACCCCCAGTCCCTTCTGCTCCCTGCTGCTGCCTCAGTCACTCAGCAAGGCCATCATCAGTCAAAGAGCAGAGACTGTGGCCTCAAGAGGAGCCCTGGGGCTCACAGGTGCTTACTCCTCTATCTTGACCACAGACCCATCAAAAACCCTTTGCACAATATGTGCTCTCAGTATTGACCAATTACAGTCCACCACTGAACACTGACTAGGCCCAAGCAAACATATCAGTTTGCTGGCAACTCCAGTTTACCTGGCAAACTCCTACTCACACTTAAAAACCCAGTTCAGACTTCAAGACATCTTGTCCCTGACCCCTCCCCTGTACCATGTATGCTTCTGTCTTAGGTATCTATGTTCTCCCACTAGACAGAGAACTCCCTAAGGACAGCAGCTGGCATAGAGCCTGGCACATAGTGAGTTCTCAGAACATGTTTGCTAAGTTGAGTTGAATACAGTAAGAGACTTTCCTGACCTGGGAGATTAAATGAGCTCCCCCATGACCTATCCTTAGTCCAGGGAGTCCATGCCTCTTGTAGCCCTATCTCCTCTACAGAGTAGAGGGCAGGGAATGCATTTGTCTTCTTACTGCTGTAACCCTGGTGGCCAGCACACAGCAGCTTGGTATATGGTAGATGCTCAATATATGTTTTTCCAATAAATGAAGGAAAAAAGGAGAATGATGGAATGGTCACTATTCACAGTTCGCCAGTGGCAAGAAAGGTGTCAGCTCAGTCACTTGCAAATTGAGGCCACTTTTGCCCCCTACTCCCATGCCATACCACTGACCTACTGACTGGCAGGCACTGGCAAACAGCTGCTGTCCCTGGACAGACAACAGAGAGAAGACACTCGGGTCACCATCTGCCCCATTCCCCAATAGGAATGAGGACACCACGGTGCCCATTTCAAATGCTGTGTAGACTGAGGACAGGATCAGGCCCAGGTGATGAAGTCAGACCCACACCTCTGACCAGAAAGACCCGGCCCCTAGCCAGTGCCTGACAGTAGGGTAGGACCCCAGGACTAGGGCCAGAGCTTGCACCCCAGCTCCAACCAGAAAGCCCAGCTCAGGGCTACCCACATCACAGCCCAGTGCAGCCCCCAACCCGGAGAGTACAAACAGCAGCCACGTGGCCTTCCCTGAGCCACTAGGCCCCTCCCACCTGCACACCCAAGTCCCTCAACAGCGCCACATTCCCTCTCCTACTCTAAGACGTACTCATTCAGGACAATAATTTCCAGCTCAAGGTCTCCCTTTTCTTTTACAACTTGGTTGTAGCGGCTCCTCCAGGATTCCAGAGTGGATAAAGCTTCAGCGACATAAAGATCCTGGGAACACGGGACAAAAGGGCCTGTTAGCCTAGTGTCAGTGGTGAGGCTGCCAGGAGCTGGGAGCGGGCTCATCCTAGGTGGTTTCTCACCCTGGTAACCTAAACCTCATTCTGGAATTCACCTTTCTAGAGGGCGCTGGAAGCAACAGTGGGAGCCCAGCTAGTGCTCCCAGATTTCTAGCAATCAAATGCATCCTGTTTGTAAATCCTTCCTTAACCATTATTCTCACCCACAAAGCTGATGTGGCTGAACTCTCCTACAAAGCCTCCAATCATCTCCAGCCACCCATCCCTCCAGCTTTTACCCATTTGATCCCCTTAACTCCCTCTCCCTCCTCCCCAGCCATCTATCCTTTCCACCACTACCATCCCTCATCCACCCACCCCTCCCCGCTACCCATCTGGCTGACCACCCCTCTGCCATCACCCAGCCCTCCTCAGGGCAGGTGAGGAGCTGGGCACCGCGGGCCTGCGACCTTGTCAGCGAGTTGCACGTGTAGCTGCTCAGCATACTCCTCGCTCTTCTCGGCTCGCTCCTTCTGGGCTCGGATGGCCTTCTTCAAGCTCTCTTTGTCTCGGTCTCCCTTCTGCTTCAACTCCTTCAGCTGCTCCATGATGGCCTCCACTTCTGCCTTATGCTGATTCCCGCTGCGCTCCAGATTCTGGAAGGGGGAAGGGGTGAGAAAGAGAGGGAGAAGAGAGACAAGGAGGTTGTGGGAAGGCAAAGCAGAGGGTGAAGGAGAAAGGGAGGAAAAGGCAAGAGCAAAGAGGAAACGAGGAAGACAGAAAAAAGTGCTTAGCTGTGTGAGAGGCTCCCCTAACTCGGACCAGAGACACAGTCCCTCCCAGCTCCCCACGACACCTCCCTGGATCTCTCAGCCCATGGGGTCTTGATATTAGGTCAGAACTGCTCTGGAATCCTTCCCTGAACTCCCAGCCTTGTGGTCAGAGATAGTTCCTTGGTCACTCAGCAGAGTATGACCTCAGAGGACCCCTGGGCTACAAAGAGACCATCCCTTTCCCTTGGGTAATGAGGAGAACTGAGGGCCTAGGGGATTAAGTGATAGGCCTGGGGGGCATGGCACGCAACCCCGTCACTGTTGGGAAGGATGCCCAACACCTCCTGGGTCTCTGTCCATTGCTCTTGCCACTGTCCTGGAATGTCTCTGAGGCCTGAGTATTTTGTCATCAGCTGCCTCAGAAACCTTTGGAGGCACACTTCCTGAGTGTGATATCTGGGCCAGGCCGCTACCATCAAATTGGCAGGCCCTTGCCTCCTCTTTCCCCACTTGTGGGGCCAATAGGTACCTTAATCTGCATGCACAGGCGACTGTTCTCAGCCTCTTTGGACCGAAGCTGTGCCTGCAAATGCCCACGCATGGACTCCATGGATTTAGAAAGCTCAGAGGCTGTCTTTGCTTGAGCCTGTGGAGAGACGGAAAAAGTGATGGAGGCACAATTTTTTGTTTGTTTTTTTCATACGGAGTCTTGCTCCGTTTCCCAGGCTGGAGTGCAGTGGCGCAATCTCAGCTCACTGCAACCTCCACCTCTTGGGCTCCAGCGATTCTCCCGCCTCAGCCTCCTGAGTAGCTGGGGTTACAGTCACGTGCCATCAAAACCGGCTAGTTTTTTGTATTTTTAGTAGAGACAGGGTTTCACCATGTTGGCCAGACTGGTCTCGATCTCCTGACCTCAAGTGATCCACCTGCCTCGGCCTCCCAAAGTGCTGGGATTACAGGCGTGAGCCACCGCGCATGGTCAATAATTTTTTTTTTTTTTTTTGAGACAGGGTATCACTGTTGCCAAGGCTGGAGTGCAGTGGCGTGACCATGACTCATTGCAGCCTCAGTCTCCCAGGCTCAAGTGATCCTCCCATCTCAGCATCCAGAGTAGCTGGAACTACAGGTGCATGCCACCACACCTGGCTGATTTTTTAATTTTAATTTTAATTTTGTAGAGATGGGGTCTCCCTGTGTTGCCCAGGACAGTCTCAAACTCCTGGCCTCAATGAGTCCTCCTGCATTGGCCTCCCAAAGTGCTAGGGAGTGGCCTAGGCTGGTCTCGAAAAAGTGCCAGACATGAGCTACTGCACCCGGCCCAAAGACAGGATTTGAACCCAGCTCTCTGCATATCCATTATATTCTACTGGCTCATAAAAATGCACAACTGCGGCTGGGCGCAGTGGCTCATGCCTGTAATCCAGCACTTTGGGAGGCCGAGGCAGGCAGATCACGAGGTCAAGAGATCAAGACCATCCTGGCCAACATGGTGAAACCCCGTCTCTACTAAAAATACAAAAATTAGCTGGGCGTGGTGGCGCACGCCTGTAGTCCCAGCTACTCGGGAGGCTGAGGCAGGAGAATCACTCAAATCCGGGAGGCAGAGGTTGCAGCGAGCTGAGATCGCGCCATTGCACTCCAGCCTGGCGACAGAGCGAGACTCCGTCTAAAAAAAAAAAAAAAAAAAGCACACTACCTTCTCACATTGTATTTCCTGAAGGAGCTCTTCCACCTCCTTGTCCTTGTCTTGCAGCAGTAACAGCAGGCGCTGGGAGAGAACACAGGCTGTCAGGTGCCCCTGGGAAGGGCAAAGAGGCCCGGCCCAGGGAGGACAGAGATTTGTGAGTACCTGGCCACTGGGGCCCAAGGTCCTACATACATTGGCCCATGTCAGAGATTCTGGTAGGAAGCACCTAACATATGCATTAAAACATTTTTTTAAAACAATGAACATGTATTTATTTTGCAATTTAAGAACAGCAATGTTAACTGTAGAAAACATTGAGAACACACCAAAAAAATCCTCCAAAGAAACCCCGTAACCCCCCATGCAGAGATAACCAGTTAATGCACATTGAAACTCATATGCTCAGCACCGTTAAAAAAAAAAAGTCATATGCCTACTTCGTTCCATAGCCTAAAAGCTCATGTTTACCATAATGTGATTAAATCTTCTGTGTCTTTTGAAAGAGCTGCTTGACGGTTCAAGTTACTGATGTATATCATAACTTAACAAGGGTTCTTGAGCTGGGAATGCACATTTAGGCATTATCGCCGAGCTTGCTGCATCTCCACTCCTTCCTCAACTAAGCATCAGAGGCCACAGACCACACCTTGGGAAACTGGGCCTCCGTCTCCCTCCCCTCTCTTGGAGACTTACAAAAGCATTAATACAGCAGACACTCCAAAAAAGTCTTGAAAGAAGCTGTTGAACTTCATGTTCAGGCCAGCCTATGGTTTCCCAAATTTAACTGGCTATGGAACCTCCCCTTCGGTTTCTTGCACTCATTAACATCTTGAGGAACTTAGGGTTCCATGAACAGACTTTGGAACATGCTGCTTTGGGAGAGATTCCTAGAATTAGGATTACTGAGTCCAAAGGTGTGTACTTTTTGATGGCTTTGAATCCATAATACTAATTTGATGGAAATCCAGCTTTAACAGACACGGATGATTTACAAATCCAACATCATCATTACCCTCTCTATGTTGGTGTCCAGCTTTGTGGCTCAAGGTCTCAAGTAACTAACTAGACAAGCCTATCAGAACAAGCGTGACAGGAGGACATCAGCCCATTTTACAGATCGTGAAACTAAGACCTAGCGAAATGCTCCAGCCCTCCTGCCTTGATCCAAGCACCTCTACACTTTGTAGTGGAACGACGCTCTTGCCACCTGTACCCACTAGAGTAGACAAGGGCAGCCTTAGTTACCGCTTTCTCTGAGTCGGCCTCCGCCAGCCGTTTCAGCAGTGCTCCTTGTTGCTCCATTAGTCTTTCAGAATCCTTCAAAGAAAGGCAAAGGAAAAAGTCAAGTCATTAAGCAATAAACCCAGATGTCTACATTTTATTGATTCTTTACCTTTTCCAAAAATTGTATTTTTTTTTTTTTTTAGAGTCTTACTCTGTTGCCCAGGCTGGAGTGCAGTGGTGCAATCATGGCTCACTGCAGCCTGGTCCTTCTGGGCTCAAGCCATCCTCCCATCTCAGCCTCCAAAGTAGCTGGAACAACAAGCATGCACTACCATGCCCAACTTTTTAAACATTATTATTATTTGTAGAGTTGGAGGGTCTCCCTGTTTGCCCAGGCTGGTCTTGAACTCCTGGGTTCAAACAATCTGCCTGCTTTGGCCTCCCCAAGTGCTGGGATTACAGGTGTGAGCCACCACACCTGGCCCAAAAAACTGTAGTTCTAATTTGAAAAGTAATGTGAATATATTCTCACTATAAAATAGTGAATGCTAATAAAGCTACAGTTCCTCCTGTACCCACCTCCAAACCCTACCCTACTGCTATTAGTTTGAGGAGTATCCTTCCCATCCTTTTTCTCTACATCTACAGAGAAATACTGTATTTCTCTGTATTGAAAATACTGTACAGAATACTGTATTGAAATACTGTTTCTCTGTAATGAAACAGCATTTTGCTGCATCAAGAGAAATACTGTTTGTCTCTGGGGGAAGGGGAAAGGGATTCATGTGTAACTTTAGGAAAATAATATCATATTGTATTTATGTGTTAATTTTTTTTAATTTTTTTTATTTTTTAGAGAGGAAGTCTCGCTCTTGTCCCCCAGGCTGGAGTGCGATGGCACGATCTCGGCTCACTGCAACCTCTGCCTCCCAGGTTCAAGCGATTCTCCTGCCTCAGCCTCCCGAGTAGCTGGGATTACAGATAACTGCCACCACGCCCGGCTAATTTTTGTATTTTTAGCAGAGACAGGGTTTCACCATGTTAGCCAGGCTGGTCTCAAACTCCTGACCTCAGGTGATCTGCCCGCCTTGGCCTCCCAAAGTGCTGGGATTACAGGCGTGAGCCACCATGCCCAGCTGTTACTTGATTTTTAAAAACAGCTTTATTGAGATATAAATTTGAACACCATTTAAAGTGTACAGCATGGTGACTATAATTAATGATGTATTATATACTTGAAATCTGCTAGGAGATCTTAAGTGTTGTCACCACACACACACAAAAAGGTAACCATGTGACGTGATGGATGTGTTAATCAGCTTGATTGAGGTGGTCACTTTACAATGTATATGGGTATCAAATCATCACGATGAACATCTTAAAATGTATACTACTTCTGTTTGTCAAATATACCTCAATAAAGCTAGAAGAAAAAATAAAGTATACAATTAAATGGCTTTGGTATATTCCATTATTAACTTTTAAAAATTGTGGTAAAATATATGTAACATAAAACTTGTCATTTTAACCTTTTTATTTCTTTTAGAGACACAGTCTAGCTCTGTCACCCAAGCTGGAGTGCATGTTGTAATCATGGATCATAGCTCACTGCAACCTTGATATCCTGGACTCAAGTGATCCTCCCACCTCAGCCTCCTCAGTAGCTGGGACCACAGGTGTGTGCCACCACACCTGGCTAACCATTTTTAAGCGTAAAATTCAGTGGCATTTAGTATATTCATAATACTGTACAACCATCACCATTATCTAGCTCCACAACATTTTCATCACCCAAAAAAGAAACCCTGTACCATTAAGCAGCCATTCCCATTCCCTCCCACTCCTGCCCCTAGCAACCACTGATCTGCTTTCTGTCTCTAATATGCCATGGCATGTGGAACCTCTCCGTGTCTCTAATATGCCACTGCCATTTTTAACCTCTCCCCACAACCTCTGGACAATGAGGCTGTTCCCATGTTTTGCAACTACAAACACTGCAGCAATAGACGTTGCTGGGCATATACAAAGTGCCTCTCTAGGGATGATACCAAGAAGAGGAATGGCCAGGTCGGAAGGTCTGAGATTTGTGGCTGAAATGCCCTGCAAAATGCCTGCACCAATTCACTGGGCTACAAGCAGGACATGGGAGGACTCACTTCCCTGCACTCACCAGTACCAGGCAGCAGCCAACCTCTGCCTCTGTTGCCAGTCATCTGCCAACAGCACTCCTGCTGGTTTCATTTGCACTTCTCTAATTACCAGTGAGGATTAGCATCCTCTCATATGAGCCATTTGGGTCTCCTCTTGCCTGAACTTCCTGCTCCTGCCCTGGCCCATTTTCTCACTGGGCTATGTCTTTGTGACTGTCCCTATTTTTCTTTGGCACCTGAACAAAGTATCCCTTGAGGGAGGGACATCTTGTTCACCCTCTTTCCCTCTCAGACCCACAGATCCCCTTCATAAGCCCAGAGAAAAGGGCTCTCTGGTTCCCAAAGTTTCCTGGGCACCTAGGAACTGATAAAAGACAGTATTATGGTTTCTCTGGCAACAAGAGGCAAAGAACCTGGGACAGAAGGCTTGGCCACGGATGCAGAACCTGAGGCTGTTCTCACTGCCCTCCAGGCCTCCCCTGGGGCACTGAAACCACTGACCAACTCTTCTGCCATCCTATGTGCATGAACTCACCAAAGCCCCCTACTCTAAGAGCCATGCACTATCACTACCCCCATCTCAGAGGAGGAGACTAAGGCTGGGAGAAGTGAAGGCAAGTGAGGCCACACAGCTGGAAGGGGTAGTACTGGGCCCTGGAGCCGACTCGGACTCCAGAACCAGAGCAGTTCCCCACCACACTGAGCACTACCCAGCAAGCACCGAGATGGTGAGGGAGCCCTGAGCACAGATGGGCACCAAGGAGCTGAGCCTGGACAAAGCACAAAACACCACTTTTGGGTGGGAATTCAAATTAGCTGACCCTTCATCTCCAATTGAAGATGGGACTCCAGGATGACAGAAGCTAAGAAACCAAAAAAGGAGAAAACTGGCTAGAGCAAGAGGCTTTTTTTTTTTTTCCTTTTTGAGATGGAGTCTCACTCTGTCACCCAGGCTGGAGTGCAGTGGCATGATCTTGGCTCACTGTAACCTCTGCCTCCCGGGTTCAAGCGATTCTCCTGCCTCAGCCTCCTGAGTAACTGGGACTACAGGAGCGTACCGCCATGCCAGCTCATTTTTTTGTATTTTAGTAGAGATGGGATTTCACCGTGTTGCCCAGGCTGGTCTCAAATTCCTGAGCTCAGGCAATCTGCCCACCTCGGCCTCCCAAAGTGCTAGGATCACAGGCGTGAGCCGCCATGCCTGGCTTTCTTTCCTTTTTGAGATAGTGTCTGGCTCTGTCATCCAGGCTGGAGTGCAACAATTTCAGAAGCCGAGGCAGACAGATCACTTGAGGTCAGGCGTTCAAGACCAGCCTGGCCAACACAGCAAAACCCTATCTTTACTAAAAATACAAAAAATTAGCCAGGTGTGGTGATGCACACCTGTAATCCCAGCTACTCAGGAAGTTGAGGCAGGAGAATCGCTTGAACCCAGGAGGTAGAGGCTGCAGTGAGCTGAGATTGTGCCACTTCAGCCTGGGTGACAGAGTGAGACTCTGTATCAAAACAAACAAAAAAATTAATAAAGCTTCCCTCTGAGGGGAGGGAGACAAGGTTATTGCAAAATGACACACAAAAGGGAATCAACTATGTAGACACTTATTTTAAAAGCTGGGCGGTGAGTGGCCGGGCACAATGGCTCACCCCTGTAATCCCAGCACTTTGGGAGGCTGAGGCGGGTGGATTACCTGAGGTCAGGAGTTTGAGACCAGGCTGGACAACATGGTGAAACCCCGTCTCAACTAAAAATACAAAAATTAGCCGGGAGTGGCACCTGTAATCCCAGCTGCTTGGGAGGCTGAGGCAGGAGAATCTCTTGAACCCGTGAGGGGAAGGTTGCAGTGAGCTGAGATTGCGCCACTGCACTCCAGCCTCGGTGACAGAGCGAGACTCCGTCTCAAAAAAAAAGAAAAAAAAAAGCTGGGCAGTGAGGATACCACTTTACATTACTTGTTATATATATATATAATTTTTTGGGGGGACAGTCTAACTCTGTCACTCAGCCTGAGTGAGTGACACAATCTCAGCTCACTGTAGCCTTGACCTCCAGGGCTCAAGCAATCCTCCCACCTCAGCCTCCCGAGTAGCTAGGACTATAGGTGTGTGCCACCACACCTGGCTAAATTTAAAATGTTTTGTACAGATGAAGTCTCACTGTGTTGCCCCGGCTGGTCTCAAACTCCTGGCCTCAAGCAATTCTCCCACCTCGGCCTCCCAGAGTGTGGGAATTACAGGCGTGAGCCACCACACTTGGCCTTATTTTATATATTAACAGGTTTTTTTTTTTTTTGAGACAGAGTCTCGCTCTGTCACCCAGGCTGGAGTATAGTGGTGCAATCTAGGCTCACTGCAACTTCCCCCCTCCTGGGTTCAAGCAATTCTCCTGCCTCAGCCTCCCGAGTAGTTGATATTACGGGTACCCATCACATTTTTGTATTTTCAGTAGAGGTGGGGTGTCACCATGTTGGCCAGGCTGGTCTCGAACTCCTGACCTCAAGTGTTCCACCTGCCTTGGCCTCTCAAAGTGCTGGGATTACAGGCATGAGCCACTGCACCCGGCCAATATATTAATTTTTAAAGATAAGGCCGGGCGCGGTGGCTCATGCCTGTAATCCCAGCATTTTGGGAGGCTGAGGTGGGCAGATTGCCTGAGTTTAGGAGTTCGAGACCAGCCTGAGCAACACAGTGAAACCTCATCTCTACTAAAAATACAAAAATTAGCTGGGCATGGTGGCACGCACCTGTAATCCCAGCTACTCAGGAGGCTGAGGCAGGAGAATCACTTGAACTCGGGAGGCCAGAAGTTGCAGTGAGCCGATATCGTGCCACTGCACTCTAGCCTGGGCGACAGAGCAAGACTCTGTCTCAAGAAAAAAAAAAAAGATAAAAACAAGGTTGACAATGTTAAAACAAAACGAAACAAACAAAAAAACAGGGCTTGGTGTGGTGGCTCACGCCTGTAATTACAGCACTTTGGGAGGCCGAGGCAGGTGGATCACCTGAGGTCAGGAGTTCGAGACCAGCCTGACCAATATGATGAAACCCCGTCTCTACTAAAACTACAAAAAGTAGCCCGGTGTGGTGGCATGCACCTGTAATCCCAGCTACTAGGGAGGCTGAGACAGGAAAATCACTTGAACCCAGGAGGTGGAGGTTACAGTGAGCCAAGACTGTGCCATTGCACTCCAGCCTGGGCAAGAGTGAAACTCGGTCTCAAATAAAAAAGCAAAAATAAGAAGAACGTCACCATTTCATTAGCACTGGCATTTTGAGACTATTGTCATCTCTTTGCTTAGAACCAAGCAGGAGACAACCATTTATACTGTCAGTCTTTTCTGCAATATTTGCTAATATATCATCATTCACAATAGCCAAGATACGGAATCAACCTAAGTGTCCATCAACAGATGAATGAAGAAAACGCAGTAGAGATACACAATGGAATACTACTGAGCCTTCAAAAAGGAAATCCTTTCACAACATGCACAAAACTAGAGGATATTATACTCAGTGAAATAAGCTAGGCCCAGAAAGACCACATGACTTCATTTATATGTGGAACCTAAAGAAGTTGAACTCGGCCGGGCGCGGTGGCTTACCCCTGTAATCCCAGCACTTTGGGAGGCTGAGGTGAGCGGATCACAAGGTCAAGAGATCGAGACCATCCTGGCCAACATGGTGAAACCCTGTGTCTACTAAAAATACAAAAATTAGCCGGGCATGGTGGTGCACGCTTGTAGTCCCAGCTACTCAGGAGGCTGAGGCAGGAGAATCACTTGAAACCGGGAGGCGGAGGTTGCAGTGAACAGAGATCGCGCCACTGTACTCCAACCTGGGCGACAGAGCAAGACTCCATCTCAAAAAAGAAAAAAAAAAGAAGTCGAACTCACAGAAGCAGAATGCTGGTTGCCAGAGATGGAACTGGGGGGCATTGGGGAAATATTGGTCAAGGATATAAGATTTCAATTAGACAAGGAGAAATTGTTCAACATGGTGACTATAGTTACTGATGTGTATACTTGAAAATTGCTAAGAGATAATTTTAAGTGTTTTCACCACAAATATCTTAGTATGTGAGGCAATGCATATGTTGATTAACTTGACTTAGCCATTCTATATTGTGTACGTATGTCAAAACATGTTGTACATCATTAATTTTTATTTGACTATCAAAATAAGAAAAGAACTACAGTCATCCCTTGGTATTCATGGAGGACTGGTTCCAGGACATTCTGTGGATACCAAAATCCAAAGATGCTCAAGTCCCTGATATAAAATGGCACAGTATTTGTATATACTTGTGTACCTCCTCCCATATACTTTAAATCATCTCTAGATTATTTATAATACCTCATACAAGGTAAATGCTATGTAAATAGTTGTTATATGATTCAGGGGATAATATCAAGAAAAAGTCTATAGGTGTTCAGTAAATATGTAATTTTTTCCAAATATCTTCAATCCAAGGTTGGCTGAATCCACGAATGCAGAACCCACAGATACAGAGGGTCGACTATATTTGCTAACATATAAAGTTCAGACAACTTTTTTTTTTTTTCAGACAAAGTCTTGCTCTTGTTCCCCAGGCTGGAGTGCAATGGCACAATCTCGGCTCACTGCAACCTCCGCCTCCCAGGTTCAAGTGATTCTCCTACCTTAGCCTCCTGAGTAGCTGGGATTACAGGCACCTGCCACCAGGCCAGGCTCATTTTTGTATTTTTCAAGTAGAGATGGGGTTTCACCACGTTGGCCAAGCAGGTCTCGAACTCCTGACCTCAGGTGATCCGCCCGCCTCGGCCTCCCAAAGGCTGGGATTACAGGCATGAGCCACCGCACCTGGCCCAGACATGTTTTTTTTTTTTTAGATGGAGTCTCGCTCTGTCGCTGAGGCTGGAGTGCAGTGGCACAATCTCAGCTCACTGCAACCTCTGCCTCCTGGGTTCAAACAATTCTCCTGCCTCAGCCTCCTGAGGAGCTGAGATTACTGGCGCCTGCCACCACACCTGGCTGACTAATTTTTTTTTTTCCCCAAGATGGAATCTCGCTCTGTCGCCCAGGCTAGAGTGCAGTGACGCGATCTCAGCTCACCGCAACCTCCGCCTCCCAGGTTCAAGCAATTCTCCTGCCTCAACCTCCAGAGTAGCTGGGATTACAGGTGCACGCCACCACACCTGGCTAATTTTTGTATTTTTTTAGTAGATGGAGTTTCACTCTGTTGGCGAGGCTGGTCTTGAACTTCTGACCTCGTGATCCACCCTCCTCGGCCTCCCAAAGTGCTGGGATTACAGGCATGATCCACCGCGCTCAGCCTAATTTTTGTATTTTTAGTAGAGATGGAGTTTCACTATGTTGGCCAGGCTGTTCTCGAACTCCTGACCTCAAGTGATCCACCATGCCCACCCTCAGAGAACATATTTTAAGAAAACAAAATGAGACCACACGATTTGTGTCTGCCAGCCATTAATCATTCTCTTACTGAACAAAAAGCTCAGGTCTGGAACTCTCTTTTCTATGCCCTGGGCTGAACCCCTCCCTGACTCCCCCACTGCCCCTCTCCTGACTTTCAAGGTTGTTCCGGTGCTGCCTGGCTTGGATTCAACGGCATCTAAGATGGTACTTGTCTACTGGGTGCTGAGCACTTCATGTGAACAATTTCATTACATCTCTCTAAGGACCTCTCAGGTCGGGCACCAATCTTATTTTCTTTTTACAGACAAGGAGAAAGGCTCAGAGAGGATGGGCATGCAGAGCTGGAGGGAAAGAGCCAGGCCCCAAGCTCACCTCTTTGCAGTGCTGTTCCCTCAGGAGGTCTCGGAGGGTGCGGTTGGTCTCCTCAAATGTGCTCAGCTTCTGCAGGAGAAGTTCCTTCTGCCTTGTCAGGGTGTTGATGTCCGTGCAGGTCATTTGTTTCTCCTGGAAGACAAGTAGCCAGTCTTACAGATGCAGGGGGAGAAGGGAAGAAGCAGGCCCCATGGGCACTCAAGAGGTCTGGTGCCAGAAAGCCCAGACAAGGAGAACCAGGCTGTGTACAGTGCCAAGGTGATCAAGGGCAGGTTTCCTGGAAGCGGTGGACCTAAAGGGACAAGCAGGAGCTAAGTCTGCTCCGAGCAAAGGTGGAGAAAGGGGTGGGAAGGCTCAGTGTGGGTGAGCACAGTCAGGGCAGACTTCCTGGAGGAAGCAAAGGAGGATGACAAGACCTGGTGGCTGATACTTGCAGGAATCAACCACATGCCTTGACTCACTGTGATCCCAGGAGACCCATGATGAGGTCTCCTCAGAGGCCCTGGTGACCAGAGGTCATCTTCAAGGGTCAAGGATTGGGAAGTGAGAGTGGTGGGTGGGGGCCTAGTTAAGCGTGCTCTCCCCCAGCCTGAAGATGTCATAAAGTCTGCCTGATGACGCGTAAAGACCCTGCCCAGCCTGCAGCTGCCCCCTCCCGAGGCCAGTTCCATGGCTGGGGTCCTGCCACCTGCCACCTACTGTTTTCAGCTTCCCGATGGTATCCTTCAAGGCCATGACCTGCTTGGCAGCCGCAGCCCCATCCATTTCCGCCTCCACCAGCTTGGACATGAGGCACTCCTTCTCCTGTTGTAGGTGTTTCTTCTGAAGTCTGGGGCCAGAAAGACGGCTCTGTGAGCCCTCCCAGGCCCCCGCATGCCCAGAGATCCAAGGCTTGCCTCACAATGCCCTAGGGGGCTCACCTCTGGTCAGGGAAAAGTAGGGGAGGGGGCAGGGACAGCCCTTCTGGCCTGGGTGGCCTTCAGAAAGGACCAGGGCCAGAAGTTACATCTGCCTGGGCACCAGACCAGGGCCTCCACACCAGGAGACATTAGCTACCTGTGGCCCTGTTTCTCTCAAACAGCCACCATTGTCATCTCTGCACTGCCCCCCTCCACTGTCACGCCCTCCTACGCACCATCTTCAGATACGATTTTGAGCCCTTCTACCTCTTCTCTACACTGCAGCCAAGGCTAGTCAGGCCACCTCCCTGCTTTTAAAACTTCCATGGCTGTAGGCTGGATACAGTGGCTAAAGCCTGTAATCCCAGCACTTTGGGAAGCCGAGGTGGGCAGATCACTTGAGATCAGGTGTTATCGAGAGCAGCCTGGCCAACAGCTAAAACCCCATCTCTACTAAAAATACAAAAGTTAGCCGGGCATGGTAGTGGGCACCTGTAATTCCAGTTACTTGGGAGGCTGAGGCAGGAGGATTACTTTAGTCAAGGAGGCGGACATTGCAGTGAGCCAGGATCACGCCACTGCACTCCAGCCTGGATGACAGAGCGAGACTCCATCTCAAAAATTTTGAGATGCCTCCCAGGATCAAGCAGTTCTCCTGCCTCAGCCTCCAGAGTAGCTAGGATTATAGGCGCCCGCCGCGACGCCCGGCTTAATTTTTGTATTTTTAGTAGAGACAGGGTTTCACCATGTTGGCCAGGCTGGTCTCGAACTCCTGACCTTGTGATTTGCCCGCCTTGGCTCCCAAAGGGCTGGGATTACAGGCGTGAGCCACCACGCCCGGCCAAATAAATTAATTAAATAAAATAAATCCTTTCCATGGCTTCCAAATGCCCTCAATGCAAATGCCTCAAAGTGGCTGCTGAGAGCCAGCCCCCTGCCAACCTATGTGGCCCCCTTATCCTCTGCCCACCCACTCTGGCCTGCCTTCCATTTCTCAGCTACAAACACTTTCCCACCTTGGGGCCTTCGCATAAGATGTTCCCACTGAGTAGCGTGCTTTCTTCCCTAGCACCCACCTGCCGAATGCTTAACCATCCTGCAGGACACCCCTTAAATATCACTTGTTCCAGAAACAGTTCCCTGCTACCCAGTCCCACACCACAATCCACGGGGTCCTCCCTTTCCCTCATAGTACAAATCATAAGCACAACCAGGTAATTAACTGTAATTAATTGTGTGACTGTTGAACAGGCTCCAGGGCACAGGCACAGTGCCTGTGCCCACCTCCTACGTTGCTTTCCATTATTGCCCAGGGCTCAAGGCAGCCTGGTAGGGAGGAATAGATCAGCGGGGACAGAGCAGGAGCCACCTTACATGGTGAAGTCCTTCTCCTCCTTCATGCGCTCGATGTTGTGCCTCAACACCGTGTTCTCGTGCTCAGTCTCAGCCAGTTCGTGGGCCACCTCCTCCAGCTCTTCCTTCCGTTCCTCCAGGAACCTTTTGGCCATCTGGCGCTCACCTTTTTGCATCTTGACCTGAGCAGGGGGACCCAGGCAGGGGCCACTGAAGGGAGGTCCTTCCTCTATGCCACATTGCTAGGCTCAATGCTTTGGACCAAAATAAGGCCCCGGCCGGGCGTGGTGGCTCACGCCTGTAATCCCAGCACTTTGGGAGGCCAAGGTGGGTAGGTCACTTTTGGTCAGGAGTTCGAGACCAGCCTGACCAACATGGTGAAACCCCATCTCTACTGAAAATACAAAAATTAGCCAGATGTGGTGGCACATGCCTGTGATCCCAGCTACTCTGGAAGCTGAAGCAAGAGAGTCGCCTGAACCCAGGAGCCAGAGGTTGCAGTGAGCCGAGATCGTGCCCACTGCACTCCAGCCTGGGCGGACAAGAGTGAGACTCCATCTCAAAAAAAAAAAAACAAAAACAAAAAAATAAGGAGCCTTCCAATTGAGAACTACACAGGCTGCATGCCAGGGCCTTATGGGTGCAATCTCAGTTAACTGCCATGAAGACTGACTCTCCTGGGAGATGCTGATTTTCTTTTTGTAGATGAGGAAACTCAGTACAGAGAGCCCCAGTGACTTGTGGGTTGGGAACGAAGCCAGGTTGCAAACCGTGGTTTGGCTGGCACACCATAGGAGGAGAGATGTCACAAAAAGGCTCTTGCACTTTGAGTTATAGGGGAAGAAGGGCTTTTTTTTTTTTTCTTTTGAAACAGGGTCTCACTCTGTCATCCAGGCTGGAGTGCAGCGGTACGATCTCAGCTCACTGCAACCTCTGCCTCCTGGGTTCAAGTGATTCTTCTGCCTCAGCCTCCCAAGTAGCCGGGATTACAGGCGTGTGCCTGGCAAATTTTTGTATTTTTAGTAGAGATGGGGTTTCACCATGTTGGCCAGGCTGGTCTTGAACTCCTGACCTCAAGTGATCTGCCCTCCTCAGTCTCCCAAAGTGCTAGGATTATAGGCATGAGCCACCACGCCTGGCCAAGAAGGGCCTATTCTAGGCAGCCAGCCCTAGGTTCTCCAGGAGGTTCCCTGGACCTCGAGTACAGGGTGGAGGATTAAAGACACAGGTCGTGTTAGCAGTGAAGACATAGGCTGACATAGCAATCCAAGTCTAAGGCCTGGATTTTAATGACAACTCTGCCAATTTCCTAGTTGGGGACCTTGGACTTCCAGGTTCTATTTCCAATTCCATTGTCACATCCCACCCCAAGAGAGAGCACGGCAACTGAGGACAAACTTCCTTGGCCTCTTTGGGGCTTTGTTTTTGTTAATTTTTTTATTTATATATATATATATATATATATATATATTTTTTTTTTTTTTTTTTTTTTTTTTTTTTTTTTTTGAGACAGAGACTCTCTCTGTCGCCCAGGCTACAGTGCAATGGCACAATCTCAGCTCACTGCAACCTCTGGCTCCTGGGTTCAAGCAATTCTACCACCTCAGCCTCCTGAGCAGCTGAGACTACAGGTGCACGCCACCACGCATGGCTAATTTTTGTTTTTTAGTAGAGACAGGGTTTCACCGTGTTGGTCAGGCTGGTCTCGAACTCCTGACCTCAGGGGATCCGCCTCCCAAAGTGCTGGGATTACAGGCGTGAGCCACCATGCCCGGCCTGTTTTTGTTAAACCTTATATAAAGCGGAAGGCATAGGCCCTAGTTTCCTAGGTATTTCATCTCTGTAATGAGGACAGTAACACCACTGGCTTCACATGCTGTTGTAAAAATTCAAATTGGACCACCCATGTGGAGCACCAGGACAGCTACATGCTCAATAGAGAGGGCCCTTGTTGGTGGGATGGGATCCCATGCTGCCCCAGCTACCTCCCGGGGCAGGCAACTGAAGCCCGGGGCAACCCTGCAGAGGAGGCCTGAAGGCCTGCAGACGCAGGCTGAGGGACCAGGCAGGAAATCCACCTGGGTGCTCCTGCACATCCTCAGGGTAGTAGCTATCCCAGCCCCCTACCTCCCTCACCTCAGACTTCAGACAACCAACCGCATTCATTAGACTATCAATCTTCTTATCATAACGGTTCATTTTACAGTGACCTGAGTCATCATCTTCTGTAGAGAGGTCACTTAACCGCATCACTGAGACCAGCTTTTCTGAAGATGGTGGCGTGATCTCCAGGCAATGAGGTGGATTCTGATGTAGAGGAGGGAGAAACACATGAACTCAGAAGGCAGAACCTTGACCACGAGTTCCACCACTGGAGGCTTATTTACTGATTAGACGGGAAAAGCTGTAACAGCTAACTCGGGGACCCCAGGAAGAACATACTCTGAACCCTTGTGATGGAACATTACCTATCCATGTTTAAATGATGGTTTTGGAGAATTCCCAACATCAAAATTAAAAGCTTGGGCTACAATGTTAAGTTTAAAATAAAGAACATAGGCTGGATACCCTGTAAAACCAGTATATTGGGAGGCCGAGGCGGGAAGCCAAAACCAGCCTCAGCAACATAGCGAGACCTTGTCTCTATAAAAGTAAAAGAATTAGCTAGCGCTGGGCATGGTGGCTCACATCTGCAATCCCAGCGCTTTGGGAGGCTGAGGCGGGTGGATGACCAGAGGTCAGGAGTTTGAGACCAGCCTGACCAACACGGTGAAACCCCGTCTCTACTAAAAACACAAACTTAGCTGGACATGGTGGTGCATGCCTGTAATCTCAGCTATTCAGGAGGCTAAGGCTGGAGGATCGCTTGAACCCGGGAGGTAGAGGTTGCAGTGAGCCAAGATTGCGCCATTGCACTCCAGCCTGGGCAACAGAACGAAACTCCTTCTAAAAAAAAAAATCAGGTGGGTGTAGTGGCACATGCCTGTGATCTCAACTAATCAGGAGGCTGAGGCAGGGGATTCCTTGAGTCCAGGAGTTCAAGGCTGCAGTGAGCTATGATAGCACCACTGCATGCCAGCCTGGGTGACAGAGCGAAACCCTGTCTCTAAAAATAACAATACTCATAAAGAAATAATATAACAAATCAGCAAAAACATTAATAATACCCAAAGTTGGCAAAAGTTTAGGGCAGTACATTTTTTTATACCTAGGGTAGAAATGAAATATGTCAAAAGTCTTTTAAATGAATATGAATAGCTGATAGTGGATTAGTTACAAAGGTAGATGAATCTGCTGAAAAGGTATTGTAGAAACAAGTGGGTAAATTGGAAAAAGGACCAGATATTGTATGATATTAAGAAATGCTCTTAGGAGTAATCAGTTATTTTGATGATGTAGAAAAATATTATAAATGCACATGGTACAATACCTGGAAAGTATTGTATTAAAAAAATACAATACTTTTTAAATACGTCAGTATAAAAAATATTTTAGGGCCAGGAGCGGTGGCTCATGCCTGTAATCCCAGCACTTTGGGAGGCCAAGGCGGGCGGATCACGAGGTCAGGAGATCGAGACACTGAAACCCCGTGTCTACTAAAAATACAAAAAAATTAGCCGGGCGTGGTAGCAGGTGCCTGTAGTCTCAGCTTTTTAAATATTTTTTTAAATATTTTAAAATGCATATATGCTTCAGGAAACTTTATGCAAAGCTGTAAACACTTTGCTTTTTTTTTTTTTTTTTTGAGACAGGGTCTCACTCCATCGCCTAGGCTGGAGTGCAGTAGTGCCATCTCGGCTCACTGCAACCTCCGCCTCCCAGGTTCAAGCAATTCTCCTGCCTCAGCCTCCCGACTAGCTGGGATAACAGGCACCTACCACCATGCCCAGCTGATTTTTGTATTTTTAGTAGAGGTGGGGTTTCACCATGTTGGCCAGGCTGGTCTCGAACTCCTGACCTCAGGTGATAAGCCCGTCTTGGCCTCCCAAAGTGCTGGGATTTCAGGTATGAGCCACCACATCCAGGTATGTATATTACTTTTAGAAGAAAAGAAGTTACTTTTAATACTTAAAATGACAAAAATAGGAAAATGTATAAACAGTCATGTGCCACGTAACATTTCAGTCAGCAATGGACTGCATATATGACAGTGGTCCCAAAACACCGTATTTTTACCGTACCTTTTCTATATTTACTATGTTTCAATATGCAAATACTTACCATTGTGTTAGTTGCCTACAGTATTCTGTACGGCATCATGCTGTAGAGGTCTGTAGCCTAGGAGCAATAGGCTATACCATACAGCCCAGGTGTGTAGCAGGCTTTACCAATCTCGGTTTGTGTAAGTACACTCCATGATGTTTGCACAATGATGAAAGTGCCTAACAACATGTTTCTCAGAATATATCCCCATTGTTAATTGATATATGACTATATATATATATATATATATATATATATATATATATATATATTTTTTTTTTTTTTTTTTTTTTTTTTTTTTTTTTTAATTGAGATGGAGTCTCGCTCTGTCACCCAGGCTGGAGTGCAGTGGTGCAATCTCGGCTCACTGCAAGCTCCGCCTCCCAGGTTCACGCCATTCTCCTGCCTCAGCCTCCCGAGTAGCTGAGACTACAGGTGCCCGCCACCATGCCCGGCTAATTTTTTGTACTTTTAGTAGAGACGGAGTTTCACTGTGTTAGCCAGGATGGTCTCGATCTCCTGACCTTGTGATCCGCCCGCCTCGGCCTCCCAAAGTGTTGGGATTACAGGCGTGAGCCACCACGCCCGGCCACATGACTATATATTTTTTAAAATGACAAATATATATATATATATATATATGGGAAAGTGTGACTACTTACTCCTTGTGATGGGGAGGGAGTGACATAGACAAAAGCCAGGGGCAGCTTCTAGGATGCTGGGTGATCGTTACACAGGTACCTTCAGCTTGTGAAAATTCATGGAGCAATACACTTCTGATGGGTGTACATCCCTGCACTTTTCCATTTTTTTTTTTTTTGAGATGGGGTCTCACTCTGTCAAGCAGCCTGGAGTGCAGTAGCACAACTTTGGTTCACTGCAACCTCTGCCTCCCAGGCTCAACCCATCCTTACACCTCAGCCTCCCAAGTAGCTGGGACCACAAGTGCACACCACCACACTGGGCTAATTTTTTGTATTTTTGGTAGAGATACGGTTTCGTCACATTGTCCAAGCTGGTCTCCAACTCCTGAGCTCAGGTGAACCGCCTGCCTTAGCCTCCCAAAGTGCTGGGATTACAGGCGTGAGACACCAGGCCCGGCCAGTCCTCTTTTCGTTTTTCTTTTCCGTTTTTTTTGTTTTTTTTTTGAGATGGAGACTCGCTTTGTTGCCCAGGCTGCAGTGCAGGGGCGCGATCTTGGCTCCCTGCAACCTCCGCCTCATGGGCTTAAGCAATTCTCTTGCCTCAGCCTTCTGTGTAGCTGATATTGGTGGCGCGACCACCACGCCAGGGTAATTTTTGTATTTTTAGTAGAGACGGGGTTTCGCCATGTTGGCTAGGCTGGTCTCAAACTCCTGATCTCAGTTGATTTGCCTGCCTCGGCCTCCCAAAGTGCTGGGATTACAGGAGTGAGCCATTGCTCCTGGGCCTGTACTTTTCAACAAGAAATTTTGAAACTTAATAGCAGCCAGAATTGAGTAGCTGATTATTTTTCTGTATTTTCAAATTTCCCTAAATAAAAATAGATCACTTTTTTTTTTTTTTTTGAGACGGAGTCTCGCTCTGTCGCCAGGCTGGAGTGCAGTGGTGCAATCTCAGCTCACTGCAACCTCCGCCTCCAGGGTTCAAGCAATTCTCCTGCCTCAGCCTCCCAAATGGCTGGGCCTACAGGAGCGTGCCACCATGCCCAGCTAATTTTTGTATTTTTAGTTGAGATGGGGTTTCACCACGTTGGCCAGGATGGTCTCAATCTCTTGACCTCATGATCCGCCTGCCTTGGCCTCCCAAAGTGCTGAGATTACAGGCGTGAGCCACCGCGCCCGGCTGATCACTTTTAGTAATAGAGGCAAGAAAAAAACCTAGACCTTCTTTCTCCCAAAGCTGATCTTATATTCCAGGAGTTGTAAGATATCAAACAAGAACCCCACATGCATACAGCAGCTTTTGGTCTTCATTTCCATATCTTCCTCAAACTTCCACCTCCAGGGGCTGTTCCCCTTCCGTCCATGAAGGACAGGGTTGAGTTAGGGCCTCTCAGGGCCACAGGAAGCCACTGGCAAGTGGAAAGGGGCAGACACAAGAATGAAAGCAGAAAAGACAGCTACTGTTTCAGGTGCTGAGAGAACCTGGGCAGGCCACCTCTCTGGGACCTTCCACCTCTAGGATTTGGCAATGGGGCTGGAAGTGGCATTATGCTTTTCAGAGGGGATTATTACCCCTAGCAACCCATGTCAACAGGAAAATTTTTCATAGCAGCATCTCTGTGATGTGTACTTTGAAAACTACCAAGGAGGCCAGGCACAGTGGCTCACGCCTGTAATACCAGCACTTTGGGAGGCCAAGGCGAGCAGATCACTTGAGGTCAGGAGTTCAAGACCATCCCGGCTAAAACGGTGAAACCCCGTCTCTACTAAAAATACAAAAAAAATTAGCCGGGCGTAGTGGCGGGCGCCTGTAGTCCCAGCTACTTGGGAGGCTGAGGCAGGAGAATGGCGTGAACCCGGGAGGCGGAGCTTGCAGTGAGCCGAGATCCCGCCACTGCACTCCAGCCTGGGCGACAGAGCGAGACTCCGTCTCAAAAAAAAAAAAAAAAAAAAAAAAAAAAAAAAAAAATACAAAAACTAGCTGGGTGTGGTGGTGCATGCCTGAGTCCCAGCTAACTCAGAGGCTGAGGCAGGAGAATCACTTGAACCTGGGAGGTGGAGGTTGCAGTGAGCCGAGATCATGCCACTGAACTCTAGCCTGGGCAACAGAACAAGACTCCGTCTCAAAAAAACAAAAACAAAAAAACCCAAACTACCAAGGCTTTTTATTTTTTTAAAAGGCATTTTTGGGCTGGGCACAGTGGCTCACGCCTGTAATCCCAGCACTTTGGGAGGCCAAGGCGGGCGGATCACGAGGTCAAGAGTTCGAGACCAGCCTGGCCAATATGGTGAAACCCCGTCTCTATTAAAAATACAAAAATTAGCCAGGCGTGGTGGTGCACGCCTGTAGTCCCAGTTACTCGGGAGGCTGAGGCAGAAGAATTGCTTGAACCTGGGAAATGGAGGTTGTAGTGAGCCGAGATTGCACCATTGCACTCCAGACTGGATGACAGAGCGAGACTCCGTCTCAAAAAAAAAAAAAAAAAGGCATTTTTGGCTGTGCGTGGTGGTGGCTCACACCTGTTATCCCAGCACTTTGGGAGGCTGAGGTGGGCGGGTTACTTGAGGTCAGGAGTTCGAGACCAGCCTGGCCAACATAGCAAAACCCCGTCTCTACTAAAAATACAAAAATTAGCCAGGTGTGGTGGTGCGTGCCTGTAATCCCAGCTACTCGGGAAGCTGAGGCAGGAGAATCGCTTGTACCCAGGAGGTGGAGGTTGCAGTGAGCCGAGATTGCGTCACTGCACTCCAGCCTGGGTGACAAAACGAGACTCTTTCTCAAAAAGTAAATAAATAAATAAAAATAAAGCATTAAACCTTGCCATACCTCAGAGGCAATCACTGCTTACCACTACTTGCATATTCTCCTAGAAAACGTTCTGTAGATATAAACATATTCTCCCAGAAAACGTTCTGCACATACAAACATATGCGTTTATACATGGACACAGACGCCCATTTTCTGCACAAATAGGGCCGGCCAAATGTTATATGTTGTGCATCTCCATGCTTCATTATCATGCATAAATATCTGTCTCAATCTTTTTGTTTTTGAGACAGGGTCCTTTTCTGTAATCCAGGCTGCAGTGCAGTGACATAATCACAGCTTACTGAAATCTCAACCTCCCCTCCAAGTAAGTAGGACTACAAGTGCGTACCACTGCACCCAGCTAATTTTTTATCTTTTGTAGAGGCAGGGTCTCGTCGTGTTGCCCAGGCTGGTCTTGAACTCCTGGGCTCAAGTGATCCTCCTGCTTTGGCCTCCCAAAGTGCTGGGATCACAGGTATAAGCCACGGCAACCAGCCTCTACCTCAGTCTTTGCAAGGCTGCATGGTATTCCATTGTATGGATGTATCATATTTCTCTTTTGTTTTGTTTTGTTTGAGACAGGGTCTCACTGTGTCACACAGGCTATGCAGTGGCATGATCATGGCTCACTGCAGCCTTAACCTCCCTGGCTCAAGTGATCCTCCCACCTCAGCCTTCTGAGTAGCTGGAATTACAAGCGCATGCCACCACACCCAACTAGTTTTCTATTTTTTGTAGAGATAGGATCTCACTATGTTGCCCAGGCTGATCTCAAACTCCTGGGCCCAAGCGATCCTCCCTCCTGGGCCTCCTAAAAGTGTTGGGATTACAGGTGTGAGCCCACCACGCCCAGCCAGATGTATTATAATTTAACCAACACTCTCCTGATGGACATTTAGGTTGCTTCCAATTTTTCTGTTACAAACAATGCTACAGCAAAAAATCTACAAAAAATCCCTGTACTTGTAATCCCAGCACTTTGGGAGGCTGAGGTAGGCGGATCATGAGGTCAGGAGATCGAGACCATCCTGGCTAACACGGTGAAACCCCGTCTCTACCATAAAAAATTAGCCGGGCATGGTGGCGGGCACTTATAGTCCCAGCTACTCGGGAGGCTGAGGCAGAAGAATGGTGTGAACCCGGGAGGCGGAGCTTGCAGTGGGCCGAGATTGCACCACTGCACTCCAGCCTGGGTGACAGAGCGAGACTCCGTCTCAAAAAAAAAAAAACAAAAAAACAAAATCCCTGTACTCTTCTATGATGTTTTTAGGACAACTTCCTAGACGAAAAATTACAGAATCAATGTTTAGACAAGTCCTGCCAAACTGACTCCAGAACAGCTGAATCAGGTTCACAGTCCTATAAAAAACGTTTTAAAAGATTCGGGCCGGGTGTGGTGGCTCACACCTGTAATCCCAGCACTTTGGGAGGCTGAGGTGGGCTGATCACCTGAGGTCGGGAGTTCGAGACCAGCCTGACCAACATGGACAAACCCTATCTCTACTAAAAATACAAAACTAGCCGGGATGGTGGTGCATGCCTGTAATCCTAGCTACTCAGCAGGCTGAGGCAGGAGAATCGCTTGACCCAGGAGGCGGAGGTTGTGGTGAGCCAAGATCGCGCCACTGCACTCCAGCCTGGGCAAGGGCAACAAGAGCGAAACTCCATTTCGGAAAAAAAAAAAAAAGATTCATTGATATCCCATATGCTTGCTGGCAGGAGATAGTTGTCATTTTTTAAACTTTTTCCATTCAAGAAAAAAGCTCATTGTTTTTGTTTTAAAAAAAATATACTGTGGCTTTTAATTTACATTTCACTGATTATTAGTGAAGTATATGTAGTAAAAAATGTAAGGCAGCAGTCTAATTTCAATCCTTTTAATTTATTGTACTGGTCAGAGCAGTTTCCATTTAATCCTAAGAAAGCCCCATACTCCCTTTGTCTCTAAGGGAAAGGAGTCTCCTTTGTCTGGTAAATCAAGGAGTCAGTTTTGACATAGTTTTATGAGGTATGACTATAAACTTCAAGGAGTTACTTTTGTTTTTCATTTCTATTTTTTTTTCTTTTCACTGCTGGTATGAAAGATTTCTAATGTAATAAACTATAAGAAAAATAGGCTGGCTGTGGTGGCTCACGCCTGTAATCCCAACACCTTGGGAGGCCGAGGCGGGCGGATCACCTGAGGTCAGGAGTTCGAGACCAGCCTGGCCAACACGATGAAACCCCATCTCTACTAAAAATTTAAAAATCAGACGTAAGTGGTGGCGGGCGCCTGTAGTCCCAGCTACTAGGGAGGCTGAGGCTGGAGAATCACTTGAACCTGGGAGGCAGAGGTTGCAATGAGCCAAGATCATGCCACTGCACTCCAGCCTGGGCGACAGAGCAAGGCTCTGTCTCAAAAAGAAAAGAAAAGAAAAGAAAATACATGTGATGTGGCTCCTCACAAGCAAAGCAGAGAGGCTAAGAGTACTGCCTCTAGAATGAATCTTAACTCCAGCTCTGCTAACTTCTCTGTGACTCTGGGAAAATCACTTCTCTCTGAGGTCTGGTTCCTCATCTCTGCCTTTGGACAGCAGGACTTCCCACACAGCAGTATCATAAGAACTCAAGAAGATTCACATAGTTTCAGGGTTTAGCAAGGCCCTCAGTAAATGGGGTCTGTTAGGACATTCCAGTAGCTATAGCTGACCCTGAATCATACCGAGGCTGAGGCCTGCTAGGATCTGAGCAGTCCGAGAAGAAAAGCCTGGGCAAGGGTGAGCCTACCTCCCACTTGCATCCCACAGGCCGGGCAGATGATTTTCCAGGGGGCATCCAAGGTACCTTGGTTTTCACCCGGACACTCCGCCGCACATTCACAGTGTCCCCTTTCATTCCTCGCTTGTGAGATTTCTGTGGAAAGGGACAAACCCAGGGTCACTTCCACACCCAGCTGGCCACGGTGCCACGCTAGTGACATCCCTCTCCGACTAGCAGAGTGCCTCTTCTGACTAATGTTACTGCTGTTGCTCCTGGATGACAGGCCTGCCTACCTTCTAACCAGGAAACCGGCCTCCGAAAGAGTGTGTTTGTCTCCCAAACCTTTGGAGTCAGAGTGCGAGGAGGCTGGGCTTAGCAGGATCACCCAGATCCACAGCTACTACCTCGCCCCACTGGCATGCTCCTACCTGGCTGCTGGTCGCTGATGGTTTCGGGAGTTTTTTTATGTGGACGTGGACAGGGGTGTTCTCATCCACGTGAACATGTAAGGGGGGAGTTGAAGAGCGGTCCTTCATGGTTGGCTTCTGGCAGGTGGGGGAGGACAACACAAAAATGGTTGATCTGTGGATGAGTAAACTGGGCATAAAAACAGAGCTCACAGCCTCTGGGGGCCACCAAAAAGCCTAGCCACCAAGCGAGCAGGACAGCTACCAACTACTGGCATGCAGGCAGGGAGTAAGGCGGGAGTATCATTCAGCAGGCTCCTGCAGAGATCCCAGCAGAAGACCACAAGGGAGATTCTGGTCCACTCAAGAGAGGGTCTGCAAGACCCACCCGTTCCAGAACAGATCCCAGACGCCGGCCCCAGGGTTCTTAGGGCTGGATCTCCTCTAAACCTGCTGGAATGCACAGCTCCTCCTTGGATTTAGTGAAGCACAGCGGAAAGCAGGCGGATCCTTCTACACAGTGATCTCAACTGGGCATGCAGATTGGCGTGGGAAACACACAAAATGCTCAGGGTGCAGAATAAATCAGAGAGCAGGCAGATCAAAGAACAGGAAAACAGAAAGCTGAAGGAAATCCTAAGGATGAGAAGGCTGTCTAGATTCTAAAGAAAACATGAGCAAGGCAGAACCACAGCTACAAACCCCTCAACCACCACCAGCTCTTATCCTTCCCCTCATTCTTTAAACTTTTTTTTTCTCTTCTTTTTCTTTTCCTTTATTTTAAAAATCTCAAGATTTTAGGATTTGGCTGGAAGAATAAGTCTAAGACAATTTCCTCACACCCGGCAGCCTCACCACAGGCAAAAATGATGATCATAATTAAAAATCAGCAGAGTATGTATAACAGCACCTAGCAGAGCAACTGGGCGGCGATGGTGCCCAGCAGGGTAAGGCACCTCCTAGAAACGGTGTGCAAAAGCATTTTTAGCAAGGTGACCAAAGAGGGCTGCTACGTGAGTGCATCACCTACCGTCACAGTTACACTGGGTGCGCCACAAGGTGCTCTCAAGACCTTTTTCTGCGTGAGACTCGTTACTCCGTTCTTCCCACACGATGGAAACCTGCACCCAGGCACAAGAACCAGATTGTAAGCAGAAAACTAGGGCAATCTTATATTTCAGATCTCATGAAATTACACACTGACTACGGTAGCTAACATGTTCATGGCTAGGAAAACCAGCCTGGAATTCCTTGACTCCCCTGAGATGAGCACCAGATGTGCGTGGTGTGCCCAGCAGTGGGATGGAAATAGGGTGACAGGCATTTGCAGGCTGGACTTTTAACATATCGTCACATCACATGTATTATGACCCTTGCTGAAAAGCCTAGCTGACATCCTGTCAGATGACAAAAAGCAAGCAGCACATGAACAGAAGCCAATGTGCTGGTTTGGCCAAGGGTAGAAGCACCCAGGACAGTGCCTGGAGCAGAGGCGGCCCTGGAGAAAGATGCAGTGAGTGAGTGACAAAAATAGAGCATTAGTGGCCACAAGCCATGTCTCATGCCTGTAATCCCAGCACTTTTGGAGGCCAAGGCAGGCAGATTGCTTGAGCCCAGGAGTTTGAGACCAGCCTGGGCAACATGGCAAGACCCCATCTCTACAAAACATACAAAAATTAGCTTGGCGTGGTGGCGTGTGTCTGTAGTCCCAGCTACTCGGGAGGCTGAGGTGGGAGAATCAATTAAGCCTGGGAGGTGGAGGCTGCAGTGAGCCGTAACCACGCCACTGCACTCCAGCCTAGGTGGCAGAGGGAGACCCCGTTTCAAAACAACAACAAAAAAGAAAAAAAAATTTTTTCAAAGAGCATTAGGCTCAGGCACGAGAGGTCACTGTGACGCACACTCATCAAATTAAGGCTCAAATATTCCCCTAAGAGAATAAAAAAGTATCTAGTTCCCAAAATATTCCACTTGCTATCCTTTAAGCTCTCAAGCAGCAGGGGATTTTTTTTTAATGCCATGTCTAATTCACCTTGCTTACACATATACTGTACAGCTCCATCACCAGATCTGCAAAGACAGCCAAATAAAAAAAAAAAAAAGAGAGAGAGCAAAAGTCTATTTGCTCCAAAATCTTTCAGCAGTATATCCAAAAAGTCCAGGATGGGAAGGGCCTTGGAATAACCATCTGATCCATCTCCTGGCCTTTTTTTTTTTTTTTTTTTTGAGATAGAGTCTCGCTCTGTCGCCCAGGCTGGAGTGCAGTGGCCCAATCTTGGCTTACTGCAACCTCTGCCTCCTGGCTTCAAGCAATTCTCCAATTCTCCTGCCCCAGGCTCCTGAGTAGCTGGGATTACAGGCGTGTGCCACCATGCCCAGCTAATTTTTTATGTTTCTAGTAAAGACGGGGTTTCACCATGTTGGTCAGGCTGGTCTCAAACTCCTGACCTCAGGTGATCCACCCACCTTGGCCTCTCAAAGTGCTAGGATTGCACAGGCATGAGCCACCGCACCTGGCCCCCCAAAGTGGGGGGAGATCAGAGAGGCTGGAGCGACCAGGGGGTGGCAGGGAGGGTGGGGCAGAGACAGGGAGGTCCAAAATTATCATCTTGCCCTCTTTACAAACACTTGGGGAAAATAATGCAACATCAAAATGCAAGGAAAAAAATACTTGAGCACTTTGGTATGCGTTTTGCTGTATATGTATTACATCGTGATTTTAAAAAGAGGGGAAAAAAAAAAAATATATATATATATATAGACCTCTACTGATCCTTTAGCCAAGGAATACCAAAACTGAGAAGACAGGCTTTTTTCCCTAATCATTTAGAACATTGTTCACGTAAAGCCAATAGCTTTGGGAAATCTCTCAGTGGGTTTCTTGTCAAACCACCTGGATTCCATTATCTTGCTAACTGCCACATCCACCTCCTACGTGTTATTTATTTACACCTCGACTCCCTTCAAAAAGGCTCTGAACCTAGTACTCTATTATATAAAGACAACAAGAGTGACCCTGTTTGCTTCCAGGAAGCTGTGACATCTGGGGAGGGAAGGAGCGAGGGAGGTAGAGCTAGGATTGTGTATACATTTCGTTCCCCCTTCCCTTTAAAAACGATTTTTAAACGTTTTGGTCCAGACTTTCAGCAAACACAATGAGGAAGCTGGAAGCCTCAGGCGAGCCTGCCCTGGGGACCCCTGGCCACCTTTCCCTGCCCTCCGGCGCAGGCGCCTCCCACATCGGCAATACCTGGGGGAGCCGCCTGAGGATGAGGCAGACATGGCTAGGCATCAAAGCCGCAAAGGTGGGCAATTGGGTCAGCAGGCTCTGCTCAGGGGGACCCAGAGGGGCAGGCTTGTCAATGAGCCTCTCAAGGGGCCCGGCATCAAACGTCCTCTCTGAGGGGAGAAGGGTGGAAGCTTTGGGGTTGGCAGTTGGATGAAAACTTGGGAGGCGCTCCTCTACTGTCCAAGTCGCACAGCAACTGTCCTGCCAAAGTAGGGGGAAATAGTAGAGGCTGAGCGACCTGGGGGCAGAGGGGAGGAAGGGGAGGGGACGGGGCAGAACCGCGAGGGAAAGGACCACCGCGCCCGGGTCCCACGCGGAGGACTGCCGGTGGCTACCGGGGGAAACCTGAGGCGCCGGCGGACGTGCGGAGAGGGCGGGTGAGAACCGCTCGGCCCCAAGTGGGCCCCAGAGGGCCAGAACCGCGCAGGGAGCCGCGGGGATGCTGGGGCGGGGCCGGACAACTGTCTCCTAGGAGAAGGGGCGTTACGGAAGAACAGATGCCCGAGAGGACCAATAGTGTTTAAAGGAGGGAGGCGCGGAGGTTGCACGGGCCCCGGGCGCCCCGCCGCGAGGGAAAACCGAACAGAGTTCTGAGCAGGATAGACGCCGGGCTGGGAGGGGGCGGGCGGGACCCCCCCCCGCCGGGCGAGGGCCCTGGCAAGCCGGAGACGGTGCCCGGGGGACAGCGCTGCCTACGGAGGGCGTACAAGTGACTGCCATGTGGAGGCCCGAGGAGAGGACGAGGCGGTCGGGGCGATGCCGCCGACGGGCAGCAGAGCGAGGGAGAGCCTCTGTCGGCGGAGAGAAGGGACGGCCACCCACCAGCAGGCAGGAGGGTACCGGTTTCTGCCCATAGAGAGAAAGGTGAAGCCCTGCCCGCGGGCGGCAGAGGAGGGGCAGAGCCCCGTGGTAGCCAAGAGAGGAAGGAGGCGGCCGACCGCCCGTTAGCGGGAGGAGGAGAGGCCCCGCGCCGGTGGGCGGGGCGGGGGCCCAGGTTCTGACAGGAGGGGGACGAGCGCAACGCGGCGGGGAACCCAGGACCCGACGGCCCCGCGGGGTCGACCGCGCCGGGGGTGCGAAGGCGACGGTCTCGCCCGCGGTGCCCCGGAGGGCGCTGGATCCCGCCTGCCGGCGGCCTCTCACCAGGAGCGACACGGCTGCGCCCAGAAACGCCGCCTTATGAAGTCGTTGAAGTCGGAGGCCAGGGTCGTGCCATGGAGACGCCGCGGCGGATGCAGTCTGGCTCTGGCAGCGGCTCCTCCCCGCTTCCGCCTCCTTTTCCGACACCCGGTCGGCAGCTCGCCCATTGGCCAGTTCAAACCCCCCCGGGAGCCGCTTGGGTTTCGCCATCGAGGCCCAGCCCCTAGCGTCACAGAGATGCCCCGCCCCGCCAGAAGGGCCGCCCACTTCCGGGCCACGCGTCCCGTCACCAAGGAGACGTGCTACGCGTCCAGCGGGCCTGGCCGGGTCTCGCCCCCCATTCAAGGCCTTTCCCGCTCGGCCCTGTTTCCCCTGCCTTGGATCCTCCCGGATTCCCCTCACTCAAAGGAGCGTACGGTTCCGACGCCCTCCCCTCGGTACCCACCAGGAAACTAGGCTCACAGAGGACCCATGGAACTAGTTATTGGGAGCTGCACACTGCCTCCGAAAATCCAGCCCTGCCCCTAGTCCACTATTAATGCGGAGATGGAGTCGGCTTCTGCGCATTCCCCGGCCTCTCCCCTGCCCACATCGCCTCTGTCTTGGCCCCAACAGGAGAAAGGGTCGGCATTCCCCTTGCTGTTCTGTTCACTACCTTCCTGCACTTTTTTTTTTTTTTTTTTTTTTTTTTTTTTTTTTTTTTTTGAGACAGATTCTTGCTCTGTTGCCCAGGCTGGAGTGCAGTGGCGCGATCTCGGCTCACCGCAACCTCCGCCTCCCGGGTTCACGCCATTCTCCTGCCTGAGCCTCCCGAGTAACTGGGACTACTGGCGCCCGCCACAACGCCCGGCTAATTTTTTTTTGTATTTTTAGTAGAGACGGGGTTTCACCGTGTTGGGCAGGATAGTCTCCATCTCCTGACCTCATGATCCACCCGCCTCGGCCTTCCAAAGTGCTTGTATTACAGGCTTGAGCCTCCGCGCCCGGTCTACTACCCTCCTGCACTCTCTATGCCGCTCTGTGTACAGACCTATTCTGATGAGGTCCTTGCTGGTCCGCCATCTTCTCAATTATGCTTCACTGTCAGCCAGTCAGGGGAGGTCTGTCACGTGGCTCATAATGCCGCCCTGGAATCTGGGAGACCTGAACCACCTCCGGGCCAACTGGGCCACAGTCCCTTGACCTTTCTCCAGTGACCCCGCAGCACCTTAGCCACACAGCTCCAGGGTCACACAAGTGTTTCACCTGCAATCCTAAAGTCAGACTCGCAAACAAAACCTGCTTTTCCGCCTCGCTTTCACAGTATACTGCATACTGAATTTGTTCTGTAATGTCAGGGAGCTCCCCAATCCCTTGATCCATTCATTGTCTCTCTGTTGAATAATTGATAGATTTCCTAATCCTCATTAACCATTTAAGACTGCGGTGGCTCACGCCTGTAGTCCCAGCACTTTGGGAGGCTGAGGCAGGCGGATCACCTAAGGTCAGAAGTTCAAGACCAGACTGCCCAACATAGCGAAACCCCGTCTCTACTAAAAATACAAAAATTAACCGGGCATGGTGGTGTGTGCCTGTAATCCCAGCTACTAGGGAGGAGGAGGCAGGGAGAATTCCTTGAACCTGGAAGGCGGAGGTTGCAGTGAGCCAAAATCACCACTACACTTCAGCCTGGGTGACAGAGTGAGACTCTTGTCTCAAAAAAAAAAAAAAAAAAAAAAAAGTATATACAGGTTCAAGGAAAAGAGGACAGGAAAAGGAGGTCCCGGTCCTCCTGGGGCAGGCAGGAGATGGTTCCCAGAGGTGATGGTATTGGAACTGAGCCATGAAAGGTGAGTGGAAGTTCGCCAAACAAGCAGCAAAGGGAATTCTAAACAGACTGCAGTAGGTACACAGGTACCACATGCAGGTACAAGAGAATACTGCATATTCTATGAAGCATCATCACTGCAGTCCCTTGAAGTGTTACAGGGCCAGCGATGAGAGAAATCCTGCCAAAGTCAGCAGGACCAGACTATGCAGCGTCTGATAGGCCAGCCTAAGGTGTTGGACTTCATCCCTCAGAAGCCTGGAAAACCATGAGAGGGTTTTCAGTATTTCACTCTAGGCTGGGCGCTGTGGCTCACACCTGTAATCCCAGCACTTTGGGAGGCCGAGGCAGGTTGATCACTTGAGGTCAAGAATTTGAGACCAGCCTGGCCAACGTGGTGAAACCCCGTCTCTACTAAAAGTACAAAAATTAGCTGGGCGTGGCAGCCGGCGACTATAGTCCCAGCTACTCAGGAGGCTGAGGCAGGAGAATCACTTAAACCCAGGAGGTAGAGGTTACAGTGAGCCAAGATTGCACCACTGCACTCCAGCCTGGGCGACAGAGCGCGACGCCATCTCAAAAAAAAAAAAAAAAAATAGTGGCCAAGCGCAAAGTGGCTCAAGCCTGTAATACCAGCACTTTGAGAGGTTGAGGCAGGCAGATCACCTGAGGTCAGGAGTTCCAGACCAGCCTGGCAGACATGTGGAAACCTCATCTCTACTAAAAATACAAAAATTATCCGGGCGTGGTGGTGCATGCCTGTAATCCCAGCTACTCAGGAGGCTGAGGCATGAGAATTGCATGAACCTGGAAGGCAGAGGTTGCCATGAGCCAAGATTGCAACACTGCACTCCACCCTGGAGGATAGAGCGAGACTCCATCTCCAAAAATGTGGAGCATGGATTGGAAAGACAAGAAAGCATGTAGAGAGAGGAGGCCTTTGCAATATTAACTGTAAACAAAATTTGGGGGTCAGGGGTGGCAGACGTGGTGGCTCATGCCTGTAATCCCAGCACTTTGGGAGACTGAGGTGGGAGGATTACCTGAGCTCAGGAGTTTGAGAGCAGCCTGAGCAACATGGGGAGGCCCAATCTCTTAAAAAAAAAAAAGGCGGGGGGCTGGGCACGGTGTCTCACGTCTGTAATCCCAGCACTTTGGGAGGCCGAGGCAGGCAGATGACTTGAGGTCAGGAGTTCCAGACCAGCCTGGCCAATGGGCGAAACCCCATCTCTACTAAAAATACAAAAAAATTAGCCAGGCATGGTGGCGGGCACCTGTAATCCCAGCTACTCGGGAGGCTGAGACAGGAGAACTGCGCTAACCCGGAAGGCAGAGGTTGCAGTGAGCAGGGATCCCGCCACTGCACTCCAGTCTGGACGACACAGTGAGACTCCATCTCAAAAAAAAAAAAAAAAAAAAAAATCACCGGGCATGGTGGCTCATGCCTGTAATCTCAGCACTTTTGGAGGCTGAGGTGGGAGGATTGCTTGAAACCTGGAGTTTCAAACCAGCCTGGGCGACATAGGGGACACCATCTCTACAAAACATTTTTAAAAGTTAGCCGGGCATGGTGGCACATGCCTGTAGTTCCAGCTACTTAGGAGGCTGAGGTGGGAGGGTCACTTGAGCCTGGGAGTTCAAGACTGCAGTGAGCCGTGATTGTGCCACTGTACTCAAGCCTGGGTGAAATAGTGAGACTCTATCTCAAAAAATAAACATAAATAAATAAACATAAATAAATATACACATTTTTATACATACATATTATATGTAATATACCCAGGCTAGAGTGCAGTGGCATGATTACAGCTCACTGCAACCTCAAGCTCCTGAGCTCCAACGATCCTCCCTCCTCAGCCTCTTGAGTAGCTAAGACTGCTGGTGCGGGTCACCAAGCCCGACTAATTTTTTTTTTTTTTTTTTGAGACCGTCTCACTATGTTTCCCAGGCTGGTCTCTAACTCCTGGTCTCAAGTGATTCTCCCACCTCCCGAGGAGGTGCATCAGTCTCCCAAGTAGCTGGGATTACAAGGACAAGCCACTGCACCTGGTTGTAATATAAACTTGTATGAGATTGCTCTGTCACTGCCTGCTGGCCACCCCAGTGTCCCCACTCGACCATGGATTCCTTGTGGACTAGGGTGACATCACAGTCATTTCTGTATCTCCAGTAGCCAAACCAACCTGTAAACGGTAGACAATCAACAAAAAAAATGTTGAATGAATGTATGGATTAATAATACTATTAATAATGCCACCTAGTACATTAAGTGGGAGGGAGGTAGTATTCACGGGAAGGGAGGTAGCATTCCAGAGAATGCCCTGGGTACCCCTTGTAGACCTCACCCCCTCCCTGCAGGAGAGGACGTTAGCCAAGCAGCATCCCAGCTCCCAATCCTCCTGCGAGCCATCAGTCAGGAACAGCTTCACCCTCTTAGAGGTGAGCACGGAGCAGTCGGGGATGGTGGACAGGGGTCGGGGGAGCCCAGGCTGGGCCCCGCTTCCTTGGGTCACCTGGAGTAAATATCGCTATCAGTGGTTCTCAAACCAGAGTCACAGGCTTGTTAAAACACAGATTACAGGAACCAATTCTCTAAAAGTTCCTGATTCGATAGGTTTGAGATGGGGCCGGATAATTTGCATTTCTTTGTTGTTGTTGTTGTTTTTGAGACAGAGTTTCACGCTTGTTGCCCAGGCTGGAGGGCAGTGGCATTGATCTCGGCTCACTGCAACCTCCGCACCTCTGGGTTCAATCGATTCTCCTGCCTCAGCCTCCTGAATAGCTGGGATTACAGGCGCCTGCCACAACGCCTGGCTAATTTTTTGTATTTTTAGAAGAGACAAGGTTTCATCGTATTGGCCAGGCTGGTTTCGAACTCCTGACCTCAGATGATCCACCCGCCTCGGCCTCCCAAAGCCCAGGGATTATAAGAGTGAGCCACTGCGCTTGGCCAAAAATTTGCATTTCTAATAAATGTCCAGGTGATGCTGGTGCTACTGGCCAAGGATCACATTTGGAGAACCACAGAAGTATTCTCCAGACCCACAGGCCACCCCGAAGCTCAGAGGCTATAAGTCTGTCTGATCTCTGCATCCTCCACCTCCCCAGTCCCCATGGAGAGTTGAGAGGAACTCCTGCTCTGGCCAAAATGGAGCTGATGGTTTACACAGAAACATCCAGGAGTATGTGCATTTCAGAAAATAAGGGCAACCTGAGAAATTCCCTTGCCCCAAACACACAAACCACCCAAACCAGAAACAGTGTTCATCCTCCACTCGTCTCTAGAGTGTCCACTTCAGGAGCGCAGGGGCTGGGCCTGGGCCAGGATCTCCAGCCCCTGCAACTGTGGGAACCCTCCAGGCCAAGTTCAGATGCTCCCTCCTCCATGAGGCCTGCGGTGGCTCCCACTTCTCAGGATGCACTGATGGCTCCCTCCTGGGTATGGGTCCCAATATCCCTGCTGTAAGCACTCGTGTGTGTACGGAAATCTTGTGCCACCTCCTACTGGGTGCTCTCTTAAGGCAAGGGCCACTTCTTCATGTCCCACAGAATCCAGCACAAAATAGATGCTCTGAGAGTTTCACTTTAGAAGTCCAATCAAGGATCAAATAAACTTTAAAGACTTCTTTTGGGGAGCCAGGCACAGTGTGGCTCATGCCTGTAATCCTAGCACTTTGGGAGACTGAGCTGGGCTTGAGCCCAGGAGTTCAAGACCAGCCTGGGCAACATTGTGTCTCTACAAAAAATACAAAACTTAAAGCTGGGTCCGGTGGCTCACGCCTGTAATCTCAGCACTTTGGGAGGCTGAGGCGGGCAGATCACGAAGTCAGGAGATCGAGACCATCCTGGCTAACACGGTGAAACACCGTCTCTACTAAAAATACAAAAAAATTAGCTGGTTGTGGTGGTGGGCACCTGTAGTCCCAGCTACTCGGGAGGCTGAGGCAAGAGAATGGTATGAACCTGGGAGGCAGAGCTTGCAGCAAGCCGAGATTGCGCCACTGCACTTCAGCCTGGGCAACAGAGCAAGACTCTGTCTCAAAAAAAAAAAAATACAAAACTTAGCTAGACGTGGTGACACTAACCTGTAGTCCCAGCTATTTGGGAGGCTGAGTTAGAAGGATCACCTGAGCCTGGGGAGGTTGAGGCTGCAGTGAGTAGTGATCGTGCCACTGTGCTCCAGCCTGGGTAACAGAGTGAGACCTCATCTCAAAAAAAAAAAAAAAAAAAAAAACTTCTAAAACTTTTAGACTTTTGGGTCTAAAAGTAATGTTAAAAATTTGGGAGCAACCTAAATATGCATCAACAGAGGAATCAATTAACATAGTACATCTATGTTATCTGTATACCAGTTTAAACGCATTAGGTACATCCATAAGTAATAATAGGAGAAGATCCCCAAGACATACCATATGATCCTATGTATGCTAAAACATAAACTGTAGGAGCCAGGCATGGTGACTCACGCCTGTAATCCTAATACTTTGGGAGGCCTAGGTGGGAGGATCACTTGAGGCCAGAAGTTTCAGACCAGCCTGGCCAACATGGTGAAACTCTGTCTCTCCTAGAAATACAAAAATTAGCTGGGTGTGGTGGCACACACCTGTGATCTCAGCTACTGGGGAGGCTGAAGCATGAGAATTGCTTGAATGCAGGAGGTAGAGGTTGCAGTGATCCAAGATCACCACTGCACTCTAGCCTAGGCAAAAGAGTGACACTCTGTTTCAAACAAAAAAAAAGACAGGAAATCTTGTCAAAAGGGTTAGGCCAGTTTATATCCAACCAACAGTTTCTTTTTTTTTTTTTTTTTTTAATATATGTTAACTGCTGTTTTATTGTTATTATTATTTATTAATTAGAGATGGGGTCTTGCTATGTTGCCCAGGCTGGTCACGAACTCCTGAGCTCATGTGATCCTCCTGCTTCAGTCTCCCAAAGTGCTAGGATTACAGACATGAGCCACTGCGCTGGCCTATTTACTGCTGTTGACCTTTTAATGTGTACCTTACAGACTTTTCAAGGCAAATGAAAATATTTTTCACTTAAATCAACTCATATTACACTTACTATTCAACAACCTTTTTCTCTGATTTAACATGGCACAGGTACAGCTGTCTTTCTGTGTTGGAGCCCCAACCAACAGTTTCTGAGAATGCATAAACTCACCCAGTGTTTACTGTGTTATAAACAACAGGAGGGATTTTGCCAGTCTTACAAGCAACGAATATGCCCTCTGCTAGACAAACTATCCCTGCATGTAGAAAACTGAAAGTCTCTCAATTCTAAGAGATTTTTGTTTTGTTTTGTTTTGTTTGAGACAGGGTCTGGCTTTTTCACCCAAGGTAGATAGGCGAATTGCTAGAACCTGGGAGGCGGAGGTTACAATGAGCTGAAATGGCATCACTGTACTCCAGCCTGGGTGACAGAGCAAGACTCTCTCTCAGAAAGAAAAAAAAAAAAAAAGGAAATGTATTGTCTGGCAGTTCTGGAGGCTGGAGTTCAAGATCAAGGTGTCTGCAGGGCTGTGCTCCTTCTGAAGGTTCCAGGGAAGGATGTATTCCCAACCTTGTTCTAACTTCTGGTGGTTCCTTGGCAGCATAACTCCAACCTCCATCTGGTGTTCTGTGTGTGTGCTTGTGTCCAAATTTCCCCTTTTTGTAAGGACATCAGATATACTGGATTAGGGACCCACTCTACTTCAGCAGGGCCCCATCTTAACGGATTACATTTACGATGACCCTATATCCAAATGAGCAGCTGGGTGCAGTGGCTCATGCCTGTAATCCCAGCACTTTGGGAGGTGGAGGCGGGCAGATCATGAGGTCAGGAGTTCAAGACCAGCCTGGCCAATATGGCGAAACCCCGTCTCTACTAAAAATACAAAAATTAGCCAGGCATGGTGGCATGAACCTGTAGTCCCAGCTACTCGAGGAGGCTGAGGCAGGAGAATTGCTTGAACCAGGAGGTGGAGGTTGCAGTGAGCTGAGATCGTGCCACTGCACTCCAGCCTGGGCAATAGAGCTAGACTTTGTCTCAAAAAAACAAAACAAAACAAAATAAGGTCACATTCTGAGGTACTGGGGGTAAGAACTTCAACACATGAATTCAGGGAGGATGCAATTCAACCCATAACAGAATGTATAAGTTTAGTTTAAGGATTATAATAAAATAAACACTAACATAGCCAGGACACAGCTTAAGAAAGAAAAGAGGCTGGGCACAGTGGCTCAGGCCTGTAATCCCAGCACTTTGGGAGGTCAAGGAGGGCAGATCACTTGAGTTCAGGAGTTCAAGACCAGCCTGGCCAACATGGTGAAACCTCCATCTCTACTAAAAAAAATACAAAAATTAGCTGAGCATGGTGGCACATGCCTGTAATCCCAGCTACTCAGGAGGCTGAGGCAGGAGAATCTCTTGAATCCAGGAGGCAGAAGTTGCAGTAAGCCTAGATGGCACCACTGCACTCCAGCCTGGGTGACAGAGAGAGATTCTGTCTCAAAAAAGAAAAAAAAAGGAAAGGAAAGAGATTAAAAAATCATTTCAGGCTGGATGTGGTGGCACACACCTATAATCTTAGCACTTTGAGAGCCAAGGAGGGCAGATCACTTGAGCCCAGGAGTTCAAGACCAGTCTAGGCAGCATAATGAGACTTCGTCTCTACAAAAAAATAAAATAAAAAACCCAGCCGTCACAGTGTGTGCCTGTGGTCCCAGCTACTTGGGAGGCTGAGGTGGGAAGATCACCTGAGACTGGGGAGGTGGAAGCTACAGTGAGCTGTGATCAAGCCACTGCACTCCTGCCTGGGCGATAGAATGTTACTGTCTCAAAAAGAAAAAAAAAAAAGTCCAATTTTTTTTTCTTTTTGAGACAGAGTTTCGCTCTTGTTGCCTAGGCTGGAGTGCAATGGCGCGTGCGATCTCAGCTCACCGCAACCACCACCTCCCAGGTTCAAGCGATTCTCCTGCCTCAGCCTCCCAAGTGGCTGGTATTACAGGCATGCGCCACCACGCTCAGCTAATTTTGTATTTTTAGTAGAGACAGGGTTTCTCCATGTTGGTCAGACTGGTCTCGAACTCCCGACCTCAGGTGATCCGCCCACCTTGGCCTCCCAAGGTGCTGGGATTATAGGCATGAGCCACCACGCCTGGCCTAAAAAGGTCCAAATTTTATATCACCTGCAGCTGTGAATAAAGGTTCTCACTATTAGTAGCCATCAAGAATTTCTTAAGAGACTACCATTACAAAGCCTATTTCTCCTGATAAAAAGTTATCAGAAATTGTGTGTAGCTGTTTCAAACATGAAACCTGCCATAAAAAGTTATTTTCATAGAAGCAAGCTCACATTTCACATGTATTTATTTAGCTACAGTGTCTCGTTCTGTCACCTAGGCTGGAGTGCAGTGCTGTGATCATAGCCCATTGCAGCCTTGAACTCCTGGGTTAAAATGATCCTCCCACCTCAGCCTCCCAAGTAGCTGGGACTGCAGGTGCACACCACCACACTCGGCTATTTTTAACTTATTTATTTAGTTAGTTTGAGATGGAGTCTCGCTCTGTCACCCAGGCTGGAGTGCATTGGCGCAATCTCAACTCACTGCAACCTCCACCTCCCAGGTTCAAGTGATTCTCCTGTCTCAGCCTCCCAAGTAGCTGGGATTACATGTGCGTGCCACCATGTCTGGCTAATTTTTGTATTTTTAGTGGAGATGGGGTTTCACCATGTTGGCCAGGCTGGTCTTGAACTTCTGACCTCAAGTGATCTGCCCGCCTTGGCCTCCCAAAGTGCTGGCATTTCAAGAGTGAGCCAGGGCGCCTGGCCCTTGTGCATCCTTCTTGATAAAGAAAGGGAGGTTCCTGGCTGTTATCAGGAGAATGTCAGCTGCTTGCTCTGTGGAGAGCAGAGGAAGAATACAGGCAACCATTCTCTTCTCTTTTTGGATATACATGATCTGTACAAAGTGGTCATCACTAGGCCTCTCTTGTCCAGGCAATTTCCCCCTTAAGTTGTCATACATGCTACAAATTTTGTGCTTTCCGTCATCCATTCTAGCTTTAGGCAATAACTTATTTCATAGTCCTCCACATCAAGGAGTAATCTGTAGGTTTTCTCAATTATGATAAGGGTTTTGTTTGTTTGTTTGTTTGAGATGGAGTCTCCCTCTGTCGCCAGGCCTGGAGTGCAGTGGCATGATCTCAGCTCACTGCAACCTCCACCTCCCAGGTTCAAGCGGTTCTCCTGCCTCAGCCTCCTAACTAGCTGAGACTACAGGCACCCGCCACCACGTCCGGCTAATTTTTGTATTTTTAGTAGAGACGGGGTTTCACCGTGTTAGCCAGGATGGTCTCAATCTCTTGACCTCATGATCTGCCTGCCTTGGCCTCCCAAAGTGCTGAGATTACAGATTTGAGCCACTGCGCTCGGCCATGACAAGGGTTTTTCTCCTCTTGTCTCAAACTTTTGTTTCATCATCCTCACTCCAAGATGTCACAACAGCATCAATCATTTTTTGCTGATTATTTACACTAGAAACAGTCAGCTTTCCCAAAGAGCCCGCAAATTGCACTGGATTATAGGCGCGCTCCAGTTTAGCCACCTGAGGGGTGATGAGCTTGGTGCGCTCCTTTTTCGGGCCATCACCTTATATTTCTTCAGCAGCTGACTGTTTTTCCAAGTAATTCTGGTAATAAAAATAATCCAGGGATCAGTGCTTTGCAGTTGCATCATCTGGAATTTAGGGACCCAATCCTTTTCCCACTGCAACATGAGATTGGCATATGGATCCTTTCAGAGATGATCTTGATGACTGTTCCATTGACTTCCTCTATCTCCTGCACCATTGAGACTCTGATGCTGATTTCTATTCTGTTGCTGTCTCTGATGCAAGAGTCGACAGTGCTGTGGATGAAAGTGAGTTGCGTCTGGTATAAACATTGGGGCCTGAGATCTTAGGTTTTGCAGGTGAAGTCCTGGGCCAGGAGGGTGCTGCTGTGGAGGTGGTGCAGCAGGGGTGGAGCACTAAAGAAGGCACAGAAGCCTGGTGCTGGGGGAAGCATCTGCCCAACCGGCCCTTGTAGTAACTTGGGATTCATAGCAGCAAGTAGACTACCAGCAAATCCAGGGACCCAGGCGAACTGGCTGGGAGACATACATCCAGACTGTAGCGGGACACAGCAGAGCTGGCTTGATGTCCTGTCACTATAGGGAGCAGGATATTGTGGTGGCATTGGGGGCTGAACATGGACAGGCGTCAGACACAGAAAGTGTTGGGTGAGATTGGATACAGCCATCTGCTTAGGTGAGGTGCCTATGGGGACAGCTCTAACAGGAGGACTGCCAATGATAGGTGAAGTTGGCCGCCTTGGTAATGCATGTTCAGAAAGGTCCCGATCATCTTCTGGAACCTGGGGGCCTCTGAGGCAAGGCACACTTTAATACAGACACTGTAGGCATTTCCTGAACAGTAGTCTTTGGATTCCCCTCAGAACTTCAGATCCATCCCAGATACTGGAATTCAGACTTCCCGGTTGGGGTTATAAAACTGGCCTGGTTTGCACTGCCCTCATGATAGCTGGATCTTCTAGTTCATTTTCAATCACCATCTTACTGAGCCTTTCTGCCAGATTCTCCTCATGGTCATCCAACAAGTCCATTTCATCCCTCTCTCCATTGCCTGTTTGTTCAATAACTGCCACTGGTTGCTTTACTTCCAGTTCAGCCAGGCACTCATGTGCTTCCCGCCAGTCATCATCAATTGCACCTGACCCGAATGTCTTATCACTGAATTGTTCAATTTCCTCATCTTCTTTTCCCAGGCCCTGAAATGCATCTTCAACTTCATCCACAGGACAATCCTCCAAAGATTCTTGGGGAGGGAGGGAGGGAGTGGGGAGAAGAGTAGGGAAGGGAGGGAAGAAGCACTGACTCCCCGGGCTTGGGTCCTCCACCGACTTGGGACCCCTGGCTGCTGCCATACGCCCAGTTGCAATTACATTTAAAGACTTAGGCCAGCCGGGCAGGGTGGCTCATGCCTGTAATCCCAGCACTTTGGGAGGCCGAGGTGGGAGGATCATCTGAGGTCAGGAGTTCAAGACCAGCCTGGCCAACATGGTGAAACCCTTTCTCTACTAAAAATAAAAAAATTAGCCGGGCGTGGTGGCACACACCTGTAATCCCAGCTACTCCAGAGGCTGAGGCAGGAGAATTGCTTGAACCCAGGAGGTGGAGCTTGCAGTGAGCCGAAATCGCGCCACTGCACTCCAGCCTGAGTGACAAAGCAAGACTCTGTCTCAAAAAAAAAAAAAAAAAAGACTTGGGCCGGGCGTGATGGCTCACACCTGTAATCCCAGCACTGTGGGAGGCCAAGGTGGGTATATCACTTGAGGTCAGAAGTTTGAGACCAGCCTGGTCAACATGGTGAAACCCCATCTCTACAAAAAATACCAAAAAAAAAAAAAAAAAAAAAAAAAAAGCCAGCCATGGTGGCACATGCCTGTATTCCCAGCTACTTGGGAGGCTGAGGTGGGAGGATCACTTGAACCGGGAGGCAGAGGTTGCAGTGAGCCGAAATTGCACCACTGCACTCCAGCCTGGGCGACTGAGCAAGGCTCCATCTCAAAAAAAAGCTGTCACAGATGCCAGTAGGAGAACAGGTTAGTTGCAAACAGATGGGAAGTATTGAAATTTGTGAAGATGGAGCTGGGGAGCCACCCCCAGGAGCGATGCACACCAGCCTCCTCCTTCCTGGGCCAGCTGCACCTTGGGCACACGGGACCAGAACTCCTCTAGCAGGAGGTCCATGGGTCCCCTGTCCAAGACAAGCAGTGGCGTCCTATGCAGCTGACTGCTTAAGTGGATGTCTGGGGTGTGGACCCCCACCTTGGCCGAGCTAGCTCATCAGAACATGTTCACTTTCCACAGGAACCATGGACATAAAATAGAATCCTGCCCCACACAGGCCACCATAGGCCCTGCCCAGCTGCCCCAAAGAGGGTGCTGATCAACATTTATTGGCTCACTTGCCAATAAATCACACTGAGTGCCCATGGCACACCGCTGCAGAGGAGGCTGAGCCCAGCCTGGCTCTGAGGATGAGTCTGCTTGGCCTGTTGATAATCCCACCTCCTTGTCAGTGATTGTCAACACTTCGTTCAGAAATGGACACGTGACTCTATTTGGGCCAATGTGGAGAGACTGGCTGGGGTTCTTTCTTCAAAAGCATCTAGAAGTGACTTTTTTTTTTTTTTTTTTTGAGACAGAGTCTTGCTCTGTCGCCCAGGCTGGAGTGCAGTGGCACCATCTCAGCTCACTGCAAGCTTCGCCTCCTGAGTTCACGCCATTCTCCCACCTCAGCCTCCCGAGTAGCTGGAACTACAGATGCCCACCACCACACCTAGCTAATTTTGCTTTTGTATTTTTAGTAGAGACGGGGTTTCACTGGGTTGGCCAGGATGATCTCGATCTCCTGACCTTGTGATCCGCCCGCCTCGGCCTCCCAAAGTGCTGGGATTACAGGCGTGAGCCACCATGCCCAGCCTAGAAGTGACTCTTTTTTTTGAGATGGAGTCTCGCTCTGTCACCCAAACTGGAGTGCAGTGGTGCAATCTTGGCTCACTGCAACCTCTGCCTCTTGGGTTCAAGTGATTCTCCTGCCTCAGCCTCCTGAGTAGCTGAGATTACAGGTGCCTGCCACCACGCCCAGCTAATTTTGGTATTTTTAGTAGAAATAGGGTTTCCCTATGTTGGCCAGGCTGGTCTCAAACTCCTGCCCTCCAGTGATCCATCCACCTCGGCCTCCCAAAGTGCTGGGATTACAGCTTTGCACTCTGTGTTATGTCAGCCTGTACATGGTCTTCTTAAGTCAGTTTGAGTTGGTCCCTTACAGCAAAAAGCATCCTTACTCACAGCTCTGGGATAATCAGAAGACCAGATAATCAAATACCATTCACTGTGCCTTACCTGCATTCTACAAGGTAGTATTGCCCTCACTTGCAGATGGAGAAATGAAGGTTCAGAGAGGCTAAGTAACATGCCCAAGGTCACACATTCCCCACGCCATGTCAGGACTACAGCCCACGTGGGACCCACTCCAGATTCCACGTTCTTTATCCTGGCAACATGCCAGCAAAGGAGGAAGCAAAAGAACTTTAAAAGCAGACAAAGGAGCTCAGGAAACTCTGCAGTTTGGGGCACTCAGCAAAGGGGCCGATAGCCCCTGACTTCAGCAGACAGGGAACCAGAAGCACTTACAATTCGATTTTACAAGAGAAGGTACTACTCGCTACTTAAAAAGTCAGGGAACAGATTTCTATAAAAGCCATCACCTTGGTAAGGCGTGGTGGCTCACACCAGTAATCCCAGCACTTTGGGAGGCCGAGGTGGGGGGAATTGCTTGAGCTCGGGAGTTCAAGACCAGCCTGGCCAAAATGGTGAAACCCAGTCTCTAATAAAAATACAAAAATTAGCTGGACGTGGTGTCTCACGCCTGTAATCCCAACTACCTGGGAGACTGAGGCAGGAGAATCACTTGAACCTAGGAGGTGGAGGTTGCAGTAAGCTGAGATCCCGCCACTGCACTCCAGCCTGGGCGACAGAGGGAGACTCGTCTCAAAACAAAACAAAACACCAGCCTTGGCCTGGTGGCTCACACCTGTAATCCCAGAACTTTAGGAGGCTGAAGCAGGAGGATTGTTTGAGCTCAGGATTCAAGACCAGCCTGGGTAATATACCGAGATCCGACCTCTGCAGAAAATTTAAAAATTAGCCAGGGGTGGTAGCACGGTCCTAGAGATCCAGCTACTTGGGAGGCTGAGGCAGGAGGATCAGTGGAGCCCAGGAGGTCAAGGCTGCAATGAGCTGTGGTTGCACCACTGTACTCTGGCGAGTACATCACTGCCTGGGTGACAGAGTAAGACAGAGTGAGACCCTGTCTCAAAAATAAATAAACAAAAATAAAAAAGGCCAAGTGCAGTGGCTCACGCCTGTAATCCCAGCAGTTTAGGAGGCCAAGGCAGGAGGATCACTTGAGCTCAGGAGTTTGAGACCAGCCTGGGCAACATAGTGAGAACTGTGTCTCTACCAAAAAAAAAAAAAAAAAAAAAAAAAAAAGAGAGAGTAAAAAAAGTCAGGCCTCACCCATAGCCTACTAAATCAGAACCTGCAGAGAATTGGGAGCGGGCAGGAATGTGCCTTTTAACAGGTTCCTGTGGTGGAGGAGTATACAGCTTGAGGGGTTCCAAGCTTCTATCTCCAGCCCAGACTGGGGCCCCGAATTCCAGACTTGTGTATCCAGCTACTTACTTGACATACCCTTTTGGATCTCAATTTTTTTTTTTTGAGACAGTCTCTGTCACCCAGGCTGGAGTACAATCGCATGATTGCAGCTTACTGCAACCTCCGCCCCCGGCTTCAAGAGATTCTCCTACCTCAGCCTACTGAGCAGCTGAGACTACAGGTGCCCACCACCACACCCAGCTAATTTTTTTTTGAAACTAAGTTTCACTCTTGTTGCCCAGGCTGGAGTGCAATGGTGCGATCTAGGCCCCCTGCAGCCTCCACCTCCCGGGTTCAAGCAATTCTCCTGCCTCAGCCTCCTGAGTAGCTGGGATTACAGGCACCCACCACCACGCCCGACTTTTTTGTATTTTTAGTAGAGATGAGGTTTCACCATGTTGGCCAGGCTGGTCTCGAACTCCTGACCTCAGGTGATCCACCCGTCTCAGCCTCCCAAAGTGCTAGGATTATACGCATAAGCCACCACGCCCAGCCATGCTTGAATTATTACAGTGGGTTCCTAACTGGTCTCACTGTTTCTTCCATGGACCTGCCTACAGTTTATTCTCAGCACAGTAGCCGGTGTGATCTTATAACACTACATGAGATCATGCCACATCTCTGCCAGGGTGATCATGTAAAAATGTAAGTTAGATGGTTACTTCTTTGCCTCCATCTCTCTGGGGGCTCCATCTCAGAGTAAAAGCCAAAATGGCCTTCATGGCCATCCCTGCTCTGGCCCCAGCCTTGGCTCTATCAACTCTAGACACTGGTCCTCCTCTCTTCTGCACTGTCAGTCCTGCTTCTGCCTCAGGACCTTTGCATATGCTGTTCCTTCTGCTTGGAAGCTCTTCCTTTTGCTATCCCCAAGGCTCAGCCCCTCCCCTCCTTAAAGTCTTTTTTTTTTTTTTTTTTGTCTATTTTTTTTTTTTTTTTGAGACGGAGTCTCACTCTGTCACCCAGGCTGGAGTGCAGTGGTTTGATCTCGGCTCACTGCAACCTCTGCCTCCCAGGTTCAAGCAATTCTCTTCCTCAGCCTCCCACGTAGCTGGGACTACAGGCGCCCACCACCACACCTGGCTAATTTTTGTATTTTTAGTAGAGACGGGGTTTCACCCTCTTGGCCAGGCTGGTCTTGAACTCCTGACCTCGTGATCCACCTGCCTCGCCCTCCCAAAATGGTGGGATTACAGGTGTGAGCCACCCTGCCTGGCGAAGTCTTTTGTTTTTGAGATGGAGTCTCACTCTGTCGCCCAAGCTGGAGTGCAGTGGTGCAAGCTCAGCTCACTGCAACCTCCACCTCCCAGGTTCAAGTGATTCTCCTGCTTCAGTCTCCCGAGTAGCTGGCATTACAGGCGCCCGCTAGCACACCTGACTAATTTTTGTATTTTTAATAGAGATGGGATTTCCCTATGTTGGCCAGGCTGGTCTCAAACTCCTGGCCTCCAGTGATCCATCTGCTTAGGCCTTCCAAAGTGCTAGGATTACAGGCATGAGCAACTATGCCTGGCCCACTCCTGCGTCTTTGTTCAGGTGTTAACTTCTCAGATCTTACTTTGTATCTCTCCGCTTCTCATTTTTCTCTATAGCAATTCACACCCTCTGATCTTTCTTTGTTTTTGTCTGCATCCCTCATTAGGATGTCAGTTTTGGCCGGGTGTGGTGACAGAAGGTGATAGAGTGAGACTCCGCCACAAAAAAAAAAGAAAAAAAAGAATGTCAGTTTAATGAGGTCAGGGGTTTTGTCAGTTTCATTCACTGCTGAATCCCCAGGGCCTGACTGCGGCCCATGGGAGGTGCTTAATAAAGGTTAACAAATGAATGAAGGGGACACCTGGAGCCTGGAGAGAAGTGAGTCGCTCAAGGTCATAGCCATCCAGAATGAATGACTTTCATCTTAGAACGAATAAAGCACCGAGTCCACAGCTCCAGCCCAAGGTCCTTCTCACAGCCGTGCCAGGTCCTGGACCTCAACCCCAGGACAGAGCCAAGGGATACCCCAACCTCAGGGAGTGCCTGTCAGGCTCTGCCAGGACTGGAGTGCTCACACAACCAAGTCAGGGGGCCACATGGAAGAGGAGCAGGAACGGTGGAAGCCAAAGCAGCCATGGCCAAGGCCAGGAGCCATCTCCCCTCCCACCCCTCCAGCTGCCTGAGTGCAGGCATGACAGACAGCGGCTGGGCCCAGAAGCCCGACTCTCTGGGGCCAGGGGAGAGGCCTGCAGTTCCCATCAGAAGAGCAGAAGACGCAGAGCTGCTGCGGGTTGCCCCAGCACCAATGGGAGCTTCCCTATGGCCCATGCTTCCTTCCTGGTGTTGGCCCCAACCCAGCAGAGAGCATCCTGGCCAAGTCCAGGCTCTGCCACCTTGCGCCCTCTGGTGGCCACATTGGTTAGTGCCAGAGGGGAACCCAGGATCTCCCCCAGCCCCTCCCAGGCGGTTCCTCTTCCCCTAAGCCAGGGTTTCAGCTGCACAAGAGATGATCCAAAGGGCCGGGGGACATCAGCAGCCCTTGGACTGGCTGGGCCCACCCTGACCAGCAAGGTGAGGCTGGTAATGACTTCGGGGATGACCACATCAGCCCCAACAGGTGAGCACTCACTGTGAGCCGGGCTCAGGCTAGGCCACTCTATACCCAACCAGCCACAATGACCGAAGAGTAGACTAAGGCCCAGGGAAGGGATGGCACCCACCCAAGATCACCCAGCACAGAGGTGATGCTGGATCGGCCTGACTCCTCACCTGTCCTCCCCTCTCTGTCCCTCCAATTGCTCAACCATAGATCAGGAAGCCTCCTCCCAGGCCAGCTGAGATGCAGAGGCTCAGCCATGAGTTAAAAAATATAAAGTAAAAATACAAAAATTAGCTGGGCGTGGTGGCACATGCCTGTAATCCCAGCTACTAGGGAGGCTGAGGAAGGAGAATCGCTTCAACCCAAGAGGCGGAGGCTGCAGTGAGCCGAGATCACACCACTGCACTCCAGCCTGGGTGACAGAGCGAGACTCTGTCTTAAAAACAAACAAATATATATACATGTATATATATGTATGTATACATATATACATGTATATACACGTATGTGTACATATATACACGTATATATACGTGTATATACGTGTGTGTATATACGTGTATATACGTGTGTGTATATACGTGTATATACGTGTGTGTATATACGTGTATATACGTGTGTGTATATACGTGTATATACGTGTGTGTATATACGTGTATATACGTGTGTGTATATACGTGTATATACGTGTATGTGTATATACGTGTATATACGTGTATGTGTATATACGTGTATATACGTGTATGTGTATATACGTGTATATACGTGTATGTGTATATACGTGTATATACACGTATATATGTATATATACGTGTATATATACGTATATACGTGTATATATATGTATATATATAAAGTGGCAGGGTGCAGTGGCTCACGCCTCTCATCCCAGCACTGTGGGAGGCCGAGGTGGATAGATTGTTTGAGCCCAGGAGTTTGAGACCAGCCTGGGCAACATGCAAAACCCAGTCTCTACAAAAAAAAATGTGGCCAGGCATGGTGGCATGTGCCTGTGGTCCAGCTACATGGGAGGCTGAAGCAGGAAGATTGCCTGAGCCCAGGAGGTTGAGGCTGCAGTGAGCTGGGTTTGCGCCATTGCACTTCAGCCTGGGCAACAGAGGGAGACCCTGTGTCAAAAAATATATATATACATACATACATACATACATATATATATATATATATATATATATATATACACATACACATACATACATATATATATATATATATATATACATATATATACATACATATATATATTTAAAGTGCAAATGGCTTTTATTGAGGGCCTACTGTGTGCTGGGCAACATGTCTGCAAGGGTCCTGCTTTACCTCCCTGTACTTTGCACCGGCCAGGGAGGAGGGTGCTGGGGAGACCCAAACATCAAGCTGGGGGAGGGTGCTGAGGTGGAGGTAGAAGGGGGCAGAGGGGCCCCTCAGCTGAGTCCTTAGGGAGGGAAGGGATCCTGGGGTCTGCCCAGCTTGAAACAGAAGCTGGGGGCCACAAGGCCCTGAATCAGGCCAGGCAGGGTACAGGGGCCTGGGAGTCCTGCTCCTTTGCTGTGAGACCTTTAGGGAATGGGATCCATCTCTGAGTGGTTTCTCCCGATGAAAGACAGGTCCAGAGGGCAGAGTGGCCATGCCCAAGGTGGTGGCCAGGTCTGACAGGATCTGCAGTCCCTGCCAACAACCTCCTCCTCTGCTCTCTGGGCAGTAGTGGCCTGCTCCTGGACACTGCTTTGCAGTCATCACCTGGACCTGGTGGGACAGGAGGAGCAGGAAGAGAAAGAGAATTAGAGTCAGACAGAATCAGAGACAGACAGACACTGACAGATATAGGAAAACAGGGGCAGAGACAGACAGAGAGGGAAAAAGCTAGAGAGGGATGCGGAGACAGCTGAAGGTACAATTATAGACAGACACAGAGGCCAGGCACAGTGGCTCACGCCTGTAATCCCCAGCACTTTGGGAGACCGAGACGGCTGGATCATTTGAGGTCAGGAGTTGAAAACCAGCCTGGCCAACATGATGACACCCTGTCTCTACTAAAAATACAAAAGGCCAGGCGCGGTGGCTCACGCCTGTAATCCCAGCACATTGGGAAGCTGAGGCGGGCAGATCACCTCAGGTCAGGAGTTCAAGACCAGCCTGGCCAACATGGTGAAACCCTGTCTCTACTAAAAATACAAAATTTAGCCGGACGTGGTGGTGGGCGCCTGTAGTCCCAACTACTCGGGAGGCTGAGACAGGAGAATCGCTTGAATCCGGGACGCGGGAGGCAGAGGTTGCAGTGAGCTGAGATCATGCCACTGCACTCCAGCCTGGGCAAAAGAGCAAGACTCCATCTCAAAATAAATAAATAAATAAAAATAAAAATAGAAAAATTAGCCAGGCCTTGTGGTGGGTGCCTGTAATCCCAGTTACTGGGGAGGCTGAGGCAGGAGAATCTCTTGAGCCCGAGAGGCAGAGGTTGCAGTGAGCCAAAATCACGCCACTGCACTCCAGCCTGGGCGACAGAGCGAGACTCCGTCTAAAAAAAACAAACAAACAACAACAACAACAAACATAAAGGCAAAGCTAGAGATGGAGAGGGAGAGAGAAGGCTGAGAAGGGGAAAACAGCCCCAGACACAGTTATGCCATCAAAGGGGAGAGCAAGCCAAGGTCTACGGGGCTGGGGCCTCTTCCCGCCCTGGCCTCACCTAGAGCTCATCTCGGGGCTGGGGTTGGAGGCTGTGCCCGCTGCTGCCAGTCAGGTCCAGGCGGGGGCTGCGCAGGGTCTTTTGGGAGCCGCTCCAGCTGATGAGGCGGCCGCTGTCATCATCCCATGGAGAGGATGTCTCCGTGTCACTGAGCCACTCGGCGTCCCCGGCATAGTGGGTAGGGGCAGCGAGCAGGGGCTGGGCGGAGAAGGCCACCAGGTCCCGTGGCCAGAAGTGTGCCTTGTACTGCTCGCTGTAAGGTGAGAGGATAGCTCAGGGGGATTGAGGCGGGCCCCTACTCCCCGGACACATGCCTGCCCGGAGCCAGGCACCTTGCCTGCCCAAAGCACCTCACTCCCCGCCATCTAGTCCTCACAGCGGCCCTGAGCAGTGGGACTTCTACTACCTCCATTTTCCAGATGAGGAAACAGAGGCTGAGAACAAGGAAGTCATTTGATTAAAAACTGCATGCAGCCGAGCGCAGTGGCTCATGCCTATAATCCCAGCACTTTGGGAAGCCGAGACGGGCGGATCACCTGAAGTCGGGAGTTCAAGACTAGCCTGACCAACATGGCAAAACCCCATCTCTACTAAAAACACAAAAATTGAGGCTGGGTACAGTGGCTCATGCCTGTAATCCCGGCACTTTGGGAGGCCCAGGCAGGCAGATCACTTGAGGTCAAGGAGTTCGACACCAGCCTGGCCAACATGGAGAAACCCTGTCTCTACTAAAAATACAAAAAAGTTAGCTTGGTGTGGTGGCAGGCACCTGTAATCCCAGCTACTCAGGAGGCTGAGGCAGGAAAATCAGTTGAACCTGGGAGGCGGAGGTTGCAGTGAGCCAAGATTGCGCCACTGCACCGCACTGGGTGACAGTGCAAAACTCCATCTCAAAAATAAATAAATAAATAAATAAATAAATAAAAATTAGCAGGGTGTGGTGGCACTTCCCTGTAATCCCAGCTACTCAGGAGGCTGAGGCAGCAGAATTGCTTGAACCTGGGAGGCAGAAGGTGCAGTGAGTCAAAATCATGCCACTGCATTCTAGCCTGGGCAACAGAGCAAGACTCCATTTCAAAAAAAAGCCTGCATGCACTGTGCAAAGTACACACCGAGAATGGACTGACTCTAAGGCTAGGCTGAGCCACTCCTTGGTGACCTGGGCCAAGTGGCTTGGCCTTGCCAGTCCCAGTCTCCCCATCTGCCAGGTGAGGGGACTTCCTGCTGACTGAGGTGAGTTCCTGGAGGGGACGCCTCTGCCCTGCCATGCCCGGCCCCCATCAGAGCCTCACTTGGGGTGCTGGTCGAACATGATGGGCAGGAACTCGTCCACGGGCAGCATGCGGCGCAGAGGCTGTGAGGCCAGCAGCTTGCGGGCACCCGCCAGACGCAGGGCATAGGCCAGCGTCCAGTAGGAGTACCCAGCCACCACCAGGCCCGGCAGCCCCTCCACGGCCGTCTCCTTCTCAGGGTTCACCTGCTTCCGTCCGAGGTAGCTGTAAGTGACACCAAGGGGCCCAGGAGTCACTTAGGTCCTGGGTGTCATGGGACCCTCCCACACCCGCTCCTACAGGGCCAGGCTCTCAGGGGATGGGCCGGCCAGGGTCCCAAGCAGGAAAAGGCAGACTCCGGAGGCCCACCCTGCCCCCTTGTCCCTGAGGGTGCAGGCTGCCTACATCAGGTCCCAAGACAGTTTCTCTGCCTCCACATCCTCCATCAGCCGCTCCAGCCGCCCCCTGAAGTTGCTCTCAAAGCGCACGTCATCCTCAAACACCAGGACCCGGGCCAGGCCCCTGGCAACCACCTGTGGCATACAATGGGGTGGGAGATGGCTCTTCGGAGTTAAACAACCCCCCTCCCTCCACGCTGAAGCTCACAGCCTCTGCCTGGCCTCAGTTGGCCTGGCCACATCATGCAGTTGCCCCAAAGCCTGCTGGGGGCCCCACTGCCTGGGACCGGAAATCCCAACCTCGCTCTGGCATTTGAGGATCTCCAGATAGAATCATGATGGTAACCGTGGCCCTTGCTACATTCCCTGAGTGCTACTGTGCCCCAGGGCTGTGCCACTGCGTATCTGCAGGGGCCCTCAGGAGGCAGGAGATGATGATCCTCAATCGCAGGAAGGAGGTGGACATGCAGGGATGGGAAACTGCCTGTCCAAGGACACACAGCCAGGAAGTGGCAGAGCTGGGATATGAACCCGCATCTGCTGAACACCAGGGCCCAGCTTGTCACTTTGGCCTCCTGCAATTTTCCTTTTTTTTTGAGACGAAGTTTCACTCTTGTTGCCCAGACTGGAGTGAAATGGCCCCCCAAGTCAGGGGGCTGCATGGAAGAGGAGCAGGAACGGTGGAGGCCAAAGCAGCCATGGCCAAGACCAGGAGCCATCTCCCCTCCCACTCCTCCAGCTGCCTGAGTGCAAGCATGACAGATGGTGGCTGGGCCCAGAAGCCCAACTCTCTGGGGGCGGGGAAGTGGCTTGCAGTTCCCATCAAAAGATGGTCTTGGCTCACTGCAACCTCTGCCTCCCGGGTTCAAGTGATTCTCCTGCCTCAGCCTCCCAAGTAGCTGGGATTACAGGTGCCCACCACCACACCGGGCTAATTTTTTTTTTTTTTTTTTTTTTTGAGACGGAGTTTTGCTCTGTCGCCCGGGCTGGAGTGCAGTGGCACAATCTCGGCTCACTGCATGCTCCGCCTCCTGGGTTCACGCCATTCTCCTGCCTCAGCCTCCCGAGTAGCTGGGACTACAGGCGCCGCCACCACGCCTGGCTAATTTTTTTGTATTTTTAGTAGAGACAGGGTTTCACCGTGTTAGCCAGGATGGTCTCGATCTCCTGACCTCGTGATCCACCCGCCTCGGCCTCCCAAAGTGCTGGGATTACAGGCGTGAGCCACGGCGCCCGGCCAACGCCGGGCTAATTTTTGTATTTTTAGTAGAGACGGGGTTTCACCACGTTGGCCAGGCTGGTCTTGAACTCCTGACCTCGTGATCTGTCTGCCTCAGCTGGGATTACAGGCGTGAGCCACCGCACCTGGCCTGGCCTCCTGCTATTTTCTAAAGGAAGCTGGGCTGGGTGGGGGGTGGGAAGACCCCAGCCCCGAATATCCAAAAGAAAAAGTACTTTTGATAACTTTTGGAAAAGTTACTTTAGAATAACTTTTGGAAAACTACTTTTGATAACTTCTGTGAAAAGGAAATCAGCTCAGAAAGTAGTGAAGCCAGGAGCGGTGGCTCATGCCTGTAATTCCAGCACTTTTGGAGGCTGAGGTGGGTGGAATCACTTGAGCTCAGGAGTTTGAGATCAGCCTGGCCAACATGGCGAAACCCTGTCTCTACAAAAAATACAAAATTTAGCTGGGTGTGGTGGTGCGCGCCTGTAGTTTCAGCTCCTCGGGGGTGCTGAGGTGGGATAATTGCTTGAGCCCGGGAGGTCCAGGCTGCAGTGAGCCAAGATCACGCCACTGCACTCCCGCCTGGGTGCCAGAGCAATACCCTGTCTCAAAAAAAAAAAAAAAAAAAAAAGTAGTGAACCATGTCATCCTCCAATTTGTTCAGGGACGGTAAAAAAGCCAACATAGGCTGGGCATGGTGACTCAAGCCTGTAATTCCAGCACTTTGGGAGGCCGAGGTGGGCAGATCACCTGAGGTTGGAAGTTCGAGACCAGCCTGACCAATATGGCGAAACCCCCTGTCTACTAAAAATAGAAAAATTAGCCAGGTGTGGTGGCACATGCCTGTAATCCCAGATACTTGGGAGGCTGAGACAGGAGAACCGCTTCAACCCAGGAGGCAGAGGTTGCAATGAGCCAAGATTGTGCCACTGCACTCCAGTCTGGGTGACAGAGCAATACTCCATCTCAGAAAACAAAACAAAACAAAAACCCATAATGCTCACATACACGTGCACATATATTTGGCTATAGCAGAGAACACAAACAAGGAATCCATGTCCCATCTCCTGGAAGGGCTGCCCTTGGAGGGCCCAGTTCCCATTCTCTCCTGCCGTGTCCAGCAACCTCTTTCCTGCGCTCACACTCCCAGCCCCTGGGCCGAGGCTTCTTGGCCAAGTACTGAGCACATGCTAAGCCCCAGGCTTCCTTCTTTCTGCTCCTAAACACCTTCCTGCCTCAGGGCCTTGGCACCCACTGTTCTCTTCTGCCTAGAAGCCTCTTCTCCCGGCCCCTCAATGGTGAGGTCCATTCTGACCCCCTCCCACACGAGGCACCTCTCAAAGTGGCCCATACCTCTCCCCTCCACTGCAAGCTTGGTTTTGATTTCCATAATCCCGCTCTGGTCCCTGAGCCCCAGGGGGATCCCTTTATTGCAGGAAGGAGCAGACATGCATTGTTCCTGTCCTCCTCTGTGTTCTCAGAGCAGAATATCTCCTAGCACATAGTAGATGCTCAAGAGAGACTGCAGAATGAAAACAAGCACCGCTTAGTGGTGCCCACTGGGGTGTTGAACACAGAGGAGATTGAAAGCTGCTGGCCAGGTTTTGATGAATGTCTTCATTCACTCACTCGTTCACAGAGCAGTGAATAGAACAAACTGGCCCCGTTCTCCCCGAAGGCTGTGGATGGAGGAAGCAGGCACCCTCACCTCTTCCCAGATGGAGTAATGGCTGAGGAAGCAGCCCACCTCGCCCTTGGTCAGAGTGCGGCCCGAGTAAGGGTCCTGGTAGCCCGGGAGCAGGTCTACGCCGAGGTTCCTGATGGCACTGCTGTTGAGCATCCTGAGGGACACAGGTGTGGCGGGGTGAGGGGTGCCTGCCAGAGACCCCTCCAGAGGGGCCAGGCCTGTGCATGTTGGGGACAGTCACACTGGAGTCGGGTTTGAAGAAGGTTTCTGCCTTGTAACTCCTTTGTGTGACCTGAAGCTGTCAAGGGACTGGACCTGGGGAACTGGAGCCCCTGTTGCCCAGGCTGGAGTGCAGTGGCACCATCTCAGCTCACTGAAACCTCTACCTCCCAGGTTCAAGTGATTTTCCTGCCTCAGCCTCACAAGTAGCTGAGATTACAGGTGCCCAGCTAATGTTTTTTTTTTTTTTTTAGTAGAGATGGGGTTTCACCATGTTGGCCAGGCTGGTCTCGAACTCCTGACCTCAGGTGATCCACCCACCTCAGCCTCCCAAAGTGCTGGGATTACAGGCATGAGCCACCACGCCCAGCCACCTCGGGAGTTCTGAGAGGATAACTATTAGGACATGTCCTAATATGATAAGACAGGGGTGACCCTTGAGGAAAGGGTGGGATGGTAGGGGGCTGCCTGAGGGGGAGGCACTCTAGGAAGAATGTGGGAACATGATAGATACTTCTTGGGCAGAGGCCCAAGCAAAGGATGGATAGCCTATGGTCAAGAGACCTCGGGGGATGTGGTGTCTCACACCTGTAATCCCAGTGCTTTGGGAGGCCAAGGTGGGAGGATTGCTTGAGGCCAGGAGTTCAAGACCAGCCTTGGCAACAGAGAAAAACCCCATCTCTCAAAAAAAAAATTTTTTTTGAGACAGAGTCTCACTGTTGTCGGCCCAGGCTGGAGTGCAATGGCACAATCTCGGCTCACTGCAACCTCTGCCTCCTGGGTTCCAGCAGTTCTCCTGACTCAGCCTCCCAAGTAGCTGAGATTACAGGCACCCACTACCACACCTGGCTAATTTTTGTACTTTTAGTAGAGAGGGGGTTTCACCATGTTGGTTGGCCAGGCTGGTCTCGAACTCCTGACCTCAGGTGATCCATCCATAACCTCCCAGAGTGCTGGGATTACAGGCATGAGCCACCGTGCCCAGTCAAAAATTTTTTTTCATTAGGTGGACATGGTGGTGCATGCCTGTAGTCCGTTATTCAGGAGGCTGAGGCAGGACGGTCACTTGAGGCCAGGAGTTCAAGACCAGCCTAGGCAACAGAGTGAGACCCTATCTCTATGAAAAAAAAACAAAACAAAACATTTTTTTTAATCCGGGTGTGGTGATGCAAGCCTGTAATCACAGCTACTTGGGAGGTGAGGGAGGAGAATCACTTAAAACCTGGGAGGCGGATGTTGCAGTGAGCCAAGATTGCGCCACTGCACTCCAGGCCTGGGCGACAGAGCGAGACTCTGCCTCAAAAAAAAAAAAAAATTCTTTTTAATTAGCTGGATGTGATAGTGCACACCTATAGTCCCAGTTACTCAGAAGGCTGAGGTGGGAGGATTACTTGAGCCCAGGAGTTTAAGGCAGCAGTGAGCCATGTTTGTGGCACCGCACTCCAGCCTGGGCAACAGACGGAGGGCAACAGACGGAGACGCTGTCTCTAAAAAAAAAATAAAAAGAGCTGAGTACTTGAAGCAAATGGCAGCCGACATATGGGGCCATAGGACCCCTGGTGGCTGGAGAAGCCTAGCCTCTGGGTTCCTCGGGGGAACATGGCTGGCCTTTCCTAATCCCCACGCATCAGTAGCTCAAGTCCAGGATGGAGAGTAATAATAAGGGAGACACCTAAGCCTTTGGAAACTATGTGCCCGGCCCTGGCTAACTTCACTAAACTCACAAAACCCTAAGAGAAGGGCACAGTTATCTGCTGTTTATACAAACGGGCTGAGAGATGGGGGTAGCTGGCTGGAGGTCACACATTCAGTAACTGGTAGAGCTGGAACCCAGGCCCTGGAGCCTCAGCCACTGTGCTCTCCTCCTCTGGTGAGCAGCAGGAGGGCATCTTCTCCCACGTGTGTCTGCTCCGGAACTCCCTGAGAGGATATTACTCAGACCCTATTTGGATACTACATGGGACAGGAAACTCATTCAACCTGTCTGCTTTTCCCAGTCCTAGCGGGCTAGGAGATGGACCACACTGCTTCCCCAAGCGCACAGGGCCCCCCCCACCAGGCAGGCTCACCAGCCATCCACAGCGTCCACCACCCTCCCAGAGATCTCCATCTCCCAGAGCGAGGCGAGCATGCGTTCCCGACGGTCAGGCCTGCGAGCCAGGCTGATGACAAAGACCTGGAGGAGGCAGGGGGGTGGGCGGTAAGTGCAAGGGAGCGGAAGAGGAGGGCCCATCCACCTCCTAACAGCGAGCCCACAGGCTGGGGGACTTACCTCGTCAAACCCTATCTTGCTGGGCCTCTTAGAGGGCCGAGTCACATGAGCTGAGGCCTGCATGCGGGGGCCGTCCACTGCAAAGGGAAGCACACCCCAAGCACGAGTCCCTACTGACTCCTGTTAGCAGTCACCCTGAAGTCCTAGCCCCCAGCCTCATTCCTGCCCCCTTTGGCAGAACACCCCACAGGACGGGACCTCAGAGATCACAGGATCCACCTGCCCCCATTGTAGGGATGCTAGACTAAGGCCCAACAGGGAAAGGGACTTTCTCAGAGTCATGGAACGAGTTAGGGACAAAGCTGGAACCCCAAGGCCAATGCCCGCTCCGTCCAGGGCCTAGGGAAAGGGGCACCGTGGGGAGGCAGGGAGCCCCGGCAGCAGGTGGGTGGAACAGTTCCCCAGCCCTCACCTAGTGCTTCTAAGATCAGGTGGATGAAGTTGACCCTCTCGTCTTCCAGCCCCTGGTGGGATTTCACCGGCACATTCATGTACCCATAACGGTGCTCATTGCACACGTGGACGGAGACCCCTGCAGAGACAGGCTGAGTGAGAGCTGCAGTGGAGGGTGGGGCTCTCAGAACCCAGCTGAAAGGTCCTAGGCCCAGCACTGCCAGTGACCCAACATGTCAGTCTTCTCTGGGACTCAGTTTCCCCACCTGTGGGACCAGAGGGAGAAAGGGCTTGGCTCACACAATATCTAAGGGGTCTTTCTACTGAAATGGTTCATTCATTCAATATACCTGTCCAGGGCACCCGCTGGGAGCCAGGGTTACGGCAGTGAGCAAGACTGAGTCCCTGCCCTCAGGGCATCAAGGTGAGGCAGGAGCAGACAAACTCCTACCCATCACAGCCACAGGGTGCCAGTGAGCCCCACTGCTCTGTCTCCTAAATCCCCCCACCTCTCCTGATCCCCACCACCCCACCTGGATCCAAGGGCCATCGCCTTTTCCCCACACCCCTCCACTTCACCTCACACCCTCTGGGGCTCCTCTCCACGATGTCTTTCACCTGGCAGCCAGAGTGGCCTTCCCCCGGCTTCAATATTTGTTACCTTTTTTTTTTTTTTGAGATGGAGTCCTGCTCTGTCACCGAGGCTGGAGTGCAATGGTGCGATCTTGGCTCATTACAACCTCTGTCTCCCAGGTTTGAGCAATTCTCCTGCCTCAGCCTCCTGAGTAGCTGGGAATACAGGTGTGCACCACCACATCCAGCTAATTTTTGTATTTTTAGTAGAGACGGAGTTTCGCCATGTTGGCCAGGATGGTCTCGAACTCCTGGCCTGAAGTGATCCACCCACCCTAGGCCATCCAAAGTGCTGGGATTACAGGCGTGAGCCACTGCACCCGGCCAATATTTGTTACCTTTATTATAATTATCCTCAGGGGCAGGCACACAGTGCCAATTAAAAAGCTAACCTAGGCGGGGCACAGTAGCTCACGCCTGTAATCCCAGCACTTTGGGAAGCCCAGGCAGGCAGATCATTTGAGGTCAGGAGTTCAAGACCAGCCTGGCCAACATGGTGAAACCCCATCTCTACTAAAAATACAAAAATTAACCGGCTGTGGTGGTGGCCGCCCGTAATCCCATCTACTTAGGAGGCTGAGGCAGGAGAATCACTTGAACCCGGGAGGCAGAGGTTGCAGTGAGCCAAAATCGCGCCACTGCACTCCAGCCTAGGCGACAGAACAAAGCTCTGTCTTAAAAAAAAACAAACAAAAAACAAATAAAAGCTAACCCTATTCCCAGCATTGAGCACAGAGCCTGGCCCAGAGCCGGGATGTAGTATCTGGCTGTTAGAGACTGAATTCCTTCAAACCATTGACCAATTAACAACGGCTGTCGCTTGAAGTAGGGCTAGCAAATTAAAAATAACAGAATGCTTTTGTTTCCTCTTGTGTTTTCCCCTCCAATTGTTTCACCTTCACTCACTTTTTGCACTTGGTAAGATTTCTTCTTGCATGTCTGCACACTGCAGACTTCTCCAGCACAAAACAAAGAATTACAACATCCTCCTTACCGGCTGCCACTGATTACTTGATTAAATCGTCACCTCTAATTTACCCTGAGCACCTGCAAAGTTCTTCTCCATGCACCAGATAGTCTTCAGGGTCGGAATTACATATTCTCTGCAGCCTTCTCAAGAGCTTCACTCCAACATCAGTGTCTCCACCCCTCCCTCTCATCCTCAGGACTGGATTTTTTTTTTTTTTTAAGACAGAGTCTCGCTCTGTCGCCCAGGCTGGAGTGCAGTGGCGCGATCTCGGCTCACTGCAAGCTCTGCCTCCTGCGTTCACACCATTCTCCTGCCTCAGCCTCCCGAGTAGCTGGGACTATAGGCACCCGCCACCATGCCTGGCTAATTTTTCGTATTTTTAGTAGAGACGGGGTTTCACCGTCTTAAGATGGTCTCAATCTCTTGACCTCGTGATCCACCTGCCTCGGCCTCCCAAAGTGCTTAGATTACAGGCGTGAGCCACCGCACCTGGCCAGGACTGGATTTATTCCATCCAAACCCAAACACTTTCTTACTCTCTGTTTTTTTTCAGACAGGGTCTCATCTTGTGTTGCCCAAGGTGGAGTACAGTGGCATGATCACAGTTTACTGCAGTCTCTACCTCCTGGGCTCAAGCGATCCTCCTGCCTCAGCCTCCCAGGAAGCTGGGACTACAGGCGTGGGCCAACACGCCAAGTTAATTTTTAAATTTTTTTGTAGAGATGGGATCTCGCAGCCGGGGGCGGTGGCTCACGCCTGTAATTGTAGCACTTTGGGAGGCTGCGGGGGCAGATCACTTGAGCCCAGGAGTTCAAGACCAGCCTGGGCAACACGGCAAAACCCCATCTCTACAAAAAATACAAAAATTAGCTGGGCATGGTGGTGTGCACCTGTGGTCCCAGCTACGTGGGAGGCTGAGGTGGGGGAGGTCAACACTGTAGTGAGCTGAGATTGTGCCACTGCACTCTAGCCTGGGAGCCACAGAGCAAGACTCCGTCTCAAAAAAAAAAAAAAAAAAAAAAGGCTGGGCTGGGCTCAGTGGCCCATGCCTGTAATCTCAGCACTTTGGGAGGCTGAGGCGGGCAGATCACCTGAGGTCAGGAGTTCGAGACGAGGCTGACCAACACGGAGAAACCCCGTCTCTACTAAAAACACAAAATTACCCAGGCGTGGCAGTGCATGCCTGTAATCCCAGCTACTCGGGAGGCTGAGGCAGGAGAACTGCTTGAACCCGGAAGGCAGAGGTTGCAGTGAGCCAAGATCACGCCATTGCACTCCAGCCTGGGCAACAAGAGCAAAACTCCATCTCAAAAAAAAAAAAAGGGCAGAAAAGAGATGAGGTCTTGCTATGTTGTCCAGGCTGGTCTCGAACTCCTGAGCTCAAGTGATTTCCCCTCCAGCCTCAGCTTCCCAAGACTTTGAGATTAGGGTCTGAGTCACCTTGCCTGGCCATACCCAAACTCTTTCTAGTAACTTTCATCTTGGCTGGGCGCGGTGGCTCACGCCTGTAATCCCAGCACTTTGGGAGGCCGAGGCGGGCAGATCACGAGGTCAGGAGATCGAGACCATCCTGGTTAACACGGTGAAACCCCATCTCTACTACAAATACAAAAATTAGCCGGGCGTGGTGGTGGGCGCCTGTAGTCCCAGCTACTCGGGAGGCTGAGGCAGGAGAATGGCTTGAACCCGGGAGGCGGAGCTTGCAGTGAGCCAAGATCGGCCACTGCACTCCAGCCTGGGCGACAGAGTGAGACTCTGTCCCAAAAACAACAACAACAACAACAACAAAAAACCTTTCATCTTAAAAGTAACCACTGGCTGGGCGGGTGGCTCACACCTGTAATGCCAGTACTTTGGGAGGCCGAGGCGGGTGGATCACCTGAGCTCAGGAGTTTTGAGACCAGCCTGACCAACATGGCAAAACCCCGTCTCTACTAAAAATACAAAAATTAGCTGGGTGTGGTGGCGGGTGCCTGTAATCCCAGCTACTCGGGAAGCTGAGGCAGGAAATCATTTGAACCCGGGAGGCAGAGTTTGCAGTGAGCCGAGATCACACCAAAAAAAAAAAAAAAGAGAGAGAAAAGAAAACTCATGACCCAAAGTTGTAACTCATGGGTTAACAGGATGAAATGCAGAGTAGGGAAGGGCATGGTAAGCAGCTGGAATAGCATGTGCAAATGTGCAGAGGCCTCCAAGGAATGCTAAAGGAGGGCTGGTCCTCACCAGCAGCCTGGCAGGCATAGGCGAAGACGATGATGTCGTCGAAAGGCCAAGTGTAGTTGGGATGTGGCGGGTAGAAAGCAAGCTGGTCTGCCCCTTCAGCCCGCAGGGATGCAAGGAAGGTGGAGTGGACCATGGGGACACGGAAGCAGCCCCGGCGCTGGCGGTTCTTGGTGGGGAAGTACTCGGCTGTGCGGCGGTAGTAGCCCTGGGGAAAAGGGATGCTTTGGGCTGTGAGAGGGCTCCCCTGCCCCTGCCCACAGACCCCAAGGCCTCAGGCTCTCTGCTCTCCACGTCCCTCCTTCCAGGACCTCAGTCCACCCAAGGCCCCCATCCCGGCCTCACCTGGGGGGTGATCCCACACCAGAAGTTGGAGTAGTAGGTCTGGGAGTCCAGCATTGGGGCCACCACTGGAAGCCCCTGCCCCATGAGAAGCCGCAGAGTCTGATTGTTGGTCAGAATGTTGTCTGTGTCTGCAAACTTTGAGGAGGGGACGTCACAGGCTCCAGCCCTGCCTGGGCTGCAGCCCCCCAAGGAGTTCACTGAGTGGTCCTGCCAGAGACCCAGCGTGGCTCCTAGGATCCAGTGGGAATGCTCTTACAGAGGTCTCACAAACTCAGTACATCTGTTTCTGGACCAAGGCTCTAGTCTGGGGCACTGACTCAGGGACTGGGTCCAGAGATTATACCTGAGTTACTGATCTAAGACCTTTATCTGGGATCTGGCTTAGAAAATGGATCCAAACACCTACTCTGAGCTCTAGTTCAGAGATCCAGGCTCAATTTATACCCTGGGCTCTAGCCCAGAAATCGAGGCTCAGTAAAGTGTATACAACGGGATCTATCTGAGGGGTCCAGGCTTAGTACCTAGTCTGAGCTTTTAACATAGGGATCCAATCTGAACATCTGGTCTGGGCTCTGGCCCAGATAGCCTGCCGAAGGATCCAGCCTTCGGGTGGGTCAGTCACATTCAGATTTCTTTTTCTTTTTTTTTTTTTTTTGAGACTGAGTTTCACTCTTGTCACCCAGGCTGGAATGCAGTGGCATGATTTCAGCTCAGTGCAACCTCTACCTCCCAGGTTCATGCCATTCTCATGCCTCAGCCTCCCAAGCAGCTGGAATTACAGGCGCCTGCGACCACGCCCAGCTAATTATTGTATTTTTAGTAGAGATGGGGTATCACCATGTTGGCCAGGCTGGTCTCGAACTTCTGACCTCAGGTGATCCACCTGCCTTGGCCTCCCAAAGTGCTAGGATTATAGGCGTGAGCCACTGCACCCAGCCTATACCCAGATTTCTATCAGGGACGGATACTACCGCCTTTCAGAAGCCCGATTCTAGCCAGACTTCCTCACCAGGATATAGTCGGCCCCCCAGTTCCTGGCAAAGGTGAGGGCTTCCTGCTTCAGCTCCATCAGAAACTGGTGCCTTTCTTTGGTCCAGTGCTTGGGACCCTCTTCATCTGGGTAGAACCTGAGGGGATAGAGGTGAGATGTTCCCATGGGGTACATGCCCCTCCCTCTCTGCAGGGCAGTGGACAGAGCCCTGGCTTGGAGGCTGTGGCTCTGGGCTGTCCCTTTTCCTCTCTGGGCTGCAGCTGTTCTCCATCTTCCCCAGCACCCTTCCCCTCAGATCACCACCTGGGCTCGCCCTCAGGCCTCCAGACCACAGCAGCATAGTCATCGCCCACAGCCGCCAGCCACTCCTGCAGCATCTCTGTGGTGTTGTCCACATTGTGGTCCGTGGCACACCTGGGGACGGGAAGAAAAAAGGCTGAGGGGGCACAGCCACAGGATTGAACCCCAAGGCAGCCTTGACCCCAAAGCACTAACACCTTTGAGGTCGAGCTCTCCTTGGAACAGTGAAGGGTAGGTGTGCTACAGCAGAGAGGCTGGAGGCAGCACAGCCAGGTCCCCACCACAGTTCTGTGACCTGCTGTGTGACCTCAGGCAAGTCCCATCTTTCTCTGGGCTTCACGTCCTCCCTCTATAACTTAAGCTGTCCTGCTTATGTCATGGACAAAGATAAGAGAAGAATAATGCATTTTTTTTGAGATGGAATCTTGCTCTGTCGCCCAGGCTGTAGTGCAGTGGTATGATCTCGACTCACTGCAACCTCCGCCTCCCGGGTTCAAGTGATTCTCCTGCCTCAGCCTCCTGAGTACCTGGGATTACAGGTGTGCACCACCATGCCCGGCTAATTTTTGTTTGTTTAGTAGAGATGGGGTTTCACCATGTTAGCCAGGCTGGTCTTGAACTCCTCACCTCAGGTGATCTGCCCACTTCGGCCTCCCAAAGTGCTGAAATTACAGGCGTGAGCCACCACACCTGGCCAACGAATGCATTTTGAAAGATGAAAAGTACCTCGACTTTAAGGATCACACCTGGTGCATTCCCTGGTTACCTTCGTTAGGTGGGCAGATACCTACCTATGTGACCTGTGGCTGTGTGACCACAGGCCAGCCCCTGTCCCTCTCTGAATGGGGACTAGACAGAAGAGCTGCTGCTTTCCTCCACCCCCAGGTTGTAATAAGGACCAAACCATGCTCTAAGCGTCCCTAAGAATGCAGATGGGTCCAAGCTCTGCTGTCATGGGGCACAGCCTCCCCTCTCCTGGGGAAGGGGCCCCCATAACAGAGGTGGGGGTTTAGCCAAGTGCCCAGGTTTTGGGTGATGCTGCCCCTTTAAGCCAATTCCCCAGAAATGAAGACTACGTGTCAAGTCTTACAGGGGTGGGAACTAACAAACTCCCAAACTGTGGTAATTGTGGGCGGCCTCCCCAGGCCAGGGCTCCACCCCCCCAGCCCAACTGTGGTGTGTTGAAGAGGGTGGCTTGTCATTTTTCTCAGTTTACCCCCAACCTCAGCCAGGGACTCCTCCCTGTTCTGGTGTCTACAGACCAGGGGTTGTGGCCTTCGATCCCAGTGCCCTGGGGGTACAGAGATGCCAGAGGGGAGAGGCTCCAGGAAGGGGGACTGCCCTTGGCTGACAGGATCCCGCCCCTCTACCAAGATCTACCAAGAGAGCTGGCCCCAGCACGGGGGCGGTGGGGGGGCCGGTCTGACTCCCCTGCACAGCCCGGAGCCCAGTGCTGATGGCACCCCCAACCTGTGCCCGGAAGCCTCCAGCGTGGTCGATCCCTGCCACGTTGGGCCCCAGTGGACTTCAGAGGTTCCTGTCTGCTCCTCTTCAAATCCAGCCAACCACAGGTCCCACTGGGGTTGAGCTGGGCCCTGAAGGCTGGGGTGAAAAGGGCTGGCTGGGCCCAACCTACACCCAGGGAAGGCCCCAAGAGGAAGGAGTAGGGGACCAGAAGGAGGGGTGGGTGTCCCGCGTCGGCCTGTGGCCTCAGAGGTCTGTCGTCTCCCAGCAGGGGGCTCGGGGTCCTCTCTGGCGGCTCGGGCTGGCAGGGCCGTCTGTGAGGGGAGGGGCCTGTCTAGGTGGTGTCTGGGCAGGGAGCGAGCAGACAGGGCCGCCGGGGGCGGGGGCCATCTGCGAAGCTGGGGGTTAGGTGCCCACTCGGTGCCAATGCCCGGGTCTCTCACCAGAGGGCCATCCTGGCCCGGGGGTAGTCCAGCCGCTCCAGAGCGCCCAGGTAGTGGGGCAGCGAGTGTTCGGCATTGCGGGCCAGGATGGCAAGGACCACGGCGGGCAGCGGCGACTCCGCAACGCCCGCAGCCTCCAGCCACGGCCCCAGCAGGAGCAGCAGCTGGAGCAGCGGCGCGGCGCGGGCAGCGCGCATGGCGGGCGCTTGGGCGGCTGCAGCGGCCCCCGGAGCTCTCGGGCCGGCCGAGGGGAGGGGGCGGGGCCTGGGGCCCGGGCGGGGCCGAGGCAGACCCGGAGAGGGCGGGGCAGTGCACCCTCAGAGTGGGATCCTGCTCCCCACCCCTGTGCGTGGATGCTCAAGTTTTCTCTCCTTGGCCCGGGGCACCGGAGGGCCAGGGCCCGGGGACCCGCGCCAGCCGCGACCCTGGAGCAGCCCCGCCCGGCTGGACCCCGGAGGGGCGACGGCGGAGGGGCCGGAGGACCGGACAGGGGAGGGGTGCTAGGACGAGTGCGTCGGGGCCGGCCGGGCGTCCGAGAACAGTAGGGGCTCATGGAACCCCTGGGCGTTGAACCCCCGGAATCCGGATTCCCCGGCCCACGCAGCCGACTCTTCGACCTGAGCCGCAGACCCAGAGGGGCGGCGCCCACTCGGCCACCACCTCCCGGGCTTCCCCGGCTCCCGCCCCATCCTCCGCCCCGGGCGCCCTCTGGCGGCCCTGGCGCTAGCTCCGCAGACCAGCCGGGCCACGCGTGGGCCGGAGACCCAGCGTGGGGGGCGCAGAGGGAGTCCCCCTGAGCTGGGCGCGTCCTCCCGCGGCGGTCCGCTCCTTAAGTCCCCTGTGCGTCACCTCCTTGCGTCGGTCGCCAGCACCCGCATTGCTTCGGCCCTTTAAGAGAGCACAGCCAGGCCGGGCGTGGTAGCTCACGCCTGTAATCCCGGCACTTTGGGAGACCGAGGCGGGAGGATCACCTGAGATCAGTTCAAGACCAGCCTGGCCAAGATGGTGAAATCCCATCTGTACTAAAAATACAAAAATTAGCCGGGCGTCGTGGCGGGTGCCTGTACTCCCAGCTACTTGGGAGGCTGAGGCAGGAGAATCGCTTGAACCCGGGAGGCGGAGGTTGCAGTGAGCCGAGATCGCGCCACTGCACTACAGCCTGGATGACAGACCGAGACTCCGTCTCAAAAAGAAAAAAAAAAAAAGAGCACAGCCCTCACAGCCCTCTCTTGGTCTGAGTGTAGAACTAGGGGACACCACGGAGCTGCTCACTGCGACCCGACCCGTCCGTCCTCCAAAGCAGGGGATGTTGGCTCCCCTGGAGCACCGCCGGGGTCCTTAGGACCCTGCTGGGAGGGAAAGAACTCTGCAGCCTCTCGGGAGAGGAGCAGAAAAGGGAGCGGCCTGGCGGCACCACAGATGGGATCGAACTGGGTGTCTGTCACCAACCTCAGACAGGTCCCTTTCCCTCAGGAGCCTCTCGGGTAAAATCGGGCTGATAACGCCACCCATCTGGGAGGGTTTGCAGGGATTCCTCGAGAGAATGAATGCACTGGCAGCTTTTCCCGCGTGGAGGCTTACACACAGGAAGAGCTCCGCCCTGGGGCTGGGAAGACAGGACTGGAGGAGAGGGAGGCTCCCCCTTCACCCTCCCACCGCTGGGAAGATCTCCTTTCCTAGGAACAGCACGGGGTCTCCCTTCAGCCTTTTCCCAGGGTCAGGGAGGGGAGCCAGGGCTGTGCACACTATCTCCACTGCAAGGGGAGGGCTGAAGGTCCATAGAGGAAGGAACTTACCTAGTGCAGGGGCAGCACGTGCGCACTGAACCCTGGAGTCCTGATCTCTAGCCTAGCTCAAAGCCTCCACCAGGATCGGGTGGCAGCTTCCATTTGAGGCCATTTCTAGGCCAGCGGCCCTGCAATGAGAAGCATTCTGGAGAGATGCCAGATTTCTTCTCCCTTGCACGGTAGTCCCCTGCGGGAAGCCACTCCCAGCCCCAGAAGAGGGATTCCCTTTCTAAAGCAAAGCAGTGTTCCCTACTTCACCCACCCCAGAGTCATTCCACAGCCTCTGCCTGTCCTATTGGTCCAAGGGTGCTATGGTCAGAATGTCCGTGACCCTCAAAACTCACATGTTGAAAACCTAATGTTAATGTCAGGGTATTAAGAAGCGGGGCCGGCACGGCGCGGTGGCTCGCGCTTGTAATCCCAGCACTTTGGGAGGCGGAGGCGGGCGGATCACGAGGTCAGGAGATCAAGACCATCCTGGCTAACACGGCGAAACCCTGTCTCTACTAAAAAATAGAAAAAAATAGCCGGGCGTGGTGGCGGGCGCCTGTAGTCCCAGCTACTCAGGAGGCTGAGGCAGGAGAATGGCGTGAACCCAGGAGGCGGAGCTTGTAGCGAGCCGAGATCGCGCCACTGCACTCCAGCCTGGGCGACGGAGCGAGACTTCTGTCTCAAAAAAAAAAAAACAAAAAACAAAAAACAAAAAAAAAAACAGGCGGGGCCTTTGGGAGTTGATTGGGTGGGCTGCCCCACCTGAATGCGGCTAGTGCCCTTATAAAAGAGGCCTGGGGGCCGGATGCGGTGGCTCACGCCTGTAATCCCAACACTTTGGGAGGCTGAGGGGGGTGGATCATGAGGTCAAGAGATCAAGACCATCCTGGCCAACATAGTGAAACCCCATCTTTACTAAAAATACAAAAATCAGCTGGGTGTGGTGTCGCGTGCCTGTAGTCCCAGCTACTCAGGAGGCTGAGGCAAGAGAATCGCTTGAACCCAGGAGGCAGAGGTTGCAGTGAGCCAAGATCATGCCACTGTACTCTAGCCTGGCAACAGAGCGAGACTCCGTCTCAAAAAGAAAAAAGAGGCCTGGGGAGCTTGTCAACCCCTTCTGCCACATGAAGACACAGCTAGAAGGCCCCAGGTATGAGGAACGGGCCCTTACCAGACACCAAATCTGCTGACGCCTTGACCTTGGACCTCCCAACCCCCCAGAACTATTAGCAATAAATTTCTTTTTTTTTTTTGGCCAGGGGTTGGGGGGTGGTTCAAGCAATTCTCCTGCTTCAGTCTCCTGAGTAGCTGGGATTACAGCCACACACCACTATGCTTGGCTAATTTTTTGTATTTTTAGTAGAGATGGGTTTTCACTACGTTGGTCAGGCTGGTCTCGAATTCCTGACCTCAGGTGATCCAGCTGCCTCAGCCTCCCAAAATGCTGGGATTACAGGTGTGAGCCACTGCACCCGGCTGATAAATTTCTGTTGTTTATACATTATGCAGTCTAAGATATGTTGTTATAGCAGCCCAAACGGACTAAGACAGGGGGCTTCCTGATTCTTCCCTGGCCTCAAGTCCTCCTCTTCCCCCAAGTCCTCCCACCCTCCCCAGGAGTCCAGCCTGTTACTAACTTTCTTGCCTCAGAGTTTTCCCATCACACCTGCCTGGAAAACCCAATAGCCATCTTGTTTTGGGGCAGGTTGGGGCAACTGCAAACTCAGGGTCTCTACCCTCACTTGGGCTCTCACCCAGCCCAAGAATCCTGTTTCCCTGTGTCCCCTGCCCACTCCCCTCAGGGCATTTCAAATGCTTCTAGTCATTGAGGCACGGTGGCTCATGCCTGTAATCCCAGGACTTCGGGAGGCTGAGGTGGGCAGATCACTTGAGGCCAGGAGTTCGAGACCAGCCTAGGAAACACAGTGAAACCCTGTCTCTATTAAAAATACAAAAAAAGGCCGGGGCAGTGGCTCACACCTGTAATCCCAGCACTTTGGGAGGCTGAGGCAAGTGGATCACCTGAGGTCGGCAGCTCAAGACCAGCCTGACCAACATGAAGAAACCCCGTCTGTACTAAAAACACAAAATTAGCTGGGCATGGTGGCGTGTGTCTGTAATCCCAGCTACTCAGGAGGCTGAGGCAGGAGAATCACTTGAACCCAGGGGGGCAGAGGTTGCAGTGAGCCGAGATCGCGCCATTGCATTCCAGCCTGGGCAACAAAGGCGAAACTCCGTCTCAAAAAAAAAAAAATAGTAATAATACAAAAAAAAATTAGCCAGGTGTGGTGGCACATGCCTGTAGCCCCAGCCACTTGGGATTCTGAGGCAGAAGAATCACTTGAACCTAGGAGGTGGGAGTTGCAGTGACCTGAGATCACGCCACTGCACTACAGCCTGGGTGACAGAGTGAGATTCTGTCTCAACAAAACAAAACAAAACAAAACAAAACAAAGCCTCCAGTCTTCTCAAGCCCCCATTCCACCGCCCCTCTCCCCCAGCAAAGATCTCTCTACTACTTTTTGGAGAAAATAGAAGCCATTACCTGGGAACTCTCATTTCTAGCCTCCAAACCTTCCACCTCTGCCCTCAGCCAGCCTCAGGAGGCACACCCCTCCTCAACAGAACGGCCCCTGTGAAACCGCCTTTGCAAATTTGTAACTCAGGAAATTATGACAGCGGAACAAATCAGACCTAACTGATTCTGTCTTGCTTCTAACCCTTAAGCTGTCCTTGTTCACTCCTGGGCGTAGGCTGAACTAACTTTGGGAAGGAATTCAGTTCATGGTTTGACTCTGAAACAAAATTTATAACAGCCCTTTCCCAAAAAGACCCTTCTTCTTGCCTGGGGTCCAGTCTGCCTTTGCAGGACTGGCAAAGTAGCTATAAGATTAGAAATTACAATTTAGGGGTCATGCAGCCTTTGGGTCCTCCCCAAATTGCTCCTGGGGTAACATCACTATTGTAAAACCTAAAGTCAGTGCTTGAGATATTCTGCAGACCCTGCACCCGATGGATCAGCTGACACCAGCCAGACCAGTAATCTGGCCCAACCAGTTCTACCATCGCACCCAGGAACAGAAGACATTAAGAATACCTAACTTCCACCTCCTATGATTCCATCTCCAATCTGACCAATCAGCATTTTCCACTTTCCAAGCCCCTACCTGCCAAATTATATTTAAGAACTCTGATCCCCACATGACTGGGGAGAACCGATTTAAGTAATAATAAAACTCCGGTCTCCCGCACAGCCGGCTCTGTGTGAATTACTCTTTCTCCTTTGTAATTCCCCTGTCTTTTTTTTTTTTTTTTTTTTTTTTGAGACGGAGTCTCGCTCTGTCACCCAGGCTGGAGTGCAGTGGCGTGATCTCGGCTCACTGCAAGCTCCGCCTCCCGGGTTCACACCATTCTCCTGCCTCAGCCTCATGAGTAGCTGGGACTACAGGCGCCCGCCACTACGCCCGGCTAACTTTTTGTATTATTAGTAGAGACGGGGTTTCACCGTCGTCTCGATCTCCTGACCTCGTGATCCGCCCGCCTCGGCCTCCCAAAGTGCTGGGATTACAGGCGTGAGCCACCGCGCCCAGCCTCCCCTGTCTTGATAAATCGGTTCTGTCTAGGCAGCAAGCAAGGTGAACCCATTGGGTGGTTACACCTGGTCCCCTCTCCCTTCCTGGATCCCCATCCTCCCTCTCTTCTAGGCCCTTCCTTCCACATATCAAAGGACTTGGATCTCCCACAACCAAAGATAAGAAAGCACCAAGGCACCCCTGTGGCCTCTAGCTGTGGCCATAACTCCTCCAAGCCTCTTGAATGGTGAATGTGAACCTTGTTCCCTGTCTCTTCACTTCCTTCCATTCTCTGCTTGACACACATCAAGGTGGATCCTGCAGAGACCAGAGTCCTCCAACCACTCCCCCGAGTGGACACTTCCTCCTCATACCTGTATCCAGGCTGGAGTGCAGTAGCATGATCATTGCTCACTGCAGCCTCGAACTCCTGGACTCAAGCCATCCTCCCGTCTCAGCCTCCTGAGTAGTTGGGACTACAGGTGCATACCTAATATTTATTTATTTACTTACTTTGTATAGACGGGGATCTCACTATGCTGCCCAGGCTGGTCTTGAACTCCTAGACTTAAGTGATCCTCCCACCTTGGCCTCCCAAAGTGCTGGGATTACGGGTGTGAGCTACTGAGTCCGGCCAGCACGCCTTTCTAAAATGCCTGACAATAACTCCCTTCAGAGCTGCCACCGCTGAGCACAGAGCTCAACCCCTCAAGGGGCAACAAGGCCCTTCATGGCCTGCCTGCATCTTCTCCACCTCCTCTGGTCTGCAAGCCCTCCCCCTGACCCGACCTTATGCTCCAGCCAAATTGCACAATTTACAGTTTCCAGAATACTCCATGCTTTTGGACCTTCCCACATCCTTTTCTATTTTTTCCCTTGGTCCCGCTGCCTGGATTGGTCTTTCCCTTCCTGGGCAGCTTCTATACTGTGGGTCCTATAGTCTCAGCCAAAACTTCCTCTCTCTGCAAAGATTTCCCTGATGCCATGTCTGGGAGACATATCCCTACAGGTCATTCTGTATGATCCCATTCATTCAGCAACTATTTCCCGAGCACATGCTATGTGCAGGTGGAACGCTAGGGGCTGGGAATACAGAGGTGCACAAAACAGAAGCAGTCTCTGCTCCTAGGCTCCTTACATTTTGGTGAGAAGAAACAGGAAACAAGCAAAACAATCAATGAAGAGATCATTTCAAGGAATGGTAAATGCCATGAACAAATTGAAACACATGATCAAGAACTGAGAGTAGGCTGAAGGCAGTGGCTCACACCTGTAATCCCAGCACTTTGGGAAGCCAAGCCAGGCATATTGCTTGAGCTCAGGAGTTCGAGACCAGCCTGGCCAACATGGTGAAACCCTGCCTCTACAAAAAGTACAAAAATCAGCCGAGCATGGTGGTGCACACCTGTAGTCCCAGCTACTCAGGAGGTTGAGGTGGGAGAATCACTTGAGCCCGGCAAGCGGAGGTTGCAGTGAGCTGAGATTGCACCACTGCACTCCAGCCGGGGCAACAGAGCAGACACTGGCTCAAAAATAATAAATAAATAAAAAGAGAGAGAGAGAACTGAGAGTAGTTGGGAGTCGAGCAACATTCAGACAGAGGGTTCAGGGAAGACATTTTGGAACAAAAGGAAGAGTTAATCAAGGGGAGATCTGAGGGAAGAGTGTTCCAGATGCAGGAACAGGTAGAGCAAAGGCCCGGGGTGGGAACACGAAAGGCGGCCAGTGTGATTGGAGCAAAGTGAGCAAGAGGATATGGTAAGACGTGAGGTTAAATAGGTAGGAACGGCCAGGTCACCCAGTGCCTTGAAACTATGGCAGGGTTTTGGTTTTGGTTTTGTGTTTGAGAAGGAGTCTCGCTCTGTCACCCGGGCTGGAGTGCAATGGTGCGATCTCGGCTCACTGCAACCTCTGCCTCCTGGGTTCAAGCGATTCTCCTGCCTCAGCCTCCCGAGCAGCTGGGATTACAGGCAACTGCCACCACGCCCGACTAACTTTTGTATTTTTAGTAGAGACGGGCTTTTGCCAATGTTGACCACCCTGGTCTCAAATTCCTGACCTCAGGTGATCCGCCCACCTCAGCCTCCCAAAGTGCTGGGATTACAGGCATGAGCCACTGCGCCCAGCCATATGGCAGGGTTTTGGATTTTCTTTTTTTCTTTTCTCTTCTTTTCTTTTTTTTTTTTTTGAGATGTAGTCCCACTCTGTCACTCAGGCTGGAGTGCAACGGCATGGTCTTGGCTCACTGCAACCTCCGCCTCCCAGGTTCAAGGGATTCTCCTGCCTCAGCCTCCCGAGTAGTTGGGATTACAGGCGCTCGCCACCATGCCCGGCTAATTTTTGTATTTTTACTAGAGACAGGGTTTCACCATCTTGGCCAGGCTGGTCTTGAACTTCTGACCTCGTGATCCACCCACCTCGGCCTCCCAAAGTGCAGGGATTACAGACATGTAATCCCTACTAAAAATACAAAAATTAGCTGGACATGATGGCACGTGCCTCTAATCCCAGCTACCTGGGAGGCTGAGGCAGGAGAATTTCTTGGACTGGGAACCAGCAGGCGGAGGTTGCAGTGAGCCAAGATCGCACCACTGCACTCCAGCCTGGGCTACAGAGCAAGACTCCATCAAAAAAAAAAAAAAAAAAAAGCCCGGGTGCGGTGGCTCACGCCTGTAATTCCAGCACTTTGGGATGCTGGGGCGGGTGGATCACCTGAGGTTGGGACCAGCCTGGCCAACATGGAGAAACTCTGTCTCTACTAAAAAATACAAAATTAGCCGGGCGTGATGGCGGGTGTCTGTAATCCCAGCTACTCGGGAGGCTGAGGCAGGAGAATCGCTTGAACCTGGGAGACAGAGGTTGCTGTATGCCGAGATCTCGCCATTGCACTCCAGCCTGGGCAACAAGAGCAAAATTCCGTCTCAAAAAAAAAAAAAAAAAAAAAAGTGCTGTCCTGTGGAGCCTAAGACCTCATTAGCTGGGTCATGCCTGGAAAAAAATGATTGCTCGGACCCATCTGGCTGAGCACGATCCGGATCCTATGGGGTTGACACCTGGTGGGGCTGCCGGTTTCTGCCTGCAGCATCCTCACCCACTTCAGCCATTGTAGTTCTGACCAAATCCAGGTGATGGCGCCAGCGCCTCAGGCTTGACTCTGGCTTCCTGGAGTAGAGACCCTGCAAGAACCGTCCCCCTCCCCAGCGCCTTCGTCCCGCTGGGAGCCTCAGTTCCAAGGCCTGCCTGCCCCTGGCAAAGACTTTGTAGCATGGCTCCACCAGGGAGAGGGGAGCTGAGGCTGGCAGACTCAAACTGGGGGCCAACCCCTACTCCTAGATGTTAGGGAGGTGGGCTACAAGAGCCCCTTTGGGTCAAAGAGAAACTAGGGGTATCAGGCCACTGGGAGTTGGGGGTCAGGAACCCGGGTAGGCTGCTCTGGTCCAGTGGACTCTGGCCACACCCCCATTAACCCTCTGCGTACCCTGCCCCACCTCATTTGAGGTCCCAGGAGCTGCTTCCTTGCCAATGGGTAGGGGCAGCCTGGGGGTGCCCCAGGGCCCAGGTAGGGCCCCCGGATTGGGAGTCCTCATGGCCTGGCAGTCAAACAGGCTTGAAATGGGGACCCAAAGCAGAGAGGATGCTTGCATGCTCTTACCAGCTGCCAGCTTCACGTCTCCTGAGTTGGGGGATCTCTGGTCCCCTGTCCTGCTTTGTGGCCAAGGGAGCCCAGGATCCTGGCCAGAGGATGGGCCCGCACCCCACTCCTGGTTCTGGGTGCAGTTCGGCAGATGGGAATCCAGGAGCTCAGCTTGGACACCCTCCCCACCTCCGGCTCCAAGCCCGGTTCCAAGAGGACCCAGGGCTGAGCAGAGGCTTGTCCCCAATATCCTCCCCTGCCCCTCATCTTTCCTATTTGAGGGAAGACTGACACCCTCAAAGCCCAGCTGGAGGCATCTCTGCCCATTCTGCTTAGACTTAGCGCACCCTGGTCTCTGCTCGAGGAATCTGCCCTCAGCTCCCCCCATTCTGGGGGTCCACCCAACACCCACACACACTTCCACGGACCACCCTCTCTCTCCCTTTTGGCCATGCCCTCCTCTCCCAGGATCCCAGATGTGCAGCTGTCCTCCTCTGAGGCTCTGCCTCTGTTCTCAGGAGGCTGGGACCAGGCCAGCTGTTTTCTCTGGGCAGCCAGCTGTTTTGCCCATCAGGAAGCAGTCCTGGCTCCTCCGCTAAAATCGTTGCTGTGGCTGCAGCGTGGCAGCCCTGTTGAGCCAGGTCCTGGGAGCTGTTAACTCCTCTGGGCCCAGGCAGCCCCTTCCCTCTCTCAGCCCTGATACCTTCTGCTTCCCCCTGACCCACAGAACTAGCCCATCTCGGGACTTCTAGGGACCCCAAGAAGACCAAGTTTTGCTATCCCCACCCCCCTCAACAACTCCTAACCCCCGCCCCACTCCACAGAGCCTTGTCCTCAGGTGAACCCAGCAGGAGGCTCAAAGGGATAAATGTTAACCTTATTCAGAATAATAATCATAGCTATCATTAACCGTTTGCTGTGTACCAGGCATCTGCTAAGTGCTTTTTTTTGCGGTGGGCGATGGAGTCTCACTGTGTCGCCCAGGCTGGAGTGCAATGGCTCGATCTCAGCTCACTGCAGCCTCTGCCTCCTGGGTTCAAGCGATTCTCCTGCCTCAGCCTCCCAAGTATCTGGGATTACCCGCCACCATGCCCAGTTGATTTTTGTATTTTTAGTAGAGATGGGGTTTCACCATGTTGGTCAGGCTGGTCTCCAATTCCTGACCTCAGGTGATCCACCTGCCTTGGCCTCCCAAAGTGCTCAGATTACAGGCATGAGCCACCGTGCCCAGCCTGCTAAGTGCTTTAAATGTATTATATAACTTGATTTTCACGACAACCCTGTGAAGTCAGGAAATCTTTTTTTTTTAATTTTTTTTTGAGATGGATTCTTGCTCTGCCGCCTAGGCTAGAGTGCAGTGGTACTATCTTAACTCAGTGCAACCTCTACCTCCCTGGTTCAAGCAATTCTCCTGCCTCAGTTTCCCAAGTAGCTGGGATGACAGGCACGTGCCACCAGGCCCAGCTAATTTTTGTATTTTTAGTAGAGATGAGGTTTCACCATGTTGACCAGGCTGGTTTTGAACTCCTGACCTCAAGTGATCTGCCCGCCTTGGCCTCCCAAAATGCTGGGATTATAGGTGTGAGCCACCATGCCTGGCCAGTTGGGAATATTTTTATTTTACAGAAGAGGAAACCTTGAAACTGAGGCACGGAGAATCTAAATAAATCACTTGCCAAGCTCATCCAGAGTTGGGGTTTGGGGTTTGAAACCAAGTCTGCCTGTCTCACTCTGGCCAGCCCTGGTGACTCTGGAACTGCTGTTGGTGTTACTGTTTAAGTTCCCTGGAGCTTTTTGCCCCAGGCTTTCTCTCCCTGTCCTCAGTCGCCCCACCTGTGGAATGGGGACACTCTATGCATGGAGTAAACACCACCAGTTCTGAGTCTGGAGCTGTGTCAGGTTCTGTGCTCGATTCTTTCCAAGTATTTATTAGCGAATTACTCCTCCTGGTGGCTACGGTCGGCCTGGGCTAGAATCCCAGCTCTGCTGCCTCCAGACTGCCTGGCTTTGGGCAAGTGACTGGACCTCTCAAGAGTCTAGCAGTCTCCAAAGCTGCAAAATGGAGACAGGAAAAACGCCTCTGCATCTTTGATTTTGTTATGGAAAGGATGAGATGACGCAGATGAAGTGATTAGCCCAGGACCTGACCCAGAGGTAGTGGGTGGGAAATGCTGCCTGTTACTCTTCTATTTAACCACAATGGTCAAGGGCAGGATCCAAGTGGCCCATGCACCACCGCGTGCCCCCATGCTCAGCTCAGAGCTGGTACGTAGGAGGGCTCCATCATTACCTGTGAATGAACCTGGTCCGTGGTCCCCACATGGGGAAAGCAGGCTGGGAGAGGGCCACACCTGTCCAAGATCACACAGTTACCGGGTGGAGCTGGATTCAGCCCCGTCCGTGAGTCTGCCAAGGTCCCCTGCTCTGACTCCTGTACCCCTAGGGCCTTCTCTCTCGAGGCCAGAACCTGGAGTAGGGAGGGGACAGGGGAACAGGGACAATCTCAGGGCTAAGACAACCCAGAAGGTGACTTGGCTGTGGCTGGGTGGGATCTCAGGGTCTGGGAACGACCCCTCAGGATGCAGTGACCCGTGCTCTCCCTTTTTGTCCTCTCCCCCCTGCCCACCATGGGTCAGTTCCCTGGTCCCAGCCTAGACATCTGGAACTGGGGCAGACAAAGGGCTGCGGGAAGGGACAATAACCTTCTGTCCATTTTCAGATGTCGGGCCGCGCCTGGCCAGGGCTGGGGGCCGGAGCCCCGGCGAGGCGGTGCCAGGCCCCCCGCGGGCAGCGGACAATGTTGGCAGTGATGGAGAGGAGGCATTTCAAAGCGTTTTGTTCCCGCTGACCCCCTCCCCCCAACATCTCGCCCCAGCTCGGGGCGAGGCCCCATCCCCACCCCCAGCCACCCAGGCCTCTGCTCTGGGCGGCTTGGGGACCAGCCACATTCTTGACCTCAGGGGAAAAGTTTAGACTCTTTGCGCCCTGGGCAACAATAACAGTGTCACAGAACTGATTTAGGAGCAGCACTTACCATCACAAAGCAGCAGACAAAGAGCCGGGCTGAGAACGCGCCGGGCCGCTGCGACTACTCCACCAACCGCGGCTCACTTCTCTCCAGGCTCTGCCAGGCAGGACTGGGTGCCAGGCCCCACACCCTAGGCACACCAGGGGAGGACTTGAGGTGGGCAGTCATCAAGAAGAGACAGGGGAAACCAACCGGGAATGTGGAGGACTGAGAGCTAGTTCCTGCTCCACCACCAATTTGCTACGTGACCCTGAGCAAGTCCTTCCCCACTGTGGGCCTCAGTTTCCCTATCTGTAGTAAGAAGGCTAAACTATAAGGCCAAAAGCACGAGGCTCTGATCTTGCAGGTAGAAGAGTTTCAATGAGGATGATGACAGTGGTGATGGTGGTGCTGCCAAGCCCCCCTCCTCCAACTCCTTTACCCCTAGGGCCTTCTTTCTTGAGGCCAGAACCCGGACTAGGGAGGGGACAGGGGAACAGGGACAATCCCATGGCTAAGTAAGACAACCCAGAAGGTGACTTGGCTGTGGCTGGGTGGGATCTCAGGGTCTGGGAACGACCCCTCAGGATGCAGTGAGAAGTATTTGCCACTTGGTCCTGTGCACTTCAGAGGTGCCAGGCACTGTGCTCACTAAGCCCTTTCAGACCTTCATACCCTTTTATCATGTAAACTTTTTCAGACTCACAAAGCAGATGTATAATTAGCTCCACTTTACACTTGATAAGCTAAGGCTCAGAGAAGTTCAGTCATTTGTCCAACGCCACACAGCCTGGAGGTTGTGGAGCCAATACTCAAGGCGGAGCCGCTTCCTTCCTGAAATTATACTCCAGTGGGAAGGAGAGAGGAACAACGAGGCAGCTGGACATGGTGAGTTCTGGCTGGGAGGGTCTTCCCTCCCTGCCAGAAGGCTATGAATAAAGAAATGTCTGCTTATCCCCAGGGGAAATTCCATCCTTGGAGCAGGTGCCTTTATTTATTTATTTATTTATTTATTTATTTATTTATTTTTTGAGACAGAATCTCGCTCTGTCACCCAGGCTGGAGTGCAGTGGCGCGAACTTGGCTCACTGCAACCTCCACCTCCCGGGTTCAAGCGATTCTCCTGCCTCAGCCTCCCGAGTAGCTGGGACTACAGGCACCCGCCACTACGCCTGGCTAATTTTTGTATTTTTAGTAGAGATGGAGTTTCACCATATTGGCCAGGCTGGTCTCTCAACTCCTGACCTTGTGATCAGCCCTCCTTGGCCTCCCAAAGTGCTGGGATTACAGGCGTGAACCACTGTGCCCAGCTGCAGTTGCCTTTAAAAACGAGGTTGGACAAGCACTTTGGGAGGCTCCCGCCTGTAATCCCAGCACTTTGGGAGGCTGAGGCAGGTGGATCACTTAAGCCCAGGAGCTCAAGACCAGCCTGGGCAACATGGCAAAACTCCATCTCTACAAAAAATACAAAAATCAGCCAAGCATGGTGGCCATTCACTCCAGCCTGGGCGACAGGGTGAGACTGTGTCTCAAAAAATAAAAATAAAGTTTATTTAAAAAAAAGCTTGATTGATTTTTATCTGTGAACAGAGGTGGGCCTGGGTAGACATCCAGATGCAGGGGATTGAATGCAATGACCTCCAGCGGAGGCCTCCTAGGAATCAGAGGCACTATGGAAGAACGTTTAAGGGATTGGGCTCTGCAGCCAAGCTATGGGCTTGAATCCCAGCTCTTTTTCTCGCAGTGTGTCCACAGATGAGTCACTTCAATGCTCCGTGTCTCAGTTTTCCAATCTGTAAAACTGACTCCACACTGCAGGAATGTGGTGACCACCATTCAGCAAGGTACGTGGACGACCTCAGAACAGAGCCTGACCCAGTGAGGAATGCCTGTTTCTACTCGGCAGGGTCCCCCCAGCCAGGTCCCACCTCAAAGCAGGAACCACTGGGGTGCTGTGGTATGCAGTCAGCTGTTGACCTTGCTTTTTGGGAAGTGGTTGGGCTTTAAAGACAACATGAGGGACTATGGTTAGACACCAAGAACAAAGACGCCATTCTCTGGGGGATGTAAGGCAAAAGCCAACCACGGCTTCCCAGGGATAGTCAGAGGAGATTGTGGCGCTCTGAGGCCCAGGCAGGGGCTGCTCCTGCTACTAGGCTGGGCCCTGGGCATGGTGCCTGGAGAGACAACAGAAAGGAAAGGCCTGGAGGTGCTAGGCAGAGTCGGCTCCCTCCACCCCTCAGCCTCTTAAATTCAGGGGGAAACTGCATGTGGAGAGGGAAAGAGAGAGGTGGTCAAAGATGGCTTCCATAACACAAACAGCCTGCGGTGTGATGAGGGGGCCTGGTGGGTTTGAGTACCAGCAGTTTGCTGTGTCACCCGGGATGAACTGCTAACTCTCTCTGAGCTCATTCCAAAGGTCTTTTAGAATCCAAAGTGTTAAAAGGAAACCATTACAGCAGCCTCTGTGATTTCACAAATCTAATCAGAAAGTTGGCTAGGCTGGGTGCGGTAGCTCAGGCCTGTAATCACAGCATTTAGGGAGGCTGAGGTGGGAGGATTGCTTGAGCCCAGGAGTTCAAGACCAGCCTGGGCAACATAGTGAGACCTTATCTTTTTTTTTTTTTTTTTAATATAAAGATATATTCCATGCAAGAGAGACCTCATCTTTTAAAACAGAAATTTAAAAATCATACAAATAAAAATAAAACACAAAAACCTGGCTGGGAATCCAGGAGTCCTATACCCTAGACTCCAGCCCCTCCTACCTCCTCACATTCCCAGCCCTCTCCTCCAGCTTCTCTAACCATCCCTTCAGCTCCCCTCACCAAACCATCAGTGACACACGAGTCCCAGACAGAGGGTGAGACAGTCACAACAGAAAAGGCCACAGAACCATGAGGACTCACGGAGATTGTGGGGGTCTTGGGGAGCCCCGACATGGACAACCTCTCCCTCCCTCACTGCCTGGCTGTGGGGCCAGAGGAGCACTCACCCGGGCAGAGCCTCTTGGGGGTACTCCTCAGCCCAGGAGGTGGATGGCACTGCTGGGGCGTCTCTGGCATAAGGTGACTCCCACCCAGCTCCTGCTGCTGAGAAGGACTGGTCAGGCGGGGCCCTCAGGTGCCAGACCGCCCTTCCCGGGCACAGATTTTCCTGGCATCTGCTGGGCAGGAAGGGCACTGGCTGGGGGTTGGGCAGAGGAGCAGGGAAAGATTTGAGCAAAGACGTCTCCCAGAGGGCTTCCCCCTAAACCTTCACCCCACTCTCCTTCTGGACACTGTAGGCCAAAGGTCCAGGAAGACAGGGAGCCTCAGGAGTGGGGAGAGGTCTGATCAAGGAGGCTGAGAGGAGCCCAGGCCCCTGCCCCCCGACCGCTCCCATCCACTGCCAGCAGGGCCCACACGGAGGTGTTTGCTTTTCCTGCCTCTACACTGACTCCATTCAGAGCAGCCGATCCCCACCCCCGGCCAACGACCAGAAAGTCAGGGCACCAGGGAGTGAGATCACGGCCCCCACCTCCCCCTCCACAACCCTTCCTGCCCTCTTCACTGCAGGAGATACCTCAGCCACAAGGGCTTCCTAGTTTCATGGACGACTGGGGCGTGGGGGGCTGGCAGGAGGAGAGAAAGAGGGAAACCAAGTCGAGAAGAGGGTGGTGGGAAGTATCTGAGGAGAGGGACGCAAAGGGACACGGACGATAGGGCTCCTGATGGAGGCGGCCCAGGCAGAGATGGGGCAGGGACAGGATGGGGGAGCCACAGAGCAGAGGACTGTCTAGGAGGCAGGCAGGGCCGTCACTAACCAGTCCAGGGCCTCACAGCCTGGCTCTGCACCGGTCACGGCCAGCAGGGCCCGGAGTGGACACTGAGGATGGGAGCTCCTGGCGCCCACCTGGAAACCAGCCTCCTTCTCATCCCCGGAACAAGGGCCCAGGCAGAGCTGTGACCTGGTCTGTGGCCAGGGGAAGGAGGAGGGTGAAAAGTTTCCCCAAGTCAGAAGGCCATGGGGGAGGCATCTCAGGGGGTCCTGCTCTTTGCTGTCTCTGACTGTCACATTGGTACATAAAGGGGGTAGAAAGGTCAGATGCGGCCTTTCAGGCCCGTGGGAAAAACTCAGCCCATTTCCCTAATCCATATTTATTGGTGTGAGACACTGGGGTGGGAGGAAGCCCGCTGCCCCCACCCGCCGCCCCAGCCAGGCCAGGTTAGCACTAAGAACAGGCTCCATGTCACCCAAATCCTACTCTTTGTCTCCAGATTGGCTCCAGAATCCTCCCCCATCCCTCCTCCCCTTGGTCCCCCCCACCCAACCCCCCTCGGGGTTGCCAAGCAACCATGGAAGGGTAGCTGAGATATTTTCTTTATTACAAGCAAAAGCAAGACAGCATCATGGCCCCAGGAGGGGAGCAGGGTGGGGGCTGGGGGAGAGGGTGTCCTGTGCTCTGGGGGGACTCAGCCACCTCCACTTGTTCTGAGCGTGAGCAGTGGGGAGACAGGGCCCCAGAGCCCAAGAGAAGGAGGGAGATGGAAGAGAGTGTTGGTGAAGGGGTGGGTGGAGTGTGCAGACACTGGTCCACTCTACACAATGCTAAAAGATGGGGTGGTGCCATGAGACCCAGGCCTGAGTCTCTCACCTGCCACCCACCAGCTGTGCCATCTGCACCCAAGTCACTTCCCTTCTCTGGGCCTGTTTCCTCCTTGATAAAATGGGAATAATAATATGTATTATCTCATTTAATCCTCACAAAAGACCCAGGAGATGTTTATTTTTCCTATTTTATTGGTTAAGGAAGCTGAGGTTGGGAGGTATGAAGTCATGTGCCAAGCAGGTAAGTGGCAGAGGTGGGATTCCTGAGCCCCATCCCTCTCTTTTTATCTTTTTTTTTTTTTTTTTGAGATGGAGTCTTGCTCTGTCACCCAGGCTGGAGTGCAGTGGCAGAGTGGCGGGATCTTGGCTCATTGCAACCTCCGCCTCCCGGGTTCACGCCATTCTCCTGCCTCAGCCTCCGGAGTAGCTGGGACTACAGGTGCCCACCACCATGCCCAGCTAATTGTTTGTATTTTTAGTAGAGATGGGATTTCACCGTGTTAGCCAGGATGGTGTCGATCTCCTGACCTCATGATCCACCCGCTTCGGCCAGTGCTGGGATTACAGGTGTGAGCCGCTTCGGCCAGTGCTAGGATTACAGGTGTGAGCCACTGTGCCCGGCCTCTTTTTTTTTCATAACAGCATTGTTGAGATGTAATTCACATGCCATGCAATTTGCCTACTTAAAGTGTATCATTCAACAGCTTTTAGTATATTCAAGAATTGTGCAACCATCACAACAAGCCATTTTATATTTTCATTATTTTGAAAAGAAAGCCCATACTCAGGCTGGGCGTGGTGGCTCACACCTGTAATCCCAGCACTTTGGGAGGTCAAGGTGGGCTGATCACCTGAGGTCAAGAGTTCAAGATCAGCCTGGGCAACATGGTGAAACTACATCTCTACTAGAAAAATACAAAAATTAGCAGGGCGTGGTGGTGGGCACTTGTAATCCCAGCTACTCGGGAGGTTGAGGCAAGGAGAATTGCTTGAACCCAGGAGACGGAGGTTGCAGTGAGCTGAGATCGCACCACTGCACTCCAGCCTGCATGACAGAGTGAGACTCCATCTCAAAAAAAGAAAGAAAGAAAGAAAGCCCATACTCATTAGCCATCATTCCCCATTTCTCCCCAACTGCCCTTCTCCCCAGCCCTAGGCAACCACTAATCTGCTTTCTGTCTCAATAGATTTGCCTATTCTGGATATTTCATGTAAATGGAATTATACAGTATGTCTAAGTCCCAATTATTATTATTTTTTAGACATGGTTTCTCTCTGTCACCCAGGCTGGAGTGCAGTGGCACACTCATGGCTCACTGCAGCCTCAACCTCCTAGACTCAAGTGATCCTTCTGCCTCAGCCTCCCAAGCAGCTGGGACTACAGGCACCCATCACCATGCCCAGCTAATTTTTTTTTTTTGCAGAGATGGGTTCCCACTATGTTGTCCAGGATGGTCTTGAACTCTCGTGAGTCCCAACTCCTTAACTTCCAATGGTTCCTACTTCACTGGGTACTGGGGCAATAGAGTAAGAGGAGTGAGGTGGTGAAGTATTGAAGAATGTGGTCTTTGCAGATACGCAGACTTAGGTCTAAAACAAACCTAGGGCCGGGTGTGGTGGCTCATGCCTGTAATCCCAGCACTTTGGGAGGCTGAGGTGGGCAGATCACCTGAGATCAGGAGTTCAAGACCAGTCTGACCAACATGGAGAAACCTCGTCTCTACTAAAAATACAAAATTAGTTGGGCGTGATGGCACATGGCTGTAATCCCAGCTACTTGGGAGGTTGAGGCAGGAGAATAGCTTGAACCTGGGAGGTGGAGGTTGCAGTGAGCCAAGATCATGCCATTGCACTCCAGCCTGGGCAACAAGAGCGAAACTCCATCTCAAAAAAAAAAAAAAAAAAAACCAAAACTCTAGCTCTTGGCAGGGCGTGGTGGCTCACAACTATAATACCAACACTTTGGGAAGCAGAGGTGGGAAGATCACTTGAGCCTAGGAGTTTAGGACCAGTCTAGGCAACATAGCAAGACCTCATCTCTCTTTTTTATTATTTTTTTTGAGACGGAGTCTCGCTCTGTCGCCCAGGCTAGAGTCCAGTGGTGCGATCTCGGCTCACTACAAGCTCCGCCTCCCAGGTTCATGCCATTCTTCTGCCTCAGCCTCCAGAGTAGCTGGGACTACAGGCGCCCTCCACCACGCCTGGCTAATTTTTTTGTATTTTTAGTAGAGACAGGGTTTCATCGTGTTAGCCAGGAAGGATCTCTCTTTCTTTCTTTTTAGACAGAGTCTCACTCTGATGCCCAGGCTGCAATGCAGTGACGAGATCTACACTCATTGCAACCTCCACTTCCTGGGTTCAAGCAATTCTCCCACCTCAGCCTCCAGAGTAGCTGGGATTACGGGTGCCCACCAACACACCCAGTTATTTTTTTTATTTTTTGGTAGAAACGGGGTTTCACCATGTTGGCCACACTGGTCTTGAACTCCTGAGCTCAAGCAATCCACCTGCCTCGGCCTCCCAAAGTGATGGGATTACAGGCACAAGCCACCGTGCCCGGCCTGGGACCCCATCTCTATTAAAAATAATAATAATTAATTGACACTGGGTGCGGTGGCTCATGCCTGTAATCCCAGCACTTTGAAAGGCTGAGGCGGGTGGATCACCTGAGGTCAGGAGTTCAAGACTAGCCTGACCAACACAGTGAAACCCTGTCTCTACTAAAAATACAAAATTAGCTAGGCGTGGTGGCACATGCCTGTAATCCCAGCTACTTGGGAGGATGAGGCACCCAGGAGGCAGAGGTTGCAGTGAGCCGAGATCACACCACTGCACTCTAGCCTGGGCAACAAGAGCGAAATTCTGTCTCAAAAAAAAAAAAAAAAAGATTAATTGAAATCAATAAAACCTATCTCTGTCATTCAGGAGCTCTGTACCTGGGGGAAGTTGCTTGCTCTCTCTTGGCCTCAGGTTCCTAGTGGGTAAAATGCGGAGAGTGATAGAATTTCTCTGAAGGGCTGTAGTGATGCATGTCAAGCGCTTAGCCCAGTGCTCAGTGCTTAATATATGGTAGTTGTTGCTAACTAGATTACAATGGTCCAGATTACAATGGTCCATGTATCTATTTATTCCTTGACCCAGGTATTTAATAAAACAGCACCTTCCGGCCGGGCGTGGTGGCTCACGCCTGTAATCCCAGCACTTTGGGAGGCCGAGGCGGGTGGATCATGAGGTTAGGAGATCGAGATCATCCTGGCTAACACGGTGAAACCCCATCTCTATTAAAAGTACAAAAAGTTAGCCACGTGTGGTGGTGGGCGCCTGTTGTCCCGGCTACTCGGGAGGCTGAGGCAGGAGAATGGCGTGAACCCAGGAGGCGGAGCTTGCAGTGAGCCGAGATCGCGCCACTGCACTCCAGCCTGGGTGACAGAGTGAGACTCCGTCTCAAAAAAAAGAAAAGGAAAAAAGAAAGAAAAACAAAAATTTAGCACCTTCCAGCCGGGCGCGGTGGCTCACGCCTGTAATCCCAGCACTTTGGGAGGCTGAGGTGGGCGGATCACCTGAGGTCAGGAGTTTGAGACCAGCCTGGCCAACATGGTGAAACCCTGTCACTACTAAAAATACAAAAATTAGACGGGTGTGGTGGCAGGCCACTGTAGTCCCAGCTACTCGGGAGGCTGAGGCAGGATAACTGCTTGAACCCGGGAGGCGGAGGCTGCAGTGAGCCGAGATCGCGCCATTGCACTCCAGCCTGGGTGACAAGAGTGAAACTTCATCTAAAACAAAACAAAACAAAACAAAAAAACTTAGCACCTTCCAAGGGGCAGGCGTTGTTCTAGGTGCTGGGGATTTAGTAATGAACAGGACGTGATCCCTCATACAGCTTCTGTTCTAGTAGGTGACAAACAAGACAGCTGGTAAATATGACACTTTCAGGGAGTGATCCAGTCAAGGAAGACATCAACACAGCACGATGGGCTGAAGCGTGCCGGGCAGGTGCATGTTTTAACCTGGAAGGCTTCCCTGCCCTGCCTTCACTCACTTCATAGAGAGGAACATCTTCTGTAAGCCGAAAAATGCTAGGCAGGGTGGAGGGGTTCTTAGGATCCCCTCTGAGTGGGGACAGGTGGCCTGGCTCTGGCATCTTCTGAGACTGGAGTGAGTCAGGTTGTCAGTTCATTTCTAGAGGTAGGACACCTGGCCAGTCACCATGTAAGAGTGCCGGCCAGTCTTAGAGAATTCTCTTTGTATAAATGGTTCTGGCTACTGAAGCCCAGAGTGGGCAAGGGCCTGGCCTATGGAGGCACACTGAATAGCAATAGGGTTCTTTCCTCTATCCCAGGCTGCCAGGCCAAATCACAGTGAAACCCGGATTGACAGAAACACTTGGGGACAGGAATCTAGGGATGGAAAGATCTGGCACAGAGGTGGAGCCTGTCGCCACAGCTGTTCCCTGGGCATCTGTCTGCATGCTCTGGGTCCTGGACTTGCCTTAAAGTGCAGAACTGAGGCTGCTGCATGACAGAAGCCCCTCCCAGCCCCCTTCAATGAGCCTCACCCACAGCAATATCTCAAGTGCCACACCTAGAACCTCAGCTGATTGGCTGCAAACATCCGTGCACCCACTGTCAATTCCTTATTAATTTCATCTTTCACTCCATTGTCCCAAAGTCTGCTTTTTCATGCATCCGTCTCCATCTACCATTCATTTAATTATTACTTCAATAAAGCATTCATCAATTCATTCATTCATTCATCATTCATTCAACAGATGTTTACTGAGCATGTCCTTTGTGCTGAGCACAATGTTTGGTCAAATCCTTGGTAAAGGCCTGGTGCGGTGGCTCACGCCTGTAATCTCAGTACTTTGGGAGGCCGAGAAGGATCACCTGAGGTCAGGAGTTCGAGACCAGCCTGGCCAGCATGGCAAAACCCTGACTCTACTAAAAATACAAAAATTAGCCAGGCGTGGTGGTGGGCACCTGTAGTCCCAGCTAAGTGGGAGGCTGAGGCAGGGAGAATTGCTTGAACCTGGGAGGTGGAGGTTGCACTGAGCCGAGATTGCGCCACTGCACTTCAGCCTGGGTGACAGAGCAGGACTCCATAACCAAAAAAAAAAAAAAAAAAAAAAAAATCCTTGGTAAAATGCCAGGCCAGGCCAGGCCAGGTGCGATGGCTCATGCCTGTAATCCCAGCACTTTGGGAGGCTGAGGTGGGCGGATCACTTGAGGTCAGGAGTTTGAGGCCAACACAGTGAAACCCCATCTCTACTAAAAATACAAAAATTAGCTGGGCATGGTGGCACACACCTATAGTCCCAGCTACTTGAGAGGCTGAGGCATGAGAATTGCTTGAATCTGGGAGGCAGGGGTTGCAGTGAATGGAGATTGTGCCACTGCACTCCAGACTGCGTGACAGAGTGAGACTCCACTTCAAAAAAAAAAAAAAAAAGCCGGGTGCGGTGGCTCACGCCTGTAATCCCAGCACTTTGGGAGGCTGAGGCGGGTGGATCATGAGGTCAAGAGATTGAGACCATCCTGGTCTCAACCCACCTCTACTAAAAATACAAAATTTAGCTGAGTGTGGTGGCACGTGCCTGTAGTCCCAGCTACTTGGGAGGCTGATGCAGGAGAATTGCTTGAACCCGGGAAGTGGAGGTTGCAGTGAGCCGATATCACGCCACTGCACTCCAGCCTGGATGACAGACCGAGACTCCGTCTCAAAAAAAAAAAAAAAAAAAGCCAGTCCTGGTGGGAAGGAAGGGCTTGCTTAACTGGCAGTGTGGACAACTCTGCCGTCTTCTTTTTTAATTTTTTTTTTTTTGAGACGGAGTCTTGCTCTGTTGCCCAGGCTGGAGTGCAGTGGCGTGACCTCGGCTCACTGCAAGCTCCGTCTCCCGGGTTCACGCCATTCTCCTGTCTCACCCTCCCGAGTAGCTGGGACTACAGGCACTCGCCACCACGCCCGGCTAATTTTTTTGTATTTTTAGTAGAGATGAGGTTTCACCGTGTTAGCCAGGATGGTCTCGATCTCCTGACCTTGTGATCCACCCATCTCGGCCTCCCAAAGTGCTGGGATTACAGGCGTGAGCCACAGCGCCTGGTCTTCTTTTTTAATTTTTTTGTTGAGACAAGGTCTCACTCTGTCACCCAGGCCAGAGTGCACTGGTGGGATCTCAGCTCACTGCAACCTCCGCCTCCTGGGTTCAAACAATTCTGCCTCAGCCTCCTGAGTAGCTGGAATTACAGGCACCTGCCACCACGCTCGACTAATTATAGTATTTTTAGTAGAAACGGGGTTTCACCATGTTGGCCAGGCTGGTCTCAAACTCCTGACCTCAGGTGATCCGCCCGTCTCAGCCTCCCAAACTGCTGGGATTACAGGTGTGAGCCACTGCATCCTGCTGACTCTGCCATCTTCCTGAGAGTTGGTTGTGTGTGTGTGCTGTGTGTGTGTGCGCATGCACACCCGGGGTGTATGGTGGTGATGGTGGAAGCTCATGATGACACATTACTTAACTGCAAGCACATGCAGAGGGTGTTTGGATCCTCCTAACACCCACCCATTTCTAGAGAGGCAGGACAGGCACGATGGATAGGCACAGAGGCTGTCACTAAGATTCAGCCTCCTGGAATCACTTGTCCTGGAAGCCCAAGGCAATGCTGGCTCTTCCTGAAGTCTTCCCACAGCTTCCCTGTTGGAATGAATCTCTGTCTTCTATAATCCCCAGAACCTTGCTAATTCTTCAGCTACCGTGCTTTCCCGGGGCTCTGCTTTCATTAGAGTTGGCTGGGTATTTGTGTCTGTTGGTCCACTTGGATACCGGGTACTTCCGGGGGGCAATGACACTATTTGCCTTTCTCCCTTCCCCTACCTTCAGCGCACACACAGTGCTTTGCAAACATCGGTCCACTAAGCGTTGCTCATGGAGAATCACTCAGATAGACCGTCAAGAACACGGCTCCAGAGCCTGCTCTGCCACCGCTGGCCCTCACCTGGCTCAGTAGCCTAACTGGTCTCTGGTCATCAAACTTGCCCTATCCCCCCATCCCCCCTCCCCCTATTCTCCACACTTCAGTCCCAGCAAACCTTTAAAAATGTAAATCTGAACTTGTCAGACCTTTCAGGATCCCCACCGCGTTTAGGATATAATCGCAAATCCTCCCAATAGCCTAAGAGCCTGGCAAGGTCGACCTCAGCTTTATGTGGAACTTCCCCTTCCTCACTGCGCTCCAGCCACACCAAATTTCCTTCCTTCTCTGAGCTCGCCAAGTACTTCTTTAGAGCACGCTGTTCCCTCCGCCTGGGACAGTGCCCGCCTTCACCTAACTCCCCACTCCTCCTCCCCCAGGATCTGCCTCTGTCCCACACTGTGCGTCTCCTCTGGGGACATCTGTCCTCTGCCGAGTCCTGGGCGAGCACACAGTAGGCATTCCATCAATATCTGTTCAGTGGCTGCAGTTAGCAGCCTTCTTGGCTCCTCATTTCCCTGAGGGTGCGGGTGAGGGCAACTCACTTCTCTGCCCAGTACTGATGGGCTTTAAATACCTCAGTTGGGCATGGTGGAACATTCCTGTCAAATTTCAGCTACTCGGGAGGCTGAGGTGAAAGGATCCCTTGAGCCCAGGATTTCGAGAACCAGCCTGGGCAACATAGGGAGATACCCGTTTCAAAAAAAAAAAAAAATTGGCTGTCTGGCCGGGTGCGGTGGCTCACACCTGTAATCCCAGCACTTTGGGAGGCCGAGACGGGCGGATCATGAGGTCAGGAGATCGAAACCATCCTGGCTAACACGGTGAAACCCCGCCTCTACTAAAAATACAAAAAATTAGCCAGGCGTGGTGGTGGGCGCTTGTAGTCCCAGCTACTCGGGAGGCCGAGGCAGGAGAATGGCATGAACCTGGGAGGGGGAGCTTGCAATGAGCCGAGATCGCGCCACTGCACTCCAGCCTGGGGGACAGAGCGAGATTCCATCTCAAAGAAAAAAAAGAAATTGGCTCTAATGTACCCTGGGGACAGAAAAGCCCTTCTCCTAGAAGGCAGCTAGGACCTAGCTTGGGAGCCCCCAACTCTCTTTTTTTTTTTTTTTGAGACGGAGTCTCGCTCCGTCGCCCAGGCTGGAGTGCAGTGGCACGATCTCGGCTCACTGCAAGCTTCGCCTCCCGGGTTCATGCCATTCTCCTGCCTCGGCCTCCCGAGGAGTAGCTGGGACTACAGGCGCCCACCACCACGCCCGGCTAATTTTTTGTATTTTTAGTAGAGACGGGGTTTCACTGTGTTAGTCAGGATGGTCTCGATCTCCTGACCTCGTGATCCGCCCACCTTGGCCTCCCAAAGTGCTGGGATTACAGGTGTGAACCACTGCACCCGGCCAGCCCCCAACTCTTTTTTAAATTTTTATTTAAAAATCTTTATTTTGGCCAGGTGTGGTGGCTCAGGCCTGTAATCCTGGCACTTTGGGAAGCTGAGGAGGGCGGATCATTTGAGGTCGGGAGTTTGAGACCAGCCTGACCAACATGGTGAAAACCTATCTGTACTAAAATACAAAAATTAGCCAGGCATGGTGGCGGGCACCTGTAATCTCAGCTACTCTGGAGGCTGAGGCAGGAGAATTGCTTGAACGCAGTTGGTGGAGATTGCAGTGAGCCGAGATTGTGCCACTGCACTCCAGCCTGGGCGACAGAGCGAGACTCCCTCTTAAAATAAATAAATAAATAGTTTATTTTTATTTTTGTAGAGATGGGGGTCTCACTTTTTTACCCAGGCTGGTTTTTTTTTTTTTTTTTTTTTTTTTTTTTTGAGACCAAGTCTCTCTGTTGCCCAGGCTGGAGTGCAGTGGCACGATCTAGGCTCACTGCAACCTCCACCTGCCAGGTTAAGTGATTCTCATATCTCAGCCTTCTGTGTAGCTGGGATTACAGGCGCTTGCCGCCACACACGGCTTATCTTTGTGTTTTTAGTAGAGATGGGGTTTTGCCATGTGCCCAGGCTGGTCTTGAACTCCTGGGCTCAAGTGATCCGCCCGCCTCGGCCTCCCAAAGTGCTGAGATTACAGGCATGAGTCACCTCACCTGTCACAGGCTGGTATTTAACTTCAGGCTTCAAGCAATCTTCCTGCCTTGGCCTCCAGCCTCGGCCTCCCAAAGTGTTGGGATTATGGACACCAGCCATGGCACCTGGTAATCAGAGACTATTGTTGCCCAGTCCATCTTGGTTGTGTTCATGCCAGGCTGGGGTGGGCTGGGACTGGATTATAATGTATTAATATAAGGTGACACAGAGTGTCTCCTGGGTCTAGCCGTTTTAAGTGCATTTACATCCATCCCCTCTGTACCCACTAAATAAAGGCTTGGAAACTAGAGTGTGCAGCAAGTCCTAAAGCTCTGGGTTTCTAGATCCCTAGTGGGTGCGGTCTCTGGAGGTTGGGGATTGGGGCTGCATGCCTTCTGTCTTATCCTCCAGCATGGTCTTCTCAGGGAGTGACCCTGTGACCTCCAGAATGCTCCCCCTCCCTCTCCAGCTGGAAGCTCCAGGGAGGAGCCTAAGGAAGGAGGGCTCTGCAGTTTCTTCATCTGTAAAATGGGGCTGATAACAGCACTTACTTTCCAGGGTTGTTGTGAGGAATCAGTGAGCTACTACCTTCAAAGAGCTTAGTGCTTGGCACACAATACACTCTTTGCTGTTATTATTACCAAATGGAGCATTCCCAGGAGTTGGGATCTGGTTAGCAGGACTCCCTCCCTGTAAAACCCGGGCTGCAAGAATTACCTCCCACAAGCAACATTCTTTCAACTTTTATAAGAAACTCCAAGAAGTCTATGTGGCTCATTTTAAAGTCACCGGGCATGCGTGCAACCACCCACAGATATTTAATGATTGGTTGGGGGGAGGGCACTGTACTAGGCCCTGGAGGCACAAAGATCCGTAGGACCCGTTTCCTGTCCTAGGGAGGAGACTCAGACAAACCGATATTCACAATTCAGCCGGGCACGTGGCAAGGCCACCCAGAGATTGTGAGGACAGGAGAGCATTTCAGAGCAAGGCAGCTTGGTGTGCCAGGACAGAGGCAGGGGTATTCTGGGTGCTTGGAGAACTCTGGGGTGAATGGAAGGCAGGCTGTATGGGAAAAATGGCCACACACTCCCACTTTAGGGTGTGAGGTTCATTGGGAAAGACAGGCTGGGCTTTGGGGGTGAGAAGCTGGCTATGTATTTACCCAATAGACTGAGAACCGTCTCTGCCAGACCAGGCTGGGGGTGGGGCTGGGGGCGCATTAGACCTTGGACAGAGCCCCTGCTCTCCTGGATGGGTGGACTGTCCAATGGAAGAGACAATGACAAGACAAGCATTCACAGATTCCACGCCCCTCTCACACCCACCTGCTCCCCTCCCCCCACCCTTGCTGCTAGCCCCGAGGTACCCAGGAGCCTGCTGGAGCCTGGGAATCAAGCTCTGGTCCTTGGTCGGGGGAGGGGGCAGGCTCCAGCTCCCGCGTGGGGTGTGGTCTCCAGGGATGGCATCCTCAGCCCAGGGGTGGGGACTGTACCCCCTTCTCCTTTATCCTTCAGCATGGTCTTCTCAGGGGGTGACCCTCTGACTTCCAGACTGTTCCCCCTCACCCTCCAGTGGAAGCCCCTGGGCAGGGGCCTAGGGAGGGGGCTCCAGAGGCCTTTGGTTTCCATGCAGCTGGGAGACAGGGGGTGGGCCGTAAAAGACTCTGGGGTGCCCTGGGTGCTCTTGGAGAGCTCAGCCAAGGCCGGGGCCTGAGTCAGGTCCACGGGAGAGCAGGGCCGGGATGCTGGTGCCTGGCCCAGGAGAAGGGAGGGGGCGATGGGCAAAGGGGTCAGGCCGAGGGAGCAGGCGGGGCATCGGGAGTTGAGGGTGCCGAGTGGGGGTGGGAGGACGAGGGGTCCGGCCGGTGCAGAGGGGGAGGCGGCCCCCGGGGAGGGGCACGCTATGTCTTTAAGAGCTGCCTGAGCGCAGGTTGCAGCTGCCTGGCCAGCCCGAGAGACAGCGGAGATTCATTACCCGCCGACACAATGACCATTGATGGCCCCGTGGCGTTATTCAAATCCAGTACCAATTGCAGCCGAGCCCCTTTCTCCGCGCCAGGCCCGTATTGTTGGAGCGGCCCACTAAAAGCCCGCCCCGGCCCCGAGCCGCCAGAGGCGCCTGCTCGGGTTCAGCCTTGCGCCTCGGCAGCCCGCCGGCTCCCAGTCCGGCTCCACGGGCGCTGCAGGTGACCCGGCGGCGCATTCCAGCACTCCCCGCCGCCCGGGCCACCGCCGCCACCGCCACCGCAGGCGCCCCGGCCGCGACTCAGCCACAGGAAAGCGGAGAGCGCCCGAGCCGGTGCGTGCGCGGGGCTGGGCGGGGGCGGGGGACCCACGAATCCAGCAGCCCGGACCCCGGGCTCGGAAACGCGACCCGGCCTGGGGCTCCTGCCTTCCGGATTCCCGGAGATCCCAGGCTGGGGGCAGGGAGAGGGGAGTCGGGGTTCCCCAGGCCAGACAGAGGAGATTCCCCCTCGACCTGGGGCGGCGCTGAGACCCAACGCGGGCCACTCTGCGGACTCCGGGCCGCGATCGAAGGAGCCACGCCAGGGGCGATGGGGATCCCCGCACAGGGTCAGGATCCGCGTGCTTGCTAGTCCACCTTACCGCCGGATGGGCAGCCGCTGCTGAGCGCCTGCTAGGTGGTCCGACGCGCAGCTCCGAGCTGTCCTGGACTGGCGCTTTTTAGGAGCGAAGGGGAACCCCGCAGGAGACCAGGGCCCTGAACTCAGGGGCTTCGCCACTGATTGTCCAAACGCAATTCTTGTACGAGTCTGCGGCCAACCGAGAATTGTGGCTGGACATCTGTGGCTGAGCTCCGGGCGCAACAGGGGCGGGGGCCCCAGGGACAGGGCTCAGCGCGGGCGAGACCTCTCGGGGCGGCGGCTGGCTGGCCCCAGCGCGAGGATCGCGGTCCCGGCCCGCGCGCACAGAGACGCCGGTCCCTGCCACCAGCGCCGCCATCCGCATCCTCGTCCTTCTTCCTTCTCTGCGGGTGACCAGTCCCGGCCGGCAGGGTCCTTCAGTCGATCGCGTCGTTTTTCCTCCTTTCAAATTTCGGCCGGAACGAAGCCGGCACGCAGCGGCGGGGCCGAATGTGGTCCGCCCTCAGCCCAAGCCGCATGAAGTCGGGGGTGAAAGAAGAGGCCGGCCGAATGCGCCCGCTAACTCGTTTCGCAGTTGTTCTAACTTATCACCCCAATACTCCCTACCTAAACAAAACAAATCCTCAACCAACCCCTAAATCCCAAACAAACCAACCCCTCCCGCAAGCCCCTCCGGACGGACCGATGGGCTGAGCCTCCTCCAGCCGCTGCCAGGGTCCGACGGGCAAGCGTCACCAACGATGCGCTCCAGCCCGGCAATCTCCTCGGCTTTGGAAATAGAATTTGGAAAAACGAATCCTTTTCATTAAAGAAAAATCTTCGGAGATAGCGGGGTTTTATTTGTTTATTTCCTCAAAAGCAGGGATCAGGAGTTGCTTGGGAGAGGGGCAGTTGGGAGCTGCTGGGGGCTGAGCCCAGGTCACCTGTCCCCTGACCCCTTTCCAGTCTAGGGCTAAAAATGACCTGAAATCGTCTGGTGTGCCTTGGACATGGCCAATTTCAACCACAGTGCTTGCACCCCCATGTGCCAAGAAACCCGGTTTTCCCAGCACCTCCTCCTGCCCTACTCTTCAGTATTAATTGGGGTGTGCTGGGAGAAGGGATATTCCACATCACACCTCCCACTCTCTGCAGCCAGGGAAACGGATCCTAGCGCCCAGTTTCCAGGACCTGAAATCTAGTGTGTTCCAATCAGGTGCACTGATGGGGCCGCTCCTGCAGCTCAGGGGGCTGCAGATGGGGAGGGACCTCCAGGTTACAAGAATCGGACAGGCTGACCTTCTAGAAGTGCAGCTGTAGGGAGCTGTTCCAAGTCTCTTGCTCTGTTCCCTAACATGGAGACCCTGACCTCAGGAACTAGTGAGGGTTGGTCACACAGCCTTTCTGGACAGCACTCAGACCCCAACACTGGCCTTAATTTGCACCCAGACCAGCTCCTCCCCATAGTCCCAACACGGCTGCTCCCACTCCACACAAGCCCAGAGGGTCTCTACCTGCAGTAGTCCTGGAGAAAAGCCCACCAGCCAGCAGGTCATCTACCCCCAAAAGAATGATGTGCACACCCCATCCCCCAACACTGCTGGGACAACCTTTTGCCACTTTCATCTCCACAGGGTGAGAGAAATTCCACCTTAAATTATTGACATAGAATGAAAAGCAACATTTTGGGTGGGATGATGCTTTTGGTGGGATGTTAGCACCCTAATTCTTTTTGGGGGTCTCCCTCCAGCAAAGCTCTTTTCTCTAGGTCATGGAAAGGAAAGACCACAGAAAGGGGGCTCAGCAGTCTTATCTATGCTACCCTCATTTTGGGTTCTGAGGCTGCTGGCTGCAGCTGGTGGGACAAAGCCTTGGACAGACGGGTGGGGATGCGTCCCGGGACACAGACTGGTCAGCACAGACTGGCTCTGCCACTCCCTTCTCCAGATGGCTCTATTAGACTACCCCCTCTCAGATTGTCTGAGTGTTCACCCCCACCCCTCTTTTGGGTGAAGGGTAGCTCTGAGGCCCTAGGCTGAGGATGGAGAGGTTGTATCACAGACCACGGCTGGGGGGATATGAGGTGCCACCCGTTTCCAAGGATGAAGCTCCAAGCAAGGCTAGTAAACAACCTAGTCTTTTATTTGCCCAAGGCCGGCTGTTGCAAGCACTGAGGCCCCAAGACTTCCAGAAGGGAAGGGGAGGAGGGGCAAAGCACTGTGCCTACCAGGTGCTGCCTGCCCCGTCCTGCTTCCTGCAGGAGGTGGGAAGGGAGAGAAAACGGACATTCGCGCCATCAAGTATCTCCCCAGTTTTCAGCCACTATATTCAGTTGTGGAGGAGGAAACTGAGGCACACGCATCCCCCCAGGCTTCTACTTGCTAGTCCAAGGTTTAACTTACTCCCTCCCCTCATCTCTACCCCCAGCAGAATGAGCTGTAAGCAGCCTGGGGAGGGTCTCAGGAGCCCATCTGGTGGCCTGTGGAGCGGGGCAGGCCAGCCAGGGTCAAGGGCTAGGGGTGGGGGGAGCAGGAGGGGTGTGGCTGGAGGAGCAGCTGCTGGCGGTGGGGGGAGTCGGCACTCAATAGGGGACCCCAGCTGGGGTTCCATACTGATAGCAGTGGGGGACAGGCAGAGCCCTCAGCTGTACAGACAGGGAAATTGAGGCTGAGAAGCCTCCAGTCTTTGGGTAGGGAGGGGCCTTCCTTCAGCTACTCAGGTCCATTCATCTTCCCCATGAAGACGCTGGCTCTGGGGCTGGAGCGCCTTGTCAGCGGCCACTCCATGTTTAGACTGAGGTACAAGGAGTGGAAGGCAGCCAGGTCACCTGGCCACAGAGCCTCCTTCAACTCTTGACAAACTGGAGGGGAACCCTCCCCCACCACAGCTGCTGGAAAAGGGAGTGCTGGGCTCTGGCGCCTGTCTGCCTTCCGCTGCTCACGTGCTTGAGAAAGGCTCATTTTTAGCACCTGGCCTCTTTTCCCTGCCTGGAGGGAGCTTAGGGGACAGAGCAGGGAAGAAGGCAGGCAAGGGGGACAGGGAGACCTGGAAGCAGGGCCCAAGGGGATGTCTGATTGCTTCGTTCTCCCCTCTAAGGGTGCCCAGGCCCAGAGAAGGGCCCTCAGCCGCCGTGCAGAGTGGAGATGAAGAGGACGCTGTCCTGGTCCTGAAGCTGGTAGTCCAGCTCACCCTGGTGCGGGAGAGAGGGGAGCGGGAGACCCTCAGGGCCACCTTCCCAGGTCCACCCCAGGAGTTGGGAGAACAGGGGCTGAGGACTGGCTGCTCTGGAAGAGACAGACTCTACCAGAAAAATGGGTATCCTATACCTCAACCTGCAAATCTTCAGGATGGAGGAGTACTCCCATGTCCCCAGCTACCCATCCCTTCCTCACCTGGAGTGGGAGACTCCAGCAGCCTCAGTGTGGGGCTGGAGTGGGGCGGAGGATTACCCAGCCACTCTATATGTGCCTGAGGAGAGGCCCAACGCTTTCCCACTGAAGCAGCAAGGGCAGGGGCTGGGGGAGGGATGTCCCCCAAGGTACTGACCAGTAGCTCCCAGTCGGCATCGTTAATCAGCACCAGAATTCCTGGCCGCCTGTGGGAAAGATGGTGGTGAGTAGCAAGGAGTGAGAGGCAGGAGGCAGTAGCACAGAGGAAGAGAGGCTGAGAGCTTTGGGCTGCAGGAGAGTGTGCTGAGGAGCCTTCCTCCTGGGGTCTGGCTAAAGATATCCCAGGAAGGGGAGGCTGGTCTGAGTGTGAAGGAAACCAGGTCAGTCATGCATGGTCTTTGTAGCCAGATGGAAAATGGGTGCAAATGCCAGCCAGCACCACCACCCAGACCATGGGCAGGTCATTTTGTTTCTGAGTATCAGGTTCCTCATCTGAAAATGGGATAAGTGATACTGTCTAACCCACAAGGCCTATACGAAAACGAAATGAGCTGATATGTGTGGAGTGCTTGCCACACTGTCATGGTAACCATTAGTAGGACTTTTCCAGGGGTCTAATCTTATTCTCGTTAGCCCTGGAAAAGAACTTCGGCTTTTTTTTAGGCCTCTGCATGCCCATCCTGGAGAGAAGGCTGTTTTGCCTCTTCCGAATCAGTTGCCATGCCACATGGCAATGCTCACGTGCAGTCCTGCCTGGCATAAGGCAGGGTAGGTCAACATTTGGTCAGGCAGCTTAGCCTGGCTCCCACTGGTAATGGCCCAAGGAGCACTGCTGGCCTTAGAGGTGGCCTCCAGGACCACTGGACCATGACCTGAAGGAGGGCTGATCCCCTAGGCCTGATCCCTTAGGACCTGACAGTGACCTATGCTTCGAGGCAAATAAGCGAGCCTCACAACTGCACCGGCCACCTTTCACGTGGGGGACTGGCCTTGTTTTAGAAGTAACTTCGTGGCAACTGGAACCTGGTCCTTTCCAAGGAGACTGCACTGGGCTTCTATGGGGTGTCCCCAGTGAGTGTGTGTGCATGTGCATGGGTGTGTGCACGCACAGAGTCAATGACTCCTTGGAATTCTAGACCCGTGCTGCACTGTATGGTAATCTACTAGCTGCATGTGGCTATTTAAATTACAATGAAATAAAACAGAATATTTAGCTCTTCAGTTGTACTAGCTACGTTTTTTCCTCAGCACTTTCTGTGTAGAGAGTAACTGAGGCCCAGAGAAGCGAAGTAAGTCGCCTAAGGTCCCACAGCAAGTCTGTGGCAACCAGAGGGCAGAATCCAAGTTTTCTGAGAAATTCACCAGGCTCCTTTCATCTGGGATTTAAAAAATCCTCAAGAGTTCGGTTTAGTAACAAGAAAACTGAAAACAGATCTCAGAGCTGGAAGAGTTAGGGAGGAGGAAGGGGAGAACCGGATTCAGAGAAGGCCAGGACTGAACCCGAGGGTGGGGGCTCAAATATCCGTCCCTCCCTCCACCTGCTTCAGGGAAGGGAGGAGTGGGACTCACACGCTGTCTCCCTGGATGAACAACTCTGGCCGCTCTTTTAGCAAATTCTTCTTGATCCAGATGAGCAGGTTCCGGATGTCCCCTGGAAAGGAATGCACAGAACAAACTCTTGTCAAACCCAAATAGCACCTGCCCACCCCCAGAGCCTTGCCTGGCCCACAAGGAAATACACACGGTGTTTAGAGGGCTTCTTTTAGACCAGGCTGTGATAGCCCATGAACTTGTAGATTCCAAAGGTGAGGAAACAGGTTAGGACAGGCCAGTGACTTGCCAGGTGGATCTTCAGAGAAAGCTGCACCTGGCACTGCTGAAGTCCTGGAGAAGAGGCAATGGGATTTACCTATAGTGGGGGGATTCAAGGCAGACGGCGGGAGGACTGTCGCATCTAAAGGGTTAGGAGACAGGCCCCTACCCACAAGTCCTGGAAGCCAGTCTCCAACTGCCATGGCTGGACTTCTGAGAGGACCTTGAAGAGCCCCCTCCACCTTTATCTCTCCAGCCAGTCGCAGATGGGGAGGATTCGGCTTTGCTCTTGGAGGGGTCTGCATATATTTCCCTTTGTGAGGGGAAAAAAACAATTGCTGAGCTGATAACATCAGTTAATTTCCTCTGGCAGAGGGAGAGAAGGATCATTCACCAGCTAGGGATGCTGACAAATCCCTGCTCCACTCCCCTGCCACCACCCTGTGCTTCCAGAGCCCTCCGCGCCAGCGGTGGCCAGAGGTTCGGGTGACAGGGCCTCTCCAGCTCAGCTAACACTGAGATCTGCCTCCTTGTGGTTCTGGGGGAGCCACCAGCCTCCTTGTATGTCATGTGGAGGCTCAGAGCCACCTGTCTTCAGGGTCACCTGTCCTTTCCTAGGGGCAGCAGTATCGGGCCACAGCACACAGAAATGTGGCTCTATAAACACCTCGAAGCCTATGGTCCTCAACTGTCCGCCCCCGAAACAGGGCCATTCTCCTGAGGCTGAGGAGTTCCTTCTCATTCTCTTAGACGACTTGAGGATAAAGGTCCCAGGGAGACAACTCGCCTCTGGGAAGCCAGCAGACAGGTTGGGGTTAAGCACCCCATCCCGAGTCAGCGTCCAGAGGGGTCTGCTGTCCTGGACTAATGCCTGAGACAAAGCTCAGGGCTAAGCTGGAGAAGTCCCAGGTGAGGCCTTGATTTTCCTGCCTGGAGTCCAGAGTGTACGCAAGGGAAAGGTGGCTAGGACTCAGGGAGACTTTGCTCTGCCCTGTCTGGGCCCACAGTGTGGCACGCACACACGGCCCCAGCCTTGGGCAGGGAGTTAAGGCACGCTGGCTGGCACGCGTGCCCCCTCGCTCTGACAGGCCTGCAGCCTGGATGGTCCACTTTGCTTGGTGCCAACTTGCCTGGATCGTACGCCAGCAAAGCACAGGGCCACGGGCAAAGTGTCCATGGACTGAGACTGCCGCCTTTCCATTTTAATGTCTCCTTTTAAACAAAGCAGATCAGAGTCTTCACGGTCCCTGGAGCAGGCATGGGATGGGGAAAATGCTGCCTCCAACTAGCTGCAGCTCACTTGGACTCCTGGCTGGGTTCCTCCCTGAGGTCTGGGTTTCAGAGGTTTCCCCTTGGCTCTGAATCCCCTTGGCCTCCATCTTGGTACTGTCTGGTGGGCCGCCAACCCATACATCTTGTGGCTGCTCGATAGAGCCACCGGGGTCTGACACATCCATCAGCCAGCCCTAGCGGGCGGGGGTGTGCCTGTGTGTGTGGAGGCGGCGAGAAGGTCTGGGCAGTGCCTGGCCTGCATGGAACCAGGACTCAATTAGGGGACAGCCCTGACTCCCTCCAAAGGGAAGGTGCTTCTGCTCCACTCTGGATAGGCCTGGGGGTGGGGGAAGGGCTAGTGGTCATGGTGGAGTCATCCAAACGATGGCACCAGCATGGAGTCCCAGAGGGACAAGCTGGGGGATGAGTCTGCTGCCCAGTGCGGGCTCATTTATCATGATGCTCCTATTTGCTGAGGTCACTCCCTCCCTCTTCTGCCCGCCCCCCACCCAGGCCTGCCCACATTTTTGATAGCCTGTTACCATGGTGAGGCTACCGCATCGCCACTCGTATTGTTCCCCCATGCCTGGATTTGGGGGTGGGGAGAGGGGGAACTCATGGCTCCCTTCGCAGGATGCAAGGGCCACTCGGCCTGGCCTGAAACACACCCCCAGGGACATCTTGCTAGGCTTGCTGAGGCACAGACAATATGCAAATAGCCTCCAAGCCAGATGGTCGGCTTCCAAAGGCGCCCAGGGGAGGAGGAAGGGTTAAGCAGAGTCAGGGGCTGGTGGCTTGGGGATGGATGGCTCTGTGATAGATAGGGGCTGGAGACTCTCACTTTCACCTTCCCACTCTGTGTCCTCTTGTCTTCCCTCTCCTACTAGGGGCGGTCTCCCTCCTGGGATCCCGTGTGATCATGCAGGAGAAAAATATTTATTGAGCAGCTACTATGTGCAAGATGCTAGGGAGATGGTAGTGGGCAAGAGGGAAACAGAGCTACCTACCCTCAGGGAGCTAGAGGTCAGCAGGGGAGACATACCATACTTAATTAGTTGTGACAAATGCTATCTCCTTCATCTGGGATCAGGAGAGGCCTGACTGAGGGTGTTAAACAGTGAAGCTCGGGTCTGAAGGATGAGTGGGGTGGGGAGCATTCTGGACAGAAGGATAACACATGGGAAGGCTGGGGCAGGATGGAATGGGCAGGTTCAAGGCAGCAGAACAGAGAAGGTAAGAAGCTCAGCAGGAGATGGGGCCAGGCCTTGAGAACGGGCCTGCTCCCGTAGGGGCCTCTCCCTCCCAGTGAACCTCAGCGGTATCTCCCAGGTATGTGCTTCCTGGGAACCAGGCCCCACTGCCCAGGCCTGTGCTTCCATGTGTCTCTGACTCAACACTTGAATCACGATCCAGCTCAAATGTATGGCACTACCATTACCATTACTTGAGTGGACAACTGGGGAGGTAGGGAGGGAAGGAGGGAGGAAGAAAGAGACTAAGAGTATGGACCCTGGAGTCAGACAGGCCTGGTTTTGAGCTGGACTCCATCACTTACTAGTTCTATTACCTTAGGTAATAGGAAGCCTCGGCTTCCTTTTTTTGTAAAATGGGGATGTTAACATTGTCTCATAGGGTCATTGTGGGGGATCAAATAAGACGATATATACAAAGCTCTCAGCACTGTGCCCTGCATATCAATGCTGTAATTACTCCAGGATCCAGAGGAAGAACCTATACCCCTCGCGCTCTCTGGGTTTCTGCACGCTCTGCCCAGTGGCCTGGCACCTCAGCTTTAGAGGGCAAGGTAGAGCCAACCATTAATCAGATAGTGCTGGGACCGGCTGGGGTTTTCTGTGGCATCCCGTATCTTCCCATCAGAAGCTGGAAAGGGAATGAGGGGACTGCGAGAGTAGTGAGGGGTCCTAGATACTGACCTTCCTTCTGTGTTAGATGTTTGAACCCACAAGATGTTGGGGTTGGCCAATGCTCCCAGTACAACCCAGGTGGTAGGAATGACACTCTGAGTCTGTAGGTGCTGGCGGCCAGGCTGCCCCCGGGCACACAGCACCAGAGGAAGGAGATGGGCACTTAATACAAGGTTTCCAGTGCAGGATACCTTGGCACCTGGCCTGCCCATCGGGGGCAGAGCAGGCAATGAGAGCTGCTGCTCTATGCTGGAGTGGTTGAGTTCTGAGTCTACAGCCAGAGGACCTCGGCTGTGTGCTCGATGGCCTTAGCTAGGAAGTCACTTCATCTTGCTGTCTCAGTGTCATCCTCTGACAAGCAGGGATAATAATCCAAACACCAAGAGCTGCTGAGGATTACGTAAGGCACAATGCCCAAGGCAGGCCTGGCAGTGTCACACACACAGGACACGCTCAACAGATGGCTGCTCTGAGCTGTAAGCCCACAGTGACTTCAGATTCCTCATCCTCTGGGCTCCAGTACCTTCTAAAGGCTGCTGCCAAAGGGAGGATACCCACTGTGGAGAGCACCGACGCAAGCTCCACCAGAATCCCTCGCCCCGGTGGACTTGTCCTATTCTGGGGGACACTGACTGCCCACTGTGGGAGGGCCCCAAAGGGTGTCAGCCTCAGCCTCGTGGGACTGAAACGGAACAACCTCAAAGTCGTATCTGATATTGACTCGCAGGCGTAACAGACCCTCATCCAGCCTCTCTTTGAACACCTCCAGGGACAGGAGGTCAGCTCCTCTGTGGAGCGGCTCTGATTGTTAAGAGCTCTTTTCTCCCAAGCAGAAATCTGTCTTCCTGTCATTCCCACCCACTGGGCCTGAATGGTCCACGGGGACCATGCCAACAAATGCACCCCCTCTTCCCCAGGATGGCCCTTCAGATTTGGAAGAAAGGATCCCCTAAGTCTTCTCTTCCACAGGTTAAACTGCCTCTGTCCCCACCAAGTCCACCAGGCTCCAAGACGGCTCTTCGGAGAGCCCACCCCAGGCCTCAGTTGAAAAGGGAAAAGAAAGAGCTGGCAAGGGGGGAGTAACAGAGGAGAGGGGGTGGAGGGAACATCAGAGGGGCCATTTACAAGTGAATGGGGGTAAGAATGGAGCAGTTTGTGGGCTAAACTGGCCTCAGAAGGAGGTTTACAGATGTGCGAGGGGACCTCCTCATTGTTTAATTAAGCAGAAAGTGGATCTTTTCAAAAGCAATTTTGCACAGGGACTGGGAGGGGTGTGGGGAGGAGGGAGGTGGAGAGGGGATCAGCAAACAGGCCCTGAGAGCAGAGAAAGGAACAGCTGGCCCCAGAGAGGCTGTGAAATGCATGCTAAGCAGTTTAAAGCGCCCAGGAGCTCCTGCAGCTCCTGCCCTCCCTCACCAGCCACCCTTTAACACAAGTGGAGCAGGCAGAGGGGGCACAAAGGCAGGACAGGGGAAGACAGGCAGGGAAAGGTGAGGCGGCCATGTCTACACTTGGGGCCTGGGCAGGGGGCCTTGGGTCAAAGGGATGCTTGAATCACAGAGGCCAACTCCCAGCAGCCGCAATACCCTAAGCTGGTGGGTGCCTGCATGGCCGTTTCAGCGAGATGGCTGTTAAGACATCCCTTCTCTCACACAACTTCTTACTGGGTCAGCACACTCTGCTTCACCGAATTGTATATACTTGGATCTTGAAGAAACTTTTCTTATAGATGTCAAAGAGACAACCAGCTCAATAACATACAGAGCGAGCCCAACCTCCCATCTTACAGATAGGGAAGAAAGAGTCTGGCAGGAATAAGTGATGTGCAACTGCGCGTGCCAGGCTTCCTCTCTCGCAGTCTCACTCCCTCAGGCCTTGCTCATCATTTCTCCCAAATTGGCTGGGTTGGAAGCTCTCCCCTGGCCTAGGAGCCACGAGTTCCCTCATTTGTGAGGCTTGTCACATTCTGAAATCTTACGGCTGCTATTATTTCTGCTGGAACCTCCAAGACTCGCTTGGCCAAGTGGCAGCCCCTAGGCTGGGAAGTCTGCCAGATGACATATCTGGGCATGGACTTGGGGGAAGGGTAAGACTCTCCTAGCAGCACCAGGCCCCTGACCCCCAGCTGGGCTCACATGTGCCAGGGTGAGGCCTGGCAGCTGCTAACCAGCTCTGTTGGTGACCTAGGTCACCAACCTAGGTTACCATGGGTCTGCTGTGTGACCCATGCCTCTGGGCACAACAGGAACCAGGTGTAGGGACTCACAGCAAAGGAGCCAAAGACTAAGTGGGCCATTGTGCCTTCCCTCCCACTCCCCTCCTTTCTTCCCAGAGTGGGGATAGGCCCCTGCCTGTTCCCTGAACAGTGGCTGGAAGATGAAGGATAAAAAAATCTGAGTCCCAGCCCAGCCTCCCTACTTGGGTAACTCTGGGCAGGCCTCAGGTCCCTCCCTCCTTCTCTTTCTCTTTTAGGGGTCTCTTATCTCTTGGGGTCATCTGAAAGTTGAAATAAGTAGTTGTTGAACTCATGAATAAATAAATGAAGGAAAGCGTAAAAACTGGAAAATGTAAGATGTTAGAGTAATTCAGGGAGCCTCTTGGGATAGACGGTGATGGGTTAGTGGCAAAGCGCCAGGACTCTGAAATTCAGTGGCCTGAAAGCTAGTTCTGAATCCCAACCCTGCTATTTAAATAACTCTATGACTTGGGGTGAGACCCCTGACTTCTCTAAATTTTGGTTTCTACCTTTTATTTGTTTTGTTTTTTGTTTTTGAGACGGAGTCTTGCTCTGCGCCCAGGCTGGAGTGCAGTGGCACGATCTCGGCTCACTATACAACCTCCACCTCCAGGGTTCAAGCGATTCTCCTGCCTCAACCTGGGATTACAGGTGCCCACCACCATGCCCAGCTATTTTTGTATTTTTAGTAGAGACAGGGTTTCACCATGTTGGCCTGGCTGGTCTCTAACTCCAGACCTCAGGTGATCCGCCTACCTTGGCCTCCCAAAGTGCTGGGATTACAGGAGTGAGCCACTGCACCTGGCCTTGGTATGTTACCTCCTTAAAGAGACCTCTGCTGACCACCTATTAGTCCTATTCAAGTACCCTTTGGTTCTCCTCATGCCAGTTACTAAAAGTTGTAATGACGCAGTTATACATTCATTTGTTTACTTGTTTATTCCCTGGCTCCACTCCCATTACACTGCTAACTCTACTAGGGCAAGGACCACATCTATTTTGCTCACTAATGAATATCCAGTAACTTAGTACAGTGATGGCACAAAGAGGGCATTCAAAATAGATTTGCCAACTACATGAAAGAATAAAGTACTTTGGGGCTGGGCGCGGTGGCTCACACCTGTAATCCCAGCACTTTGGGAGGCCGAGGCGGGCGGATCACCAGGTCAGGAGATCGAGACCATCCTGGCTAACATGGTGAAACCCCGTCTCTTCTAAAAATACAAAAAATTAGCCGGGCGTGGTGGCAGGCACCTGTAGTCCCAGCTACTTGGGAGGCTGAGGCAGGAGAATGGCGTGAACCCGGGAGGCGGAGCTTGCAGTCAGCCAAGATCGCGCCACTGCATTCCAGCCTGGGCAACAGAGCGAGACTACGTCTCAAAAACAACAACAAAACAAACAAAAAAAAACATACACAAATTAGCCAGGTGTTGTGGTGCCTGCCTGTAATCCCAGCTACTTGGGAGGCTGAGGTGGGAGAATTGCTTGAACCCAGGAGGTGGGGGTTGCAGCGCGCTGAGACTGCACCACGGCACTTCAGCCTGGGAGACAGAGCGAGACTCCATCTCAAAAAAAAAAAAAAGAAAAGAAAAAAAAAAGAAAATTTGTGGGTTTTCATGTCAGACAAACTCCACAGGAAATAAATAATAACTTGTGATATTTTAATAAACTTCCAGGCAAGGTCTTTGAGACTGAATCTTTGAGAAGCTTCTTCTGAGAGCACCATGTGCCCTCCCAAGGCTGCATGGCCATCTGTCAAACTAAGAAACAGTCACCTTTAGCACCCCATGTCTTCCTCGACCAGGGACACACAATCCTGACATGAAACCCCAGCCACATATCCCCTCCCAGCTCAATGTGGGCAGTGACCTGCTCCTCAGTAAGTGTCCCCCCCCCAGCCTCCACGTGTGGCAGACAGACCCCACCCTGTGCCACTGCTCTCCAACCTGAGGGAGGGACAGAGAGGTGCGGCAGCCAGTGAATCTGAGCAATAATAATTGATTCCTGGCAGATGTGTGTCCAGTTCCAGAAGAATCCTGCCAAATCTCACTTGACCATTTTCTTTTTTTCTCCCCATACATATTCTGCTTATGTATTTTTTTTTTCTTTTGAGACAGGGTCTCACTCTGGCACCCAGGCTGAAGAACAGTGTGTGATCATAGCTCACTGTAGTCTCGATCTCCTGGGCTCAAGCAATCCTTCAGCATCAGCTTCTAAAACAGCTAGGAACACAGGTGCATGCCACTATGCCTGGCTAATTTTTTATTTTTTTGTAAAGACCAGGTTTTGCCATGTTACCCAGGCTGGTCTCAAACTCCTGGGCTCAGGTAATCCTCCTACCTCAGACTCCCAAAGTGTTAGGATTACAGGCATGAGCCACTGTGCCTGGTTTATTTTATTTTATTTTATTTTATTTTTTTTTGAGATGGAGTCTCGCTCTGTTGCCCAGGCTGGAGTGCAGTGGCATGATTCGGCTCACTGCAACCTCCGCCCCTTTAGGTTTAAGCAATTCTCGTGCCTCAGCCTCCAGAGTAGCCGGGATTACAGGCGCATGCCACCACGCCCAGCTAATTTTTTTGTATTTTTAGTAGAGACGGGGTTTCACCATCTTGGCCAGGCTAGTGTTGAACTCCTGACCTCGTGATCCACCCGCCTTGGCCTCCCAAAGTGCTGGGATTACAGGCGTGAGCCACCGTGCCCAGCCAACACCTGGCCTATTTTCTTATTTCTTTTTCTTTTTTTGAGACGGAGTCTTGCTCTTGTTGCCCAGGCTGGAGTGCAATGGTGCGATCTTGGTTCACTGCAACCTCTGCCTCTCAGGTTCAAGCAATTCTCCTGCTTCAGCCTCCCAAGTAGCTGGGATTACAGATGCCTGCCACTGCGCCAGCTAATTTTTGTACTGTTAGTAGAGACGGGGTTTCATCATGTTGATCAGGATGGTCAGGAACTCCTGACCTCGTGATCTGCCCGCCTCAGCCTCCCAAAGTGCTGGGATTAAAGGTGTGAGCCACCACGTCCGGCCTGACTTGACCATTTTCTACCGCCCACCTCCAGGAACCTCATTTCCTGTCTCTTAATATAACTGATGCCCTCTTCTCCCCAGAAGTATCTCAGTCATAGGTGGAGACTGGAATCCCATCCCTGAGCCCTTGCTAGAACCCACTGCTAAGGTTACAGTGAACACCTGCCATATCCGGTCCCCAGCCCCTAGGCTATCCTGACAGTTACCCAGCCAAAGATCTGCAAGTTCATTCTTTTTTTTTTTTTTTTTTTTGGTGACAGAATCTTGCTCTGCCACCCAGGCTGGAGTGCAGTGGCACGATCTCGGCTCACTGAAACCTCTGCCTCCCAGGTTTAAGCAATTCTCCTGCCCCAGCCTCCTGAGTAGCTGGGATTACAAGCGCGCACCGCTATGCGTGACTAATTTTTTGTATTTCTAGTAGAGATGGGATTTCGCCATGTTGGTCTAGAACTCCTGGTCTCAAGTGATCCGTCCGCCTCGGCCCCCCAAAGTGCTGGGATCACAGGTGTGAGCCTCCACACCTGGCCTGGGACTGGCTTTTGTTCATGTCTGTCTCCACAGTGATCAGCACATGGTCTGCTACACAGAAGGTGCTCAGTGTATATTTGTTCAAGAAAGATTAACAAGTTTTTTTTTTTTTTTTTTTTTTTTTTTTTTGAGATGGAGTCTTGCTTTGTCGCCCAGGCTAGAGTACAGTGGCATGATCTCGGCTCACTGCAACCTCCGCCTCCCAGGTTCCGGTTCAAGCAATTCTCCTGCCTCAGCCTCCTGAGTAGCTGGGATTACATGCACGCGCCACCATGCCCAGCTAATTTTTGTATTTTTAATAGAGACAGGATTTCACCATGTTGGCCAGGCTGGTCTCGAACTCCTGACCTTGTGATCCACCCACCTTGGCCTCCCAAAGTGCTGGGATTACAGGCATGAGCCACCCGGCCCAGCCGTGTAGACTCTTGTTTTTATTCCTCTGCCTGCTAGAGAGGCAGCTTAGCACACGGATGCAGAACACAGGCCTGAACGGGGCTGAGTGTTCCCCATGGACCAACTCCTGTTCAATGGCCCCAAGAGAGGGGTTCAGAAAGCCAATACTCACAGGGTTCCTCCTGTCCAGGCAAAGTGACTCGATGTTTCTTAATACCGTCAAACAGGAGCTCCGCACCACCTCTGCAAAGGAGGACCAGAGAAAAAGACAGCCAGGTGAGCTCCTGCAAATAGGAAGAGGTAGCGGAAACAGAAAACTGAGGATAGGGCTGGTAATGAAGGCCGAGAGAAGCAGAGACTAAGGTGCAGAAACACCTTGGGTGCAGTGACTAATTCTTTTTCTCCCCCTTTCTTTCTTAGAGACAGGTTCTTACTCTGTCGCCTATGCTGGAATGCAGCAGTGCAATCATAGCTCGCTGTAACCTTGAACTCCTGGGTTCAAGAGACCTTCCTGTTCAACCTCCCAAGTAGCTAGGACTACAGGTGCATGCCACCATATCAGGCTACTTTTTATATTAATATTTATGTTTATATTTAATTTTATTTTACTCTGTTTAGTCTCACTCTGTTGCCCAGGCTGCAGTGCAGTGGTGTGATCTCAGCTCACAGCAACCTCCGCCTCCCAGGTTCAAGTGATTCTCGTGCCTCAGCCTCCCGAGTAGCTGGGACTACAGACATGAGCCACCACATCTGGCTAAGTTTTGTATTTTTAGACAGAGGGTTTCACCATGTTGGCCAGGCTAGTCTCAAACTCTTGACCTCAGGTGATCCGCCCACCTTGGCCTCTCAAAGTGCTGGAATTACAGTCATGAGCCACCGCGCCTGGCCCATATCAGGTTAATCTTTAAATTTTTTGTAGAGATGGAGTCTTGTTATGTTACCCAGGCTGATCTCAAACTCCTGGCCTAAAGCAATCCTCCCACTTCAGCCTCCCAAAGCACTGGGATTACAGGCACAAGCCACTCTGCCCAGACCCAGTGACCAATTCCTAAATATGACTTCTAATGTGGCAAGGTAGGATATAATTTTTACTAATAATCAAGTACCGGCTAGGTGTGGTGGCTCACACCTGGAATCCTAGCACTGTGGGAGGCCAAGGCGAGATGACTGCTTGAGGCCAGGAGTTTGAGATGAGCCTCAGTGAAATAGAGCCTTGGTGACATAGCAAGACCCTGTCTCTATGTAATTATTATTATCATTAGGCACCCGGGAAATTATTATCTATTTATTTTTGAGACAAGGTCTTGCTTTGTCACCCAGCATGGAGTTCAGTGGCACAATCACAGCTCACTGCAGGCTTGACCTCCTAGGCTTAAGCAATCCTCCCACATCAGACCCCCAAGCAGCTGGGACTACAGGTGCATGGCATCACACTCAGCTAATTTTGTACTTTTTGTAGAGATGGGATTTCGCCATGTTGCTCAGACTGGTCTCGAACTCTTGAGCTCAAGTAATCTCCCTGCCTTGGCCTCCCAAAGTGCTGAAATCAGAAGCATGAGTCACTGTGCCTGGCCTATTTTTATTATTTTATTTTACTTTTTAAAAAAATTTATTTATTGAGACAGAGTCTCGCTCTGTCGCCCAGGCTGGAGTGCAGTAGTGCGATCTTGGCTCACTGCAACCTTCGCCTCCTGGGTTTAGGCAATCCTCTGCCTCAGCTTCCAGAGTAGCTGAGATTACAGGCACGTGCTACCACACCTGGCTAATTTTTGTATTTTTTTTTAATAGAGACAGGGTTTCACCATTGTGGCCAGGCTGGTCTTGAACTCCTGACCTCGTGATCCACCTGCCTCAGCCTCCCGAAGTGTTGGGATTACAGGCGTGAGCCACCGTGCCTGGCCTATTTATTTATTTTTTGAGACAAGGTCTCACTCTGTCACCCAGGCTGGAGTGCAGTAGCGTGATCTCAGCTTGATACAACCTTAACCTCCTGGGTTCAAGCAAACCTCCCACATCAGCCCCCAGGTAGCTGGGACCACAGGCACGTGTCACCACACCTGCCTAATTTTATTTTTATTTTTTGTAGAGACAGGGTCTCCCTATGTCGTCCAGGCTGGTCTTGACCTCCTGGGCTCAAGCAATCCTCCCAAAGTGCTGGGATTAGAGTTGTGAGTCATCATGCCTGGCTCTGTCTCTAATTATTTAAAAAGAAAAAAAAAAAATCAAGTACCCAAATTTGCCGACTCTTGTTTTTACTCCTCTGCCTTCTAGAGAGGCAGCTTACCACACAGGTGCAGAACACAGCCTTTGGAGCTGCCGGCCCCGATGTGAAGCCCAGGCTCCACCTCTCCCTATGTTGAGACCTTAGATGTGTGACTCAATCTTCTTTTTTCTTTGTTATTAAAATACTTTGGGGGCCAGACACAGTGGCTCACACCTGTAACTCTAGCACTTTGGGAGGCTGAGAGGCGAGGGAGGATTGCTTAAGTCCAGGAGTTCAAGAGCAGCCTGGGCAACATGGCAACACCTTGTGTCTACAAAAACTACAAAAATTAGGTGGGCATGGTGGTGTGCGCCTGTAGTCCCAGCTACTTGGGAGGCTGAGGTGGGAGGATCACCTGAACCTGGGAGGTTGAGGCTGCAGTTAGCCAAGGTCATGCCACTGTACTGCAGCCTGGGCGACACAGTGAGACCCTATCTCAAAACTAATAATAATTTAAAAATATTTTATAACATAGTGAGGTCTCACTCTATTGCCCAGGCTGGTCTTGAACTCCTGGGCTCAAGCAATCCTTCTGCCTCAGCCTCCCAAAGTGCTGGGATTATAGGTGTGGGCCACCATGCCTGGCCTTGACTCAATCTTAAGCTTCAGTCTTTCCATCTGGAAAAATGTTGGGGAGCCACTGTGAGGCACTCTGGAGACCCTGTGCATCTAGGGGTTTCCTCTGGCCAGATGATGGTTTGAATGCTCCTGCCCATGCCACCTGCTGCTGACCTGGTGGGTACATCACAGTGCTGGAGGCTGAGAGAGTCCATGAGGCCTGGCATCAACTAAGAACAACTGTTCACATCGCCTCACCATTTATAAGATGTTCCTCATCTCATTTCATCCTCAGGGAGTCCCAGGGAAGAAGGAAGGAGGTAGATATTATTTGCTCACTTTGATAGAAAAGCAGACTCAAGCCTAGAGAGGTTAAGCAACCAACTTGTCCAAGGTTAGAGAGGCAGGGGCTGAACTATAATTTCAGTCTAACTGATTCCTGCTTAGCACCAGCAGACTGGTCAGAAAAAAACAGGACTTCCCAAAGGTCAGAAAGCCTCTTGAGGGCAGAGTTTGGTTCATTTCTGTGTCCCAGCACCTGGCCAAGGGAAGGCGGGGACTGCAGAGATGATTGGAGCCAAGTCCAGAAGCTGAGGCTTCTGAGATGAGCGCCAGGGCTCTTTCAGCGCCCCATGCTGCTTCTCCCTCTGGGTCTCCCAATTCCCATCTCAGACTTCTTGTGGATCTTAACTGAAAAGGCCTCACCAGACTTTTGAAGAATGAGATGTCTTCCACCCCACCACCCTTTCCCAATTTCAGGGAACAGAGATGTCCTGAGACAGCCCGCTGGGAGGCAAAGGCAAGGCAAGCATTGTCATGGGGAAAACATGGGGCGACTGTCATCCAAACAAGGTCACGCTTTGTTGATGCAGAAATGTGGAGGGGGAGAGGAGGCCCATCTGTGGCCGCGCACAGGGCCATTTCAGCTGCAAGCCTGCACAGAGCCTCCATTTATTCCCTTCCAAGAGCCTCGTTTTCTCCTGGGTGGGGGGTTGGCACATGCAGCAGCTGGGGTGGGGGAGGGTGACAGGCAAGGGGCTCAGGAGTTGGGGGTCAGAGAAGAGGGATGGGAACTGAAGGCACTGGGACTTAGGCAAACAACCAAGACTGGCCAAACCTGGTGGTGCCAGGCTCAGAGGCCGAGGCTGTTTTTCCCTTTACAAGCGGATGAAGGGAGAACCAGTCTCGCTCAGAGAGTGACCTGTCACTGCTGAATTCACTGGCCCTCAAGGGAGGGGTTGGCATTTCTGCTGTCAGCACATCTGGAGTGGGGGAAGGTGCATGCCCAGCCTCAAGAGTGATTCAGGGAGGCAGACAAGGGGCCTGTTCTAGCCCAGGAGAGACCAAGGCCAGACTCTCTTATGTCTTATAAGATCTGCTATTCAAACTCAACTGACATATCTCCATCTTCCTTCAACCCCCCCAATTCTTGGTGGATGTGTTTGTAGATACCAGTGACAGGTATAGATATTCTCAAAACCACCTTCACCTTTTCTGATGTATCTTCATCTTTTAATCTTCTGTATATACACATACATATACACGTATATATATATTTTGTTTATTTACTTCCTCTCCACCTGCTGGGCTGCAAGCTCTGCCTAAAACAGGGCCTGGCACATGGTAGACACTCAACAAATATCTGCTAAAGGAAAGGAAATGCCCATTTCTCCCAGTTCTTCTCTGACCTCAATGACATTCCCTCCTTTTGCCAATACCTCCCCAACTTGGGAAGGAGGAAGAGGGGTGGGACGGAGAGAACTCCATATCTGGGCCTTTACAACATGGACCACAGGGACACAAAACACAACTATATTACATACTTTGAATCCTGCGTGACCTGAGAAAACGCTCTGCTGAGAACAATTCAGGGGGAAGACAAAGGGTGGCAGACGTGGTCACTGACAAGAAGGAAGGTGTTAGAGGCCTTCCAGAGGGTCTCTGGAGGAGCTGGTGGGGCCAAGAGGACTACATCTGCTCAGGAGGGAGACCCTTCCAGAACTGGAGTGGGAGTGGGGCCACTAAGGGACAAAAGAGAGAAAATGAAGGGCGTGTTAGCCTTTGCAAATTTGCTCCAGTTCTGGATAAGGGTGAATCATGTCTGCTAAGATACATAGGAAATGAAAGAAAGGTCAGGGCAAAAACGTGCATCAACACAAGGACAAAGAGAGAAGGAACCTGGGTTGAGCATCATGTTGGGCATTCCTGAGAATGCTGCAATTTTCATGGAACGCTGTGCTGTGACAGGAGGTGATAGAAGGTGGGTGGGTGGGTGGGTGGGTGGAGGAATGTTGTCCTGCCTTGCCAGGGGTCATTATTGCTCTTGGAGGTAAGGGAGACTGAAGTTAGAGATGATTGGGTCAGAAAAAGGGCAATTGTGCTGGTTTGTAAGCTCTGGAGAGCAATGGCCCCATCTTCCTCACATGACTTCCCCACTGAGCTAGCACAGTACCTAGCAGAGACATTGTTGATAAACAAAGACCATGTCTGACTCATGAGGATGAAAGGCAAGTTGTCTGCAGATAAATCTTCTTTTTTTTTTTTTTGGTAGAGATGAAGTCTCCCCATGTTGCCAAGGCTGGTCTCGAATTCTTGGGCTCAAGCAGTCCTCCTGCCCAAGCCTCCCAAAGTACTAGGATTACAGGCATGAGCCTCCATGCCTGGCCCAGATAAATCTTAACACAGCAGTCTGTGGCTTCTCTCTTTCCAGCTCTGCTGAGGCCTGTCAAGGAAGCAGGGATCCTCCTAGAATCCCAGGCTTTGGGGAGTGTAGCTGGGCCAAGGGTCAGTGAGGCAAAACAGTGAGGAGTCCAGACCAATACAGTTCTAATTGGATCCAAGCAGCCAGACAATATCAATTAAAATGCACTTAGTCATGAGACTTACCCCCCTTCTAAGGGGCAGAAATGCTGAACGCTGTAGGGCACGGACAGACTTCTATTTATCTTTGTATCCTCAGTGTCTGGCTTGCTGCCCGGCACATGGTAGGCACTCAATAAATGGCTGGTGAATGAACTACCCAATTAAGGGAAAACATGAAAGAAATGGGAGGCATCCAATGAGAAGAAAGGCACTGGGCAGAGGTTTTAGATTCCCATCCCAGACTTTTCCTGTCACATAGACCTTGGCTTATCTACACACACACAGGCACACACACACACCTACCTATTCCACACACACACACACACATCCCTACCTATTTCCTCTTTTCCACGTGATACTGTAAAGTACACCACCCATCTTTCAAGGCCTGTTTCTTTGCCTTCTCTCTAAGCTCTGCAGTTTCCCTCAGCTTTGAAACCATATGACAAACCTGTTTGTAGGAAGCACAAATAGTGCCTTGGGTAGACTTCCTCCCTGCTCTGTGTTTCTTCAGTAACTGGTGTGTGTCCCAATCTCTGCATTTTTCATCTTGTGTATACTATACTGTCCCTGTTAGTTCCCTTCAGTGTGATTTCTTATTTGTCCCCGTGTCTCCACCTGACTCCAGTTCTGCAGAAGGCAATCAGCAAGTTTACTGACTGTCCTGAAGGAGGCTCAGGTCTGTTTACCATCCCCAAGTCTTAGGAAAGAAAAAGAAAAAAGTCCCGCCCTGGCCACTACATCCCACGAGAAACAAGACCTTAATAACAGTGTAAAAAGAAACTGCTGCCCAAAGAATGAAATCAGCGGGTGGAGGGTGGTCCTTCTAGGTTCTAGGAGCTCAGATGCCAAACAGATGGGATTGGTCCGAGATAGGAATGGAAAAGAAGAGAGAGAGGCTGCCTGCTAACAGTCACGACCTCCGACTCCGGCGGAGCACAGGGCACCGAGTGGTACACAGAGAGCATTTCCCTCCCAATGTGCGCCTCTATTTCCGGACAGACGGCCTCACTGCCAAGAGAGACTGGCCTCTCAGACTCTCCTAGGCGGGTAGCGTAGCTCACAGCGGGCACTGGGACACCCAGTGATTCGGCCGTGTCAGGCCCCACGGCAGAAGGAAAGGAATTCTGGGCCCGACGACTTCAATCCATCCCCACGGCGCCCCAGCTCTGTGACTCACCCGAACTCCACCTCCACTGACAAGGGCGCAGCCATGTTGAGGAAGCCGAGCTCGCAGGAAACTCCCCTCAACTTCCGGCGCGCCCGCAAATTTCCGGGCGTCTCCGGGTGCCGCGGACGGAAGAGGCGGTGCCCAGGGATCCAGCTTCGTCAGCTGTTGGAGGAAGTCATCGAGGGGAGGGGAGGGGAGGGGAGGGCAGCGGAGGGAAAGGGGTGGCAGAGGGACTATCACCGGCGCTGTTGGGGCTGTGAATCGGTCTCCTTCCGTCTTTCACCGACTGGGCTCAGAGACCCAGGGTGGGAAGCGCCTTGTACGGGACCACAAGCAGGCGGAGGAGAGCCCCCAGGTTTTTTGCGACGTGACCGTGAGCCACGTAGCTGCTTATCTTGCATGAGTTAGAATCTCTTCAGTCTACACACCGCTTGGGCCAGCCCATCTACTCGTCTGGTTGGAATTATAAATGACTCCCAGATCTTTATTTCCGACCCAGAATCTCTCCTGAGCGGGCGACTCGCTATCCAGCCGCCCCCTTTGCTGTCGATTTGGAAGTCACTCGTTCAACAGCTGTTCATTGCGCCTCCCTGTGCCAGGCATTTTGATCGGTGCTAGTGGTAAAGGGGATGGGCAAGGTTCCTGCCTTTAGGGCACTCACAGTCTAGCGGGGAGACTAACTGTAATCAAATAAGCATACTAAGACATGTACAACCTCAAACTTAAATAAAGGAACTGAAGTTATAGGAACTTCAAAAAGAAAACTGAGTAGACTGGACTTGCTGGGCTCTAAAACCTGAGTAAACTAGGTGGCTGTGAGGGGAGAGAAACCTCTAGGAGCATTCCAGTGAGGAGGACAAAAGGCCCAGAGGCTCTGGGTGAGAACATGCTGGAACATGGAGAGGAAGGTGGAAGTTAGGGAGCCTGACTTTCATCCATCTAGAGAGGGAGCTGCAAAGGTGCTCAGGGGCCAACCCCTGCCTTGTAAGCAGGTAAACATTTCAGTCTCTAGGAGCAGTGGGAGACTACTGAAGGGTTTTGGGAGACAGTGACATTTTAGAATTGTGTTTTAAAATATAATTTCTGGCTGCAATATGGAGAATGATTTGAGGGGAATAAGGAAAGAGACACGGAGACCACTGGAGCCTGTTGCAAAAGCTCAGGGCAGGCCGGGCGCGGCGGCTCAGGGCAGGCCGGGCGCGGCGGCTCACGCCTGTCATCCCAGCAATTTGGGAGGCCGAGGCAGGCGGATCACGAGGTCAAGAGATCAAGACCATCCTGGCCAACATGGCAAAACCCTGTCTTTACTAAAAAAATACAAAAATTAGCTGGATGTGGTGGCGTGCGCCTGTAGTCCCAGCTACTCGGGAGGCTGAGGCAGAAGAATCGCTGGAACCCGGGAGGTGGAGGTTGCAGTGAGCTGACATCGAGCCACTGCACTCCAGCCTGGTGACAGAGCAAGACTCTGTCTCAAAAAAAAAAAAAAGCCCAGGGCAGAAATGGAATGAAGTTGGCCAGGCACAGTGGCTTATGCCTGTAATCCTAGCACTTCGAGAGGCCACGATGGGCGGATCACGAGGTCAGGAGTTCAAGACCAGTCTAGCCAACATGGTGAAACCCTGTCTCTACTAAAAATACAAAAATTAGCCAGGCATGGTGGCAGTCTCCTGTAATCCCAACTACTCTGGAGGCAGAGGCAGGAGAATCCCTTGAACCCAGGAAGCAGCAGAGGTTGCAGTGAGCCGAGATCGTGCCACTGGACTCCAGCCTGGGCGACAGAGTGAGACGCTAAAAAAAAGAAATGGAATGAAGTAGACGGCCTATGGGTATCTAAACACCAACACTTCCAAAACTGAACTCAGCATTGGTAGAGGATGATGGTGTAGCCTAGTGGTTAAGGGCAGAATGATGTAATAGTTAAGATCTAGGAGTTCAGGTGGAATGGGTGTGGCGACTCACACCTGTAATCCCAATGCTTTGGGAGGCCAAGGCAAGAGGACTGCTTCTGGCTGGGAGTTTGAGACCAGCCTGGGCAACACAGCAAGTCCCTATGTCTGTAAATGTTTCTTCAAAAATCAGCCAGGCATGGTGGAGTGTGCCTGTCCCAGCTACTCAGGAGGCTGTGAGGGGAGGATCACCTGAGCCTGGAGGTCAAGGCTGCAGTGAGCCGTGATCATGCTATTGCATTCAGCCTGCATGACAGAGTGAGACTCCGGAGTGCAATGGCATGATCACAGCTCACTGTAATCTTGAGCTGCTGGACTCAAGGGAACCTCCTGCCTCAGCCTCTAGAGTAGCTGAGACCACAGGCACTGATAAAGTCCTTCCTTCCTTCTAGTCCACCATGCCCGGCTAATTTTTAAAATTTTTTTGTAGAGACATGTTTTCACCATGTTGCCCAGGCTACTCTCAAACTCCTGGGCTCAAGCAGTCTGCCTGTCTTGGCCTCCCAAAGTGCTGGGATTACAGGTGTGAGGCACCACACTGGGCCAAAAAAAAATTGTTTTGTTTTTGAGACAGATTCTTGCTCTGTCACCCAGGCTGGAGTGCAGTGGCATGACCTCGGCTCACTGCAATCTCTGCCTGCCAGGTTCAAGAGAGTCTTCTGCCTCAGCTTCCCGAGTATCTGGGACTACAGGCTTGCGCCATCATCCTGGCTAATTTTTGTACTTTTAGTAGAGATGGGGTTTCACCATATTGGCCAGGCTGGTCTCGAACTCCTGACCTGGTGATCTGCCCGCCTTGGCCTCCCAAAGTGCTGAGATTACAGGTGTGAGCCACTGCACCTGGCTTGGCCAAAGAATTTTTAATTTAAAAAAAATTTTTTTTGTAAAGATCTAGGAGTACAACTACCAGCTTTATATGCAGGCCCTGGCCAGGCACAGTGGCTCACGCCTGTAATCCCAGCATTTTGGGAGGCCAAGGTGGATGGATTGCTTGAGGCCAGGAGTTCAGAACCAGCCTGGGCAACATGATGAAACCCCATCTCTACCAAAAGCCAGGCATGGTGGCACACACCTGTAGTCCCAGCTACTCAGGAGGCTGAGGCACAAGCTGGGAGGCGGAGGTTACACTACTGCACTCCAGCCCTGGGTGACAGTGAGACTGTCTGAAATAAAAATTAAAATTAAAAATTAATATATCTAGGTCCTACTACTTTCTAGCTGTGTCTTTGGGCAAGTCCCTTAACAGCTTTGCGCCTCAGTTTCCTCATCTGTAAAATGGGGATAATAACATCCCAACCCCATAAGGTTGTAGTGAGGAGTGAGTAAGTTCTTGGCACAGTGACTCTTTCCTAAAACAGGTTCTCTCAGCCGGGCGCAGTGGCTCACACCTGTAATCCCAGCACTTTGGGAGGCTGAGGCAGGTGGATCACTTGAGATCAGGAGTTCGAGACCAGCCTGGCCAACATGGTGAAACCCATCTCTACTAAAAATAGAAAAATTAGCTGGGCATGGTGGTGCACACCTGTAATCCCAGCTACTTGGGAGGCTGAAGCAGGAGAACTGCTTGAACCCGGGAGGCTGGAGTGCAGTGGCGCAACAAGAGAGCTAGACTCCGTCTCAAAACAAACAAAACAAAACAGGTTCTGTGTTCCCCATCTCAGGAATACCACTACCACCCACCAAAACACCCAAGTAAACACCCAAATTACCCTAATTTTCCCTCTCTCATATCCAAACAGTCACCAAATTTGGATGAGTCTCCCTTCTTTTTTTTTTTTTTTGAGACGGAGTCTCACTCTGTCGCCCAGGCTGGAGGGCAGTGGTGCGATATCAGCTCACTGCAAGCTGTCTCCCGGGTTCACGCCATTCTCCTGCCTCAGCCTCCCAAGTAGCTGGGATTACAGGCGCCCGCCACCAGGCCTGGCTAATTTTTTGTGTTTTTAGTAGAGATGGGGTTTCACCATGTTAGCCAGGATGGTCTCAATCTCCTGACCTCGTGATCTGCCTGCCTCAGCCTCCCAAAGTGCTGGGATTACAGGCGTGAGCCACTGCGCCCAGCCGAGTCTCCCTTCTAATCTGGCATGCCCCCCCAGTCCTCCAGCTCATCACCTCACCTGCACCTGCTTCCTCTCTGGCCTGCCTGCCTCCCACCTCCTCTGGCCTTGGCTTCATTGTACAGATCAACTCCACGGACAGCTTTGAGCCCCTTCAATGTGCCAGGCCCTGTTCCTATAAAACAAGGACAAATGAGACACTGCCCTGGTCCTTGGAAAGTGGAGGACTCACGTGGTACACAGAAAGGCCTCATCCTCACCGTGCCATGTGACCCACCCCTCTGTGGAACTCAGTTTCCCTATTCTGTGAAGAGGTTTGGGACCAAATGATCTTCTAAGGTCTTCTATGCAAACATATTCTAAGATTCTTCTACTGTACTCTAAGCTCCTTCTGGGCAGAAACTTTTCCTGATTCATCTTTGATTATAGCAGGTAGTGCGGAACTTTGTACTCTATAGGGGTTTGCCAAGAGCTTGCTGAATGAGTAAATGAATGAATGATATCAGTCCCCTGCTCAAAGTCACTTAATGGCTTCCCTTTGCCAACAAGCTAAGGGCCTACCTAGAAGGCATACAGAGCCCTTTACAGCCTCTGATTCCAACCCACCTCAGTGTCCCCTGACCTGGAAACTGCCTCCCAGAGCTGGAATGGAGCACTTGGGAGCATTTGAAGAGCTTCATCCACCTGACAAACATTCACTGAGAACCTATTACACACCAGGGCCAGTGTTGCTGCTGGGAACACAATGATGAACAAAACCTGTCAGTTGGCCGGGTGCGGTGGCACACGCCTGTAATCCCAGCACTTTGGGAGGCTGAGGCGGGCGGATCACGAGGTCAGGAGATCGAGACCATCCTGGCTAACACGGTGAAACCCCGTCTCTACTAAAAATACAAAAAAAAATTAGCCGGGTGTGATGGCGGGCACCTGTAGTCCCAGCTACTCGGGAGGCTGAGGCAGGAGAATGGCGTGAATCCAGGAGGCGGAGCTTGCAGTGAGCCGAGATCGCGTCACTGCACTCCAGCCTGGGTGACAGAGCGAGACTCCGTCTCAAAAACAAAACAAAACAAAAAAACAACAACAAAACAAACCACCACCACGAAAAAAAAAAAAAAACCTGTCGGTAGGCCAGGTATGGTGGCTCACGCTGTAATCCCAGCACTTTGGGAGGCAGAGGTGGGTGGATTACTTGAGGTCAGGAGTTTGAGACCAGCCTGGACATGGCGAAACCCCATCTCTACTAAAAACACAAAATTAGCCAGGTGTGGTGGAGCACACCTGTAATCCCAGCTACTTGGGAGGCTGGGGCAGGAGAATCGCTTGAACCCAGGAAGGGGAGGTTGCAGTGAGCCGAGATTTCGCCACTGCACTCCAGCCTGGGCGACAGAGCCAGGCTCCAACTCAAAACAAAACAAACCCCAAAACCTGTGGGTCTCCTTGCCCTCCTGGGGCTGATGTTCAAGGAGACCACATAGAGGGAACCACAGAAGACAGAGCAATCCATGGTATGGAGGGAGAACACGGGGCCTGTGGGAACCAGAGGAGGTCCCCAACTTAGTCCTGGGGTCCGGGAAGGCTTCCCACAGGAAGTCACATGGAAGCCCAAGTCTAAAGGAGGTGTTGGGAGTCTATGCACGGGGCCAGAGACACTCCCTCCCTACTGGAATCTCCCAGGCAGGTGGTCCTCCAGCTTCTCCTGGCACAGCCCAGAGATTGGTGAGCTCTTTGGGTAAACCAGCCCACTCTGTGGATGCCCAGCTATCACTGATAAAGTCCTTCCTTCTAACCCAAGCCTACCCCACTCCATCCTTTAGTTAGTAACAATATTAGCTTAACACCCATAATCTTTCAAATAGTATTTATTGCACGCCCACTTTGCACCTGCCAGGTGCATTACATGCACCCCCTAATTTACTCCTCACAGGGACTCTTTGTGATCCCTTTTTCAGATGAGAGCACCGAGACTCCGAATGGGTGGCTTGCCTGAGCCCCCGTAAGGCCTCAGCCCCAGGCTTTTGTGTCCTCGGGATCCCTGCCCCTTATGCACTGACCTCACTGCCTCCCCTTGGACTAGCCTCACCCAAATGCTTTCCCTTTGGGTCCACACAGAACAGGGGCTTGGGCCCCATTCCCTGTTCCCTCCAGCAGGCCGGCCAGCCCGGGCGTAGGCCTCCGTCCTCTCTGAAGCTCGCAGGGAGACAATGGCAGGGTCGGCTGGGGAGGCGAGGGCGCGGGTGCCCCCCTGCCTGCTGTCCTTTGTCTTCCCGCCTGCTCCCCTCGCGCGCCCCGGGAGGCTGGGAGGCGCCTCTCGCAGGCTTCCTCCTCCCATTCTTGTGCTAATTGGGTGTCAAGCTGAGATCAGTGAGAAAGAAATCCGCCCCGGCTCGGGTTAAACTGCCGCCAAAGACGAGGGCTGAGCCCAGAATATCATTAGGCCGGGAGGAAGCAGGGCCCCCTCCTCGGGGGGAGGGGCCGGCTACGCATTTCAAGCCCCTTTGAAAGTCACTCGGTCACCCCCTCCTTTGCTGCCGCAGCCTCAATGGGCCCCTCGGAGGTATTTAACCTTCTTCCCAGGAACTGAAAGTGATACACCATGCAGTGGCCTGGACAGCCACTTGCCTGTCCCGAGGGCAGCTGGACCTCCGGGAGCGCACGAGGCTGGCCCCTTCCAGCCTCTCCTGGAGGAACAGTTTGCAGATGGGAACACTGAGGTTCAGGGAAGGGGACTTTCCTCCCAGTTCTGCCATTCACAAGCTCTGTGGTATTTGGGAGAGACTTTGCCTCTCTGAGCCTCAGATTCCTCATCTGTGAAATGGGGATAAAAATGTACCTGCTTTGGGCTGGGCGCGGTGGCTCACGCCTGTAATCCCAGCACTTTGGGAGGCCGAGGCGGGTGGATCACTTGAGGTCAGGAGTTCGAGGCCAGACTGACCAGCATGGTGAAACCCCATCTCTACTAAAAATACAAAATTAGCCTGGCGTGGTGGCAGGTGCCTGTAATCCCAGCTACTTGGGAGTCTGAGGCAGGAGAATGGTTTGAACCCGGGAGGTGCAGATTGCAGTGAGCCGAGATTGGGCTACTGCACTCCAGCCTGGGCAACAAGAGCAAAACTCCATCTCAAAAAAAAAAAAAAAAAAATAGTACCTGCTTTGAATAGGAGGATTTTAAAAAAACAAGGTACGTGCTTTGAATAGAAGGATTTAATGAAATCATGCACATAAAGCGCTTTGCACAGGGCCTGACACATAGAAGTGCGCCGTACATTGTGGACATTAATGGCAGCCTAAGGAAGTGGGTTTGACTTGATACTCGGACCTCCAAATGGAGCTTGCTCCTCTCTGGAGGCGTAAAAATAGAAGAGCCCACAAAGGATTCTAACAACTCTAACCCCTCTCCCCAACCCTGCAGCTTCGCTGCCTGCCCTTATTTATTTGAGACAGTCTCACTCTGTTGCCCAGGCTGGAGTGCAGTGACATGAGCGCTCAGCCCACTGCAACCTCCGCCTCCCAGGTTTCAAGCGATTCTCCTGCCTCAGCCTCCCGAGTAGCTGGGGTTACAGGTGCCCACCACCACGCCAGGCTAATTTTTGTTTTTAATATAGAGATGGGGTTTCATCATGTTGACCAGGCTGGTCCCGAACCCCTGACCTCAAGTGATCTGCCTGCCTGGGCCTCCCAAAGTGCTGGGATATAGGCGTGAGCCACTGCGCCTGGCCTGTCTGCCCTTTTAACCTGCCCTGGACTTCCAGCCCTCTACATGTGGTTGCTTCCTCCATCTGGAACAATCTTCCTTGAAAGCCCTCCCTGACCAAGATACACCCAGCCTATGTGCTGGATTAGGTGCAGCTAAGCACACAGCCTTTGCTTCTTTACTCACCATCCCCCTCTCTGGAGATGGTGGCTCCCTGAGGGCAGATCTGGGACCCAGGTCTCTATCTTGCTCATCTGGCAGTTCCCTGCCCTCCCTGCACAGGGTAGGCCTTTAGAATTTGCTCCATAGGGCCGGGTGCGGCGGCTCACACCTGTAATCCCAGCACTTTGGGAGGCCGAGGCGGGCGGATCACCTGAGGTCGGGAGTTGGAGACCAGCCTGACCATGGAGACACCCCGTCTCTAATAAAAATACAAAATTAGCCAAGCGTGGTGGTGCATGCCTGTAATCCCAGCTACTCGGGAGGCTGAGGCAGGAGAATCGTTTCAAACCGGGAGGCAGAGGTTGCGGTGAGCCAAGATCATGCCACTGCACTCCAGCCTGGGCAACAAGAATGAAACTCCGTCTCAAAAATAATAATAATAATAATTTGCTCCATAGATGAACTTACAGGGTGCTCTGTAAACTGTGGGGCACTATATAAATGTCAGGAAATGCCTGAGAAACAGTAGCTATTTTTGTCAGTTAACCTCACAAGCATGTATTAAGCACCTGCTGCATGCACGGAGATGACTCACACAGCCATGGTTGAGGTATGATCAGATGCAGACCCGAGAGGTGAAGGGGTCACAGGCCCACCAGTCCCTGTCCATCATGGAGGGGCTGCAGTGGGGCCTAGTACAGAAGTGGGAAACTTAGCCTAGTCTAAGTGAGGTTTTAACATCTAAATATATCTCCTTTTTCTCTTTTAACTACCATGCACTGAGTGGACACCAGCACCAGGCCTAGTGCTGAGATTTTCGTGCATGATCTCATTGAATTTTCACAACTATCCCAAGATAGGGATTCCTTGACCTTCATTTACAGGAGAGGAAACTGAGGCTTAGCCTGGCAAGTGGTAGAGCTGGGATTTGGATGCAGGCCTGTCCGACTCCAGAGCCAGAGCTCTTCACCACCACTGCATATTGCCTTCGGGTGACTGTGTTCAACCTGGAGGAAGGAATGCCCCGCTCTGAGAGCTCCTTCTTCCCACTGTGGAGAACTCACTACTGAGGGTTAAAGACACAAAGCCGCACTGCCAACCAAATCCAGGTCCTTGGAAACCCGACCAAAGGCCCTCGGAGGCCTGTCACAGGGTCCTCTAAGTTGGGAACCTGCTCGCGGCTGAGGTGGGAATCAGCCTCTCCATGCTTCCCTCGGCTAAGGGCCAGGAGTGGATTCTCCAAGCTCCACACGCCCTCTGCTGATCACACTCAGGCACGGCAGCTATACCTGCCACATGACTCCACTCAGCACCGCTCCGCAAGGCCCCCACTCCAGTTCTGCCTCTGCATCCCAAATTCTCCCAAGACAGGCACTGGATTCCTCTGTCTTTCCAAGTGCACTCCCCCAGGAGGCACCCCAGCTTTCAGCCTGGCTACCCTCCGCCTGCACTGTCAGCTGCTGGCCCGGGGCGTGGCCAAGGCGGCCCTGCAGGCATGCGTGGAATGGAGGCTTTCTGGCTTCCCCCGCCTTCTGCACCAGGAGGCAGGGTGGTGTGGCAGGAAGGGCACGGGCTCCATTCCAGCCCTCTCTACTTGCTGTGAGATGTTGGCCATGTAACTGAAAACCTCCAAGTTCTGGTTCCTTCCTTAGAAAGCCCATAGTGGAGATAAAGGCCCAGGGGCTTGCACTGCCCACCGCCCTGGGCTGTGCTGGAACCCCTTCCCATTGGGCAGTGAGTTTCCAGCGTGGGTGTGACTCCTCCATCGGGGCCTAGGAGACAGCTGGCTCTCCACCGGCACTGCTGGTGGGACAGCTGTGTTGACTGTTCCAGGAAGCTTCCCTGGCCTCTGTCCGGGCTGCCAGGCAGCCTTGCTTTGGCTCTCACTGCAGCCCCCACCCCTGCAAATCTTTCCCGCCCCTAAACAACTGGGAAAATGCACCTCAGGCGGAGTCAGGGTCCTGCCCGAGGTGACGGTTTCCCCTCAAGCTCCTTACTCGTGATAGCACTTTTAGCTTCTGAATCCTCTTAACTGATGAATCCCATTTCACAGATGAAACTGAGTCATTTCCCCAAGGCCACACACTTAGAGTGACAGAGCTGGTTTGGACTTTCAAGCCCACACTGTTAAACACCTTGCCAGATTCACATGGGCACTGCCCCCGGCTGAACCAGCACATTGGAGGCAGGGGCTGCGGCATCTTACCTGCTACACCCTCAGCTTAGATAAGTGAATGAACAGATGAGGCGGGTCAATGGGCCAGGGGGTTGGCGTGGGGGATCAAGCGGCCACAGTGGGGCTGTGGGGTTCTGGGGTCAGGGTGGGCTTGGGTGGTTTGCACACAGGCTAGGAGGACTCAAGGCAGAGTTTATTGGCCCCTGAGCCCCCTCTCCCATTCCTCCTCCCCTCATAGCCAGGCCAAGACTGAGATGGAGGTGACACAGACCCACAAGGACTGAGAGGCCCTGCCTGAGGGATAATCAGGCAGCCACCCAGGGAGGAGGATGGGGGAGTGGGGAGAGGCCAGGGGCGTGGTCCTGACCTCCTGCTGTAGATGGGGCATCAGGGGCCACCTACAGATGTCAGGTCCTCTCCTCCCCTCCTGGAGGTGGGGGTGGAGCCCAGTGAACTTGGGCAGCTCTGGGGCTACGATTCTCTTTGGCCACCAGATGGATGCTACCACTGTCCCTGCCCACTCTGTTGACTTCCTGAGTCTGGGGACTTCTGCTCTGGTTCCATTTATAAGCTCCCTGCTCTCTGGGAAGGGCTCGGTGACCCCTTGTCCTCTCCCTACCCTCACCCAAGACATCATCCTGAGAAAACCCGTCAGTCTCAGCCTGGGAACCAGAGGGCCTGCCCAGCCCAGAAGACGGAACTTGGACATGAGACTTTCACAGAAAGCCTCTGGAAGGGTTGGGAAGGCAATGAGTCACTTGGCAGTTTTGGATGGAGGGGCAGCACCTCAGGATGGAGGTGCCAGGCCCTGCTTGCTTTGGTCTGGCCTTGTCCAGGACCGCTCTGGGGCGGAACCTGGGGCTCCGGATCCAGCATCCGCCGGCCCTCAGAGGGATGGGGGGAATCACAGCTTCTCCTCGCCTGCCTGGATGCGGCTGTAGGCCTCTTGGTCCAGCGGGACGTAGCGGCCCTTCTGGGCATCTAGATAGAACAGCGGGTCTTTCACAATAGCCGGGTCAAAGCCCTCCTTCCGTAGCTCTGTCTTCTGGAACTTGTAGGTTCCTGGGAGAGCAGGGAAGAAGACTCAGTGCAGGGCAGGGGCCCGAGCTCCCAGCTTCCCAACCACCAGTACTGAGGAAGGCAGGGAGCAGGGCTGGAGGACAAACAGGGGAGGGAAGTGGGGGAGGAGGCACAGCCCTTTACAGTTTGCAAAGAATGGTCATACAGCAGCTGTGGCAAAGTTGGGGCATGGGGACAGCTGCTAGTTACCCACCCACCCCTACTTTGCAGATGGGAAAACAGGCCTGGAGAAGGGAGGCTATTTGCCTAGTGTCACATGCTGAGTGACAGCAGAGTGGGGACCAGAACGGAGGTCTTCTGACTGTGATGTCTCCCTTTGAGTACCTACCAGGTAACAGTGTGAGCTTATTTCATCTGTACATCAGCCCCATAAGGCAGGTGCTCAACCGTATTCTCTGGATTCTAACACGGACGTGCTTGCAGATTTTAACATCTCTGAACTAGTATAATTAGCAGCACATATTTTCTTACTCGTACATAAAAAATTCATGGTATTTTTTTCTTTTTTATTGAGACAGGGTCTCACTCTATCACCCAGGCTGGAGTGAAGTGATGCCATCTCAACTCACTGCAACCTCCACCTGCCGACCTCAAGTGATCCTCCTACCTCAGCCTCCCAAGTAGCCAGGACTATAGGTGTGCACCACTGTGCCTGGCTAAGTTTTGTAATTCTTTCTTTCTTTCTTTATTGGAGACGGAGTCCTGCACTGTCACCGGGGCTGGAATGCAGTGGCACGATCTTGGCTCACTGCAACCTCGGCCTCCCGGGTTCAGGCGATTCTCCTGCCTCAGCCTCCCAAGTAGCTGGGATTACAGGCACCCACCACCACGCCCAGCTAATTTTTTGTATTTTTAGTAGAGACGGGGTTTCACCATGTTGGTCAGGCTGGTCTCGAACTCCTGATCTCAGATGATCCACCCTCCTCGACCTCCCAAAGTGCTGGGATTACAGGCGTGGGCCACTGCGCCTGGCCAAGTTTTGTATTTCTTGTAGAGATGGGGTTTCGCCATGTTGCCCACCCAGATCTTGAACTCCTGGGCTCAAGCGAGCTACCTGCCTCAGCCTCCCAAAGTGCTAGGATTACAAACATGAGCTGCCACGCCTGGCCGCATCTTTCAATCAATGGTATTAATCCTGTACAGATGAGAAGACTGATGCTCAGGGTGGTAGAACTGGGATTGGAACCTGGATGAGACAGACTACCAAAAATGGCTGCAGATTCCTCCCCTCCCTGTACACACACACCTCTGCTATGTGGCTTTGGCACTTCTCCTGGCAAGAGCTCGACTTTTTCAATCTCCATTGGCCTCAATCTGGACTGGCTTTACAACTTGCTTTAACCAACAGAAGGTGGCAAAAGCAATGTTGTAGGAGTTCTGGGTGAGTCTAGGCCTCGGGGGACCTTGCATCTTCCACCTCTACCTGCTTGGGGGTGCCCTGGGGCTAGTCTAGCCTTCCAAAGGGTGAGAGGCCACGTGGAGCAGAGATGAGCCATCCCAGGTGAGGGCCCAGACCGGCGCCGTCCAATATGACCTCATGTGGCTATTTACATTTAAATTATTAAACAAGGCCAGGCATGGTGGCTCACGCCTGTAATCCCGGCACTTTGGGAGGCCAGGGTGGGCGGATCACCTGAGGTCAGGAGTTCGAGACCAGCCTGGCCAACATGGCAAAACCCCATGTCTAATAAAAAAAATACAAAAATTAGCCAGGTGTGGTGGCACGTGCCTGTAATCCCAGCTACTGGGGACGCTGAGACAGGAGAATCACTTGAACCCAGGAGGCAAAGGTTGCAGTGAGCTGAGATTGCACCACTGCACTCCGGCCTGGGCGATAGAGCAAGACTCCATCTCAAATAAATAAATAAATTTAAGTTAATTAAACAAAATTTAATCCCAAAGTGTTGGGATTACAGGCGTGAGCCACGGCGTCCAGCCAGCAGCCACCTTTCAAGTGCTCAGTAGCTCTGCCAGGCTAGTGGCTACTGTGTTGGACAGCAGAAACCTAGAACATTTCCATCGCTGCAGAAAGTTCTGTTGGACAGTGCTGCAGAGGTAAGCAGCCGAGAGCCAGACACGTGGGTGAGGCCATCTAACTGCCTCTTGCCCCAGCTAAGTTACTAAGTGATGACCCCAAAGCAAGGTCAATAGAAGAACTGCTCAGCTGCACTTAACCCCTAAATTGCTTACCCACAGAATTATGCATCAATAAACTGGTTGTTTCGAGCCATTTTGGGGCAAGTAAGTTTGGGGGTGGTTTGTTCTGCAGCAAAGCCCATCTGAAATACAAGGTCTGAGAGCCTCCCTGCCTTTCCTGGACAGAAGTATGGTGCTGCTCAATCCTCCGGAAGCTCATGGTCTTGGCCATTAGCCTGGCCACAGTGTCTCCAACCTTCAGAACCACACTGAAGTCCTAAACCCTCCCCGATGCTTTAGGCACTCCAGGTACCCACTCTCTGGCAGAAGCCACATTGGCTAGGGAGTGCCCACCATCAAGGCAGGACTGATATGACGACAACGTGGGAGGTGGCCAGGGAAATGTGCTCCAAAGGGTGAGCAGCCAGGGAGGGCCCAGAAGAGGCACCAAGGGCTGAGGAAAGCAGGGGCAGGTATGGGCATGAGCCTCAGCATTTCCTGCCCACCAGGGAACTCTTGAGAGCCACCAATGGGCCAACAGATAGAAAGATGGTGCTGCCTTGTGGGCGACTGCGGGCCCGCTGCCCACCTCCCACCTGGACAACTGCAACAGCCCCTCCCTCGTCTCCCAGCTCCCTCAGGGCTGCCTGCAATCCTCTCCCACTCCGTACACAGCAGCCAGAGAGCTTTGTAGAGCATGAGTCTGACCAGGTTCCCACCTGCTAAGATGCTTTTTTTTTGAGACAGAGTCTCACTCTGTCGCCCAGGCTGGAGTGTAGTGGCATGATCTCAGCTCACTGCAACCTGTGGCTCCTGGGTCTCCTGGGTTCAAGCAATTCTCCTGTCTCAGCCTCCCGAGTCGCTGGATTACAGGTATGTACCACCACGCCCGGCTAATTTTTTTTTTTTTTTTTTTTTGAGACAGAGTCTCACTCTGTCTCCCAGGCTGGAGTGCAGTGGCACGGTCTCGGTTTACTGCAACCTCCACCTCCCAGGTTCAAGTGCTTCTCATGCCTCAGCCTCCCAAGTAGCTGGGATTACAGGCGCCCACCACCATGCCTGGCTAATTTTTTTTTTTTTTTTTTTGAGACGGAGTCTCACTCTGTAGCCCAAGCTGGAGTGCAGTGGCGTGATCTCAGCTTACTACAACCTCCACCTCCGGGGCTCAAGCGATCCTCCTGCTGCAGCCTCCCAAGTAGCTGGGACTACAGGCGCCCACCACCATACCTGGCTAATTTTTTTGTATTTTTGGTAGAGACGGGGTTTCATCATGTTGCCCTGGATGGTCTCAAACTCCTGAGCTCAGGCAATCCATCTGCCTTGGCCTCCCAAAGTGCTGAGATTACAGGTGTGAGCCACCATGCTCAGCCTAATTTTTTTATTTTTATGTTTGTATTTTTAGTGGAGATGGCATTTCACCATGTTGGCCAGGCTGGTCTCGAACTCCTGACCTCAAATGATCCGCCCACCTTGGCCTCCTAAGTGCTGGGATTACAGGCGTGAGCCACCACGCCCAGCCAGCTAATTTTTATATGTTTAGTGGAGACGGGGTTTTGCCATGTTGGGCAGGCTGGTCTCGAACTCCTGACCTCAAGTGATCTGCCCGCCTTGGCCTCCCACCCAAAGTGCCGGGATTACAGGCATGAGCCACTGCGCCCGGCCTTGCTGAGATGCTTCTGTGGCTCCCTACTGCCCCCGGGACAGTCCCGACTCTTACCCTGGCCTGCAAGGCCCTGGGCTTCTGGCCCCTGCTGGTTTCTCTCCCACTTCATGCCACTGCCTGCCCCTCTCACTTGGCTCCAGCCTTGGGGGCCCCCTTTCGTTCCTCCAGCACCCAAGCTCCTTCCTGCTTCGGGGGCTTTACAGTGTCTATTCCTGCAGCCTAGAGTGCCTCCCACCGCCATAAAGTCCTTCCTTTCATTCAGGTCTCAGCTGAACCATCCCCTCCTCAGAGGAGCCTTCTAGTCATCCCAAGCGTCCCACCTTTTTGCTTTCCTATCAGCTTGCTCTGTGGTTCATTTTTCTTTTTATCTGTTTAACTCTAATCTCATGACAGATTATGTGGTCGATTCTTTACCTTTGGAATGCCTTGTCCTAGGCCAGCCTCTCTCCTGCTCTAAAACTCCAAGAAGGCAAAACATCCAGAGCTCACCAGCCGTATCCCGAGGCTTAGCGCTGTGCCTGGCACCTAATATGTGTTCTACTAAGGAACAATGTGTGTCTTCTCTGCCAGCCCCGTCTGCTCACCTCTACACAGGCAGGTCACTTTACCAACTGCCCGGCCAGGCTGTGTGCAGAGGTCAAGTAACAGCCAACCGGGTCTCTCCAGAAGGAAACGGGAAGGGACCTGGGATCCGAGAGCTGGAGCAGGGGAGGGACACACCTGTTTTGTGCAGCTCAGGCAGGAGGCGCAGGAAGATGGGGCGCGCATACAGGGGCAGTTCCTTCTCCAAGACCTGAGCAAAGCGCTCCAGGTCACAGTTGCCAGTGGGGCTGGCCACAGCAGCCATTCCGGCCCGGCCCTCGGTTCCTGGGGGTGGCAGGGTAGACACTGAGTAGCTGGTGGTGCCCCTGGGTGGTGCCTCCCTACCCACACCTCGCGCCTGCCTGCACATACCTGGCACCTCGACACCATACACGGCCACGTCAGCCATGTCCAGCAGGCGGCTGAGTGTGCCTTCCACCTCGGTGGTGGACACGTTCTCACCTTTCCAGCGGAACGTGTCCCCAGTGCGGTCTCGGAAGTACAGGTAGCCCAGCTCGTCCATCACCAGCACATCACCTAGGGAGGGGCCGGATGAGGCAGGGCTGGGCCTGGCCAGCTCTGAGACCAGGGCTCAAGCCAGGGAGGCTTTGCTGGAGCCCAAGGATTTGTTTGACCACAAGGGCCAGGACTGGGGGAGTCCTGGGAAGGTGTCCTCTGGAGGTGGGAGAAGGTCCCCTCCTCCCCCAACCCTCAGGAAGGGGCTGTGAAGGGCTGGGGACCCACCAGTAAGGTAGGCCTGGTCCCCCTTCTTGAAGACATCCTTGGCAATCTTCTTGTTGTTGGCGCCCTGGTTGAGGTAGCCATCGAAGCGGCGCAGGGGGTCTTTCTGGATGATGCGGCCCACCAGCTGGCCCGGCTCACCTGGGGTGGGGAAGGCAGGGTCAGATCTGCCCTAGGCAGCCTCTCCCACCCGTCCTGTCACCAGGTGTACCCTGCGTCTTTTTTTTTTTTTTTTTTTTTGAGACGGAGTTTTGCTCTTGTTGCCCAGGCTGGAGTGCAGCAGTGCAATCTTGGCTTACTGCAACCTCTACCTCCTGGGTTCAAGCAATTCTCCTGCCTTAGCCTCCTGAGTAGCTGAGATTACAGGCACACGCCAACAGGCCCAGCTAATTTTTTTTTTTTATTTTTTAGTAAAGATGGGTTTCATCCTGTTTGCCAGGCTGGTCTCGAACTCCTGACCTCAGGTGATCCACCCGCCTCGGCCTCCCAAAGTGCTGGGATTACAGGTGTGAGCCACCACTCCCAGCCTGTACTCTGTGTCTTGATCTGATTTGAGTCATGCTGCTTGCCACAGAAATGCCCCACCCTCCCCCAGCCCAGGAGCTCATCTTGGCAGGTCGGACACACTGAGCCAGTGATGTTTGTTCTCGAAACTGATGGGAGGATGAACATAAGTCAGGCTCCTTGGGGACAGCCTAACAAAGCCAGCGCCCCAAGCCTCTGCTCCATGCCGGGACCCACTCAGAGTTTTATGTTCTTTATGAAACATAATCCTCAGGCCAGCCCCATGTGTGGGTGCTGCCATGGGCACAGTTTGTAGATAAGGGGACTTAGGCACAGTGAGGCTGAATACTCGCCCATGACACAGAGCTAAGGAGCTGAGCCAGAATAAATCTCAAGCAGCCTGGACTCAGGGTCATTTGGAGTCAATATGAAAATGAATGAATGAGGGCCGGGCATGGTGGCTCACATCTGTAATACCAACATTTTGGGAGGCCGAGGTGGATGGATCACTTGAAGTCAGGAGTTCGAGACCAACCTGGACAACATGGTGAAACCCCATCTCTATTGAAAATAGAAAAACTAGCCGGGCATGGTGGGGTTTGCCTGTAATTCCAGCTACTCAGGAGGGTGAGAAAAGAGAATTGCTTGGCCGGGCGCGGTGGCTCACGCCTGTAATCCCAGCACTTTGGGAGGCCGAGGCGGGCGGATCACGAGGTCAGGAGATCGAGACCATCCCGGCTAAAACGGTGAAACCCCGTCTCTACTAAAAATACAAAAAATTAGCCGGGCGTAGTGGCGGGCGCCTGTAGTCCCAGCTACTTGGGAGGCTGAGGCAGGAGAATGGCGTGAACCCGGGAGGCGGAGCTTGCAGTGAGCCGAGATCCCGCCACTGCACTCCAGCCTGGGCGACAGAGCGAGACTCCGTCTCAAATAAAAAAAAAAAAAAGAATGAATGAATGGACTGATGTACAGATAGAATGGCGAATGAATGAATGAATGGATGGATACACAAATAAATGAGTAACTTGTAACCCTAAGAGCAGAGATAACTGATGGCCACTGGTCAGAACAAGGCTCCCCATCCACACGCGCCTGGCCTCCTTCCTTCCCAGGCCAACCCCTCCCTCTCTGACCCCGAAGTGGCAGACCTGGCTGGCAGGGAATGCAGACGCCGTCGGGCCCCCGGATCAGCTCCATGGTGTCCTCGTTGACACGTACCAACCGGATGGGGTACACGAAGGACAGGATGCGGCTATTGAAACCACAGGCCCCCACCTGCGAAGGCCAAGACTTGGGCCTGGGCTCTCTCACCATGGGCCCAAAACTGGACAATGAGGGGGAAGTGGGACTCCAGCACCCACACTCTCACGCTCGAACTCTGCCCTCCCCTCTGCATCCAGTGCCTTCTGTGGGCCATCCCTGCAGCAGCCTCGCCCATCCCCAACCTGGCCGCACCTGGCTGTCGAAGTTGCCCAGGCTACAGTTGCACTCTGTGGCCCCGTAGAACTCAGCCACCTGGGGTATGTGGAAGCGGCTGGAAAAGTTGGTCCAGATGGACTGCCGGAGGCCATTGCCTAGTGCCATGCGAACCTGGTGCTGGTTTTCTGCCTCCCGCGGTGGCTGGTTCAGGAGGTAGCGGCACAGTTCACCAATGTACTGCACAATCTGGGGGTGAACTTGGTGTGATTCGAGGCTCCAGAGGCTGCCCTCACTACACTAGGATTCTCCTGATCCCTCAAGCCCCTACTCTCCCCAGGGGCTGGCCATGCCATCCTTTCCCTCTCCGGGTCTCAGCCTTCCCATCTGAACAATGGGAACTTTGCCACAAATGAGCCCTTTGGAATGACTGGCCACCTCAGCTATAAGACAGATGCCCCGGAGTGTAGTTGGGAAGAGGGTAACTAGGGGAAAGGGACAGCTCACCCTTCCCGCTCTCGCTCACCGTGCAGTTGTACTTGATACAATCGTCCCAGAACCGGGAGGCTGAGAACTTCTTCCGAATCACCACCGTCATGCCATGCAGCAGGCACTGGCCGATTCCCACGATGTTTCCTGGAGGCAGAGGGATGGCCCCTGAGGGTCAGCGAGATGAAGACCCTCCCCGGCCCCAAATCAGTGATACTGCCATCCAGCCAGGCAGGCTTGTGCTGCCCTGCAGGCTTCTGCACCTCACATCTGCCTGCCTTGGGTGACCTCCTCCAAGAAGCCTCCCCGGCTTCCATCACCAGGCTCTTCCCTGGTGCTGCCCTCTTGCTCCCTGCCTCTCTCCTACACTCACATATACACCCGACTCTAAGCACCTGGAGGGCAGGAGCTATATTTATTCAAGCTGTCTTCCCTTAAGCCCCTACAAACAAGCAGCAATGCCATGCATATCTGTGGAAACAAACTGAAATGAGACAGGCCCAGATGCCCCGTGGGACACTGCCACACACACTGTGAGGCTGGTGTGCTCATCCTTTTTTCAATTTAAAACAACTTTTTTTTTTTTTTTTGAGACGGAGTCTCGCTCTGTCGCCCAGCCTGGAGTACAGTGATGCCATCTCGGCTCACTGCAAGCTCCGCCTTCCGGGTTCATGCCATTCTCCTGCATCATCCTCCCGAGTAGCTGGGACTACAGGCGCCCGCCACCACGCCCGGCTAATTTTTTTTTTTTTTTGTATTTTTAGTAGAGATGGGGTTTCATCGTGTTAGCCAGGATGGTCTTGATCTCCTGACCTCGTGATCCGCCCGCCTCGGCCTCCCAAAGTGTTGGGATTACAGGCGTGAGCCACCACACCTGGCCTAAAACAAAATTTTTTTTAGAGACAGGTCTCACCATGTTGCCCAGGCTGGCCTTAAACTCCCAGGCTCAAGTGATTCTCCTGTCTCAGCCTTCCCAGTAGCTGAGACCATAGGCATGTGCACCACGCCTGGCTAATCCTGTTTATTTTTATTTTTAAATTAAATTAAATTAATTTATTTATTTATTTTGAGACAGAGTCTTGCCCTGTCACCCAGGCTGATGTGCAATGGCACGATCTAGGCTCACTGCAACCTTTGCCTCCTGGGTTCAAACCATTCTCCTGCCTCAGCCTCCTGGGTAGCTGGGATTACAGGCACCCGCCACCAAGCCCAGCTACTTTTTGTACTTTTAGTAGAGACAGGGTTTCACCATGTTAACCAGGCTGGTCTCGAACTCCTGACCTCGTGATCCACTCACCTCCCAAAGTGTTGGGATTACAGGCGTGAGCCACTGCGCCCAGCCTATTTTTATTTTTTTTGAGACAGTGTCTCGCTCTGTTGCCCAGGCTGGAGTGCAGTGGCGTGATCTCAGCTCACTGCAACCTTTGCCTCCCAGGTTCAAGCAATTCTCATGCCTCAGCCTCACAGGTAGCTGGGATTACAGGCACACGCCACCAGACCCAGCTAATTTTTTTTTTTTTTGAGACAGTGTCTCGCTCTGTTGCCCAGGCTGGAATGCAGTGGCGTGATCTCAGCTCACTGCAACCTTTGCCTCCCAGGTTCAAGCAATTCTCGTGCCTCAGCCTCACAGATAGCTGGGACTACAGGCACACGCCACCACACCCAGATAATTTCTTTCTTTTTTTTTTTTCCGAGACAGAGTCTTGTACTGTTGCCCAGGCTGGAGTGCAGTGGCACGATCTTGGCTCACTGCAAGCTCCACCTCCCGGGTTCACGCCATTCTCCTGCCTCACCCTCCCGAGTAGCTGGGCCTACAGGCATGAGCCACCACACCTGGCTAATTTTTTGTACTTTTAGTAGAGACGGGGTTTCACCGTGTTAGCCAGGATGGTCTCGAACTCCTGGCCTCAAGTGATCCGCCCACCTTGGCCTCTCAAAGTGCTGGGATTACAGGTGTGAGCCACCACACCCAGCCTAATTTTTGTATTTTTAGTAGAGATGGGGTTTTGCCATGTTGGCCAGGCTGGTCTCGAACTCCTGGCCTCAAGTGATCCGCCCACCTTGGCCTCCCAAAGTGCTGGGATTACAGGTGTGAGTCACTGCGCCTGGCCCAAAGCTGTGTGTTTCTACTGCAGCACACTGCCTGATGGGGGTGGGGTTCCTAGAGACCTGGCAGGTGCTGGAGGCTGTGTGACAGCCCTAGAGTTACCTGCTGAGTGGTAGAGGGGGAGGCAGTCATAGACGATGTCGTTGGGCCGCATGCGGAATCCATAGTACACCAGGGCAGCCATGCGGTAATACCTGGGAAGGCACAGGGCCAAGGGCTGAGCGGGCCCTAGAAAGGCAGAAGGAGGCTCCCCAGCCCTGCCTGTGCCTACCCCACCCTGGGCACCTGCCCCTTACCTGCTGTGCACCACGATGGCGGCCTTGGGCAGCCCTGTGGTGCCGGATGTGTAGATGTAGAACAGTTTATCTAAAGAAAACAGACGCGAGTGGCTGTCGGGGGCAGCTCAGGGCTGGGCAAAGGGTCACACAAATGGACACCTGCAGGTGTGCACCCTTCAACACCTGTTCCCATCACACCCTTGCTAGGAAGCCTGTTCTGATAACCTCAGATACCATTCAGCTCTAACACCGGCATCCATTCCAACAAATATTTCCTGGGCCCTTGCTCTGTGCTAGGCCCTGGTGGAGAGAGACATCAGTGAGTAAGATGGGCACGGGCCTGGCCCTCTTGGCAGTCACAGCTCAGTGGAACAGTCAGATGAGGACACAGGCAATTCCAATACTAAGCAACAAGTGCCGAGGGAGGGCACAGGACCTGTTGAAACCCAGTAGCCACATTTGGCCCAAGCTTGCAGGAGGGGAGGTGGTGCCAGGTGGGCTTCACGATAAAGGTGACACCTGCCCCAAGTCATAGAGCACAGGGAGGCATTAGCTGCAGGAAGTGGGGTGTTGAGGTAGCTTCCGCACTGCTGAGCATTGATCTGTCCCACTCTGCAGCCCTCGACAGGGATTGCCACGTTAGAGTTTCTATGTGAGGCTCGGCCCTACCAGACTTGAGGTTCCCTGGAGGTCAGGAACTCCACAGGCAGACTCCACGTGTTTAGAATGCCTGCCGAGACACCTCATGCTCTCTGCCTGCCTGCTGTTTGCCAGCCCTAGGCACTATGAGGGCACCAGAGCAACCAGCCAGAGTCCCTGCCCTCAAGCAGCTGACAAATGCACCCAAGAGACCAGATTCACATACAAGAGAGAAGTTAAACAGTGCTGATGACAATGACCAGTTACTGAGCCCCTCCTGCCACACCCTAGCTTCAGGACTGGCCCCACTGTATTTTTTTCAACCCTCAAAGATACCCCATAGAGTAGGTTCTGCTACTGTCCCCAGTTTTATGGCTGTGGGAACTGAGGCTCCAAGGGCAGGGCAGGTGTCAGGGTTCACACAAAGGAAGCAGTAGAACCAGGATATAAACTCGGATCTGACTCGACAGCCCAAGCTCTGAGCCACCAGGCAATGTGGCTTCACAGGAAAGAGAATGAGAAGAGCAGAAGAACCAGGTAGGCTACAGTATAAAAGAAGAGGGGTGAGAGGCTCAGGAAGGCTGCCTGGAGGTGGGGTCAGGGAGGCAGCACAGTGCTGGGAGAGGATCACAGCTGGAGATCCTGAAGTGTCCTGCACTGAAGAGGCACTTGATGAATATACAAAGGGTCTTGCTCCTCACCCACCCTCCCACCCAACCCCAACCAAAGCCCAGACCAGGCAGGTTCCCGGAGTCCACAGGATTCTGCCCATTAGGCATCAATGAAGGCTTGTTCAACAAATCACACTGGACTTTGTGAGCTCCTGTGTTCTCAGCCCTGTATCTGGCACTGATACACATCAGCTCATGTCACCTTCACAGTAACCCTGGAGTGGCCCAGGTTTACTGTCACCATTTTCCAGATGGAAAAAGGGAGGTGACGTGACATGTTCCAGGCACATGGCAAGTTTCCAGAAAAGCCTCCTTCTGGCACTGAGGCCAGTGCTCTGTCCAGGGCCTGTGTGAGAGCCCCTCTATGGGGAGGGGATGGAGCCCACCTGTGAAGCCCTTGTCAGGGCAACTGGGAAGGTGCTTGGGAGCATCTTTCAGCAGAGGGTCCAGGTGTTCTGTGCTTGGAGGCACCGCACCGGGCTCCCAGGAGCCAGAGCAGAAGAGGCTGAGCGAGGGGTCCAGGCTGGCATGGACCTCACAGATGGCTGTGGGGAGACAGGGCAGTCAGCAGGCAGGCCAGAAAACCCCATGTTCCCAGGGACCTCTGCTCCCAGCAGGGCTGGCCATGTTGCTGAGGATACTGGCTGGGCAGGAGGAGAGGCAGTGAAGCAACTGGGCCTTCAGTGTTGACAGGGGCACCGGCAATGGTTCTATTAGCCATGGGCTAACCACAGAGTAGGTCCGCTTTACCTGCATTCCCTGGTCTCACAGCCCTGGGAAGGAGGGACCATTGACAGCCCCTCTTACAGATGAGAAGATTGACGCTCCGAGAATGAGAGGACCTGCTCACAGCTAGAATGTGCTGGACCTGGCGTGCAATGCCAGCTCTACCTCACATCAAGGTCTGGGCTCCCCCCCACTATCCCGCACTACTTACTCTGTGGTGCACCAGATAGAAGGGAGGAGTGCGGGTCAGAGGCCAGTGGCCCTCCATCCCCTTCCGAGAGCGGGAACCTGCTTTCAGGCTCCCCTGCGCACTGCACGGACATCACATAACCCCCACCCCCGGGCATGGAGCAGCGCTGGTCGGCTTGGCCCCACCTTCCTGGCTTCCTCTTGATTTGCCCAACCCTCTCTTCTTCCCTGGCTGCCTTCTTCCCTCTCCCCTTTCAGCACCATTTTTTTCTTTCCTTTCTTTTTTTTTTTTTTTCTTTTGCTTTTTTTAAATAGAGACAGACAGGGTCTCACTATATTGTCCAGGCAGGTCTTGAACTCCTGGGCTCAAGAGATTCTCCTGCCTTGGCCTCCCAAAGTGCTGGGATTACAGGCATGAGCCACTGTGCCTGGCCCCCTTTCAGCATCTTTTTTTTTTTTTTTTTAAGACAGAGTTTCACTCTGTCGCCCAGGCTGGAGTGCAGTGGCATGATCTCGGCTCACTTGGTTCAAGTGATTCTTGTGCCTCAGCCTCCTGAGTAGCCAAGATTACAGGCGTGTGCCACCACACCTGGCTAATTTTTGTATTTTTAGTAAAAACAGGGTTTCACCATGTTGGCCAGTCTAGTCTTTAACTCTCGAGCTCAGGTGACCTGCCCTCCTTGGCCTCCAAAAGTGCTGGGATTACAGGCGTGAGCCACCATGCCAGGCCCCCTTTCAGCATCCTAATGACTTCCCTATTCATTATCCCACAACCACAACAGTGTGGGGAGAAAAAACAGAGTGCTGTGATCAAGCTGAAGATCAAACCCCAGTTCTACCACTTACTAACTGTGTGATCTTGGGTGAGCTCCTCACAAACCCCTCTGAACTCCAGGCTCATCATCCATAAAACCAAGATCCCTACCTCACTCGGTCTTTATAGAGATTAGAGCTGCTCTTGGAAAGCAGCAACCTCAGTACTTTGCAGGTGCCCAATGTGGCAGCAAATAAAATGCAGGCTCTGTGAGGAAAGTGGGGAATTAATTTTGTTCCCATTTTACAGATGAGCTAGATACGGCCTAATTAGTCACAAGGATGATTACCATTGTACTGAGGGGCCACCTAGCATCAGCCATGTTGCTAGTGCTTCAGGTAAGTATCTTTTTTTTTGACACGTAACCTCTCTCTGTCATCCAGGCTGGAACACAGTGACGTGATCTCGGCTCACTGCAACCTCTGTCTCCTGGGTTCAAGCGATTCTCCTACCTCAGTCTCCCGAGTAGCTGGGACTACAGGTGCGCACCACCATGCTCGGCTAGGTTTTTTTTTGCATTTTTATTAGAGACGGGGTTTCACCATGTTGGCCAGGCTGGTCTCAAACTCCTGATCTCAAAGCTGCCCACCTCGACCTCCTAAAGTGCTGGGATTTACAGGCATGAGCCACCACACCCGGCCTTTTATTTTGTTTTTTTTGAGACAGGGTCTCACTCTGTCTGCCAGGCTAGAGTGAAGTGGCACAATCATCACTCACTGCAGCCTCAACCTCTTAGTCTTAAGTGATCCTCCTGCCTCAGCCTCTGAGTAGCTGGGACTACAGGTCCATGTCACCAAGCCTAGCTAATTTTTTAAAAACTTTTTTTAGGCCGGGCGTGGTGGCTCATGCCTATAATCCCAGCACTTTGGGAGGCCGAGGCGGGTGGATCACGAGGTCAGGGATTGGAGACCAGCCTGACCAACATGGTGAAACCTCGTCTCTACTAAAAATACAAAAAAATTAGCTGGGCGTGGTGGCGGGTGCCTGTAATCTCAGCTACTCAGGAGGCTGAGGCAGGAGAATTGCTTGAACCCGGGAGGTGGAGGTTGCAGTGAGCCGAGATCACGCCACTGCACTCCAGCCTGGGCGACAGAGCAAGACTCTATCTCAAAACAACAACAACAAAAAAAACAAAAAAAAACAAAAAACTTTTTTTAGTAGGCCAGGTGTGGTGGTTCATGCCTATAATCCCAGCACTTTGAGAGGCAGAGGTAGGTGGATCGCTTGAACTCAAGAGTCTGAGACCAGCCTGGGCAACATGGCAAAACTGAGTATCTACAAAAAATGTGAAATTTAGCCAGGCATGGTGGTGCATGTCTGTGGTCCCAGCTATTCAGGAGGCTGAGGTGGAGGGACTGCTTGAGCCTGAGAGGTCAAGGCTGCAGTGAGCTGTGACTGCACCACTGCACTCCAGCCTGGGTGACAGGGCAAGACCCTGTCTCAAAAAAATTTCTTAGTAGAGACAGGGTCTTACTATGTTGCCTAGGCTGGTCTCAAACTCCTGGGCTCAAGGGATCCTCCTGCCTTGGCCTCCCAACATGCTGGGATTACAGCTGTGAGCCACTATGCCCAGTCTGAAGTACCTTTTTGAAAACAGTATGAGGTAGGAACGACGGATGAGGAAACTGAGGCTCAGAGAAATCAGTCCCTTCCCCAGGATCTCGTTTACTCGTGGCACTGCCTAAGCTGTCTGACTCCACTCTGTGCCCTTAACCACTGACCCACACAGCCTTGGCAGGGCTGGAAGGGAGCTGTGGTCTGTGTAAGATCCCATGGGGTTCCTGCTTGTCCCCCGCCCCCTTGGGGCTCACCTGAGGCCATTTCGCTGCCAAAGACAAGGGCCCGTGCGCGCGAGGTGGTGAGGCAGTGGAGCAGAGCATCCCGCCGCAGGTTGGTGTTGATGAGGGCTGCCTCCACACCGAGCTTGGCCATGCCCAGCCATAGGCCCACGAACTCATTGCGGTTCTCCATGAAGATGGCAGCCACATCGCCCGAGGCCAGGCCCCGGGCCTGCAGGAAGTTGGCTACACTGCTTGAGTACTCATCCAGCTGGCGGAAGGTCCAGTGGGTATCTGTGCCCTCGAAGATCAGGGCCGTCTTGTCGGGGTGGCGCCGAACGGTAGAGGCAAACAAAATGGGCACTGTCCGCCGCTCCTGCAGGCACTGTCGCACCTTTGCCTTCACCTTCAGGAGGACCAGGCCGCCACTGTGTGTGAACAAGAGAGGGCGCTGTGTCTGCCATGGTTGGGAGGGAGGGGTCCTGACACCCTACCCCAGGCTGCTGCCTCGCCAGCCTATGCTTCATGAGCCAGACCCCCTACAACACTTCTATCTCCTGGCTCCTGCTGGGAACATGCACTGCCTTACTGATGCCTCTCAATAACACTGAGAGTTCGTATGATTCCCCTCCCCTTACACAGAAGGAAATCAAGGCTCTCGTGGTGCCGTGGCCTGCTCAAAGCTTCATGGATGGAGGGTGGCTGAGCTGAGATTTGAACTCTAGGCCTCTCTGGCTCCAGAGTTCTACTCCTACCCTCTCAGCCTGCTGCTCCAGCAGAAACCTCCTAGGTCTCCAGAGCTTCCTGTAAAAGTCCAAACTCCTTGTTTGGGGCCTCCCACAGTCCAGCTGCTCCCTCGACCCACCATGACCACAGTAAATAATGAATGAGTTTGCTGGTCTGTCCAGTCTTCCTCCCTGTGAGCCTAGCTGGGATAGGCTTCTGTCTTATTCAACACTCTATCCCCTGGGTCCTGTGCCAGGCAGAGTAGATGTTCAATAAGTTTGTGGAATCACTTGGCAACATCCCATTCCTGCCACCTTTGTTTTTTTGTTTTTTTTTTTGAGATGGCGTCACACTCTGTCACCCAGGTTGGAGTGCAGTGATGCAATGTCAGCTCATTGCAACCTCCACTTCCCAGGCTCAAATGATGCTCCCACCTCAGCCTCCCAAGTAGCTGGAACCACAGGTGTGCACCACCATGCCTGGCTAACTTTTTTGTATTTTGGTAGGGACGGGGTTTTGCCATGTTGCCCAGGTTAGTCTCAAACTCCTGAGGTCAAGTGATCCACCCACTTCGGCCTCCCAAAGTGCTAGGATCACAGGTGTGAGCCACTGCGCCCAGCCCTGGACTCCATGCCTTTGTTGCTGATGCTGTGCCTTCTGGTTGGATTCATCTCCTTCCACCACCACTAAGGCGCCTCTCAAGTACAGCCGCTTTTTCTCCAGGAGGCCTTCTCTGATTCCCAGGGTCCTGGCTGGCAGCTGTTTCTCCTTGCTCCATGCTCCCACAGCTACCACCCTTCCTGGTGTGCCACTCCGTGCCTTCTTTTGCAATCAACCAAGATTGACAAATGCTGAGCTGCCTGTGTGGGGTGTGGGTCACTGAACTGGGTGCTGGGACACAGTAGTGAGCAAGGCTGTGCCAGGGTCTCTGCCCACATGGCACTGCCAATTTACAGATGTGCTGTGTCCCTTTCTTTCTCCTGACCAATCTGAGCTTGGCAGATGGGGTCTGCCTTATTCCTCTCTGGACCCCAAAGCTAGCCTGGCACCTAGTAGAGAACAAGCGGGAATAGATATTTCTGGTACAGGATGTCCCTTGGAGCATACCGGGCTTTCTTTGGGGAGCAGGTTATCCCAGACATCTGAGTAGGGGCTCTGCTCTAGAACTCAGTGCCCCCTGTGCCATCTCACACCCCTGCCAACCTGAGGGCAGGGCCTTTCCCCAAAATTCCTCTTTACCCTTTCATAAACTTACAGAGTCCTCAGGACCCCTTGCAGATGTCTCAACACACTTGGTGTTCAATGTACGTCCTAGGCCAAGCCTGCCCAAGGCCTGGGAGCCTCAAGTTAGGGAGATTCCCTGGGAGAAGACTTTGACCTTGGAGATGGAGGGACCAGGTACTATTGCCAGGGTACGGGTGTGGAGCAGAGGCTGCTGTTCTGGAACTCAGCTCAGCTGCCCTGTGCTGGTAGAGAACATGAGGTCTGGCCTGGGGAGATTTGGGGGACCAGAAGCTCACTGTAGTGTGGCAGACCCCAGGAAAGGCTGGGCCAGGTACTCACAAGATATCGCGCCTGATGGTCTTGATGAAGACCCGGATGAAGCGCCAGCCGCCAGATCCCAAGTAGAGGAACAACAGGGAGAATCCCACCTGGGTCCAGGGCAGTTTCAGCACCAGCTTGGAGAACAGCAGCACCCCCACCAGAGAGGCTCCAAGCAGCATTGTGGCCTGCGGACACAGGGCAGTTAGTGGACCCAAACACCCAACCCTCCAGGTCTCCTACCTCCCAGCCCAGACAGCCAGGCCACTGTGATCCCAAGGGGACAGCCTGTGGTAAGGCTTAGCCATACTGAGTTGGGTGACTGACCACAGGGGTCCCTTTCCAGGCTTGGCCTGGAAGGGGCAGGCTAGGGGCTTGGCACTTGAGGTGAGGAATTCCAAGAGTGAGAAGCAGGAGGCTGGTTCTCGTCTCATAGTCCCATCTCTGCCCACCATTCTCCAAGTGACCTTGGGCAAGACCTTTTCACATTTTAGACCTTAGTATCTGCCCTCTGTGCAATGGGTGTAGTGAGACGTGTTCTTTTTTTTTTTAAGTTTTTAAACTTTTTATTTGCATATTAAAAAAACTGTGCATTCCAATAATTAAAATCATTTGAACAAAAAAAAAAATGGCACTCTGATTAAACTGCATTACAGCCTGCAGGACACCTTGGGCCAGCCTGGTTTTACTCTAGATTTCACTGTCGTCCCACCCCACTTCTTCCTTCACCAACAAGCAAGTTCTTTCCTTCCCTGCCAGCCAGATAGACAGATGGGAGAGGCAGGCGCAGCCTTCGTTGTCAGTAGTTCTTTGATGTGAAAGGGGCAGCATAGTCATTTAAACTTGATCCAACCTCTTTGCATCTTACAAAGTTAAACAGCTAAAAGAAGTAAAATAAGAAGGCAATACTTGTGGAATGTACAATGCATATTGGCGGTGCACGCCTCATTACGATTCGCTTGCTTGCTTCTCCTGTTCAATCGTTTCTTTGGAAGGCAGTGGATTTTTCTCTTGCATCTCTGTCTTCTTCAGTTTCGACTTATCGAATTTCTCAATCTCAGCCATATCGGGTTTGTCAGACATGGTTGCGGAGGAAAAGCGGAGCGAGGCATGCGAGAACGAGCGAAGTCTGGTCTGCGCAGTGGCCACCACCGAGTTGTCCTGAGACGTGTTCTAAGAGGCTTTTCTAGCCAAAACATGACAGTTCACTCTTCTGACATCCAGGGTCCCTAAAACCGGATGGCCTGGGGGTGGGTACTGACTTAAGAGCCTCTGGCTCGCTGGCAGTGGTGGCTCACACCTGTAATCCCAGCACTTTGGGAGGCCGAGGCAGGCGGATCATGACGTCAGGAGTTCGAGACCACCCTGACCAAGATGGTGAAACCCTGTCTCTACTAAAAATACAAAAATTAGCCAGGCATGGTGGCACACACCTGTAACCCCAGCTACTCAGGAGGCTGAGGCAGAAGAATTGCTTGAACCCGGGAGGCGGAGGTTCCATTGAGCCGAGATTGTGCCACTGCACTCCAGCCTGGGAGACAGAGCGAGACTCCGTCTCAAAAAAAGAAAAAAAAAGTCTCTGGCTCGACTCCCCACCCAGAACCCAGGGAGGTTCTGTGGATGACCAGGCCAAGTCAAAGGGGCAGCTCCCTGGAAAAGGAGCCCTGCTTGGTCCCTGCCCATAGACTCAGGTATCGCAGTGCGTCTGTTGGTCTATAGAGGGCGACCCAGAAAACGAGTTAGAGCCTGGAAGTGCTTGAAAGGTGACCGCCCAGGGGGCAAAGCTGATTGAGGGAGGCGAGGAGGACCTTGAAGACACCACCACCCATCACACAGACACACACAGCCACTCGGATGAATCTTTGGGGTCTAGGGCTTAGGGGAAGGCGAATGACTTGACTGTGCTTCAGGGGCTGGGTTGAGCTAGGACTCTTGGGTTCTATTCCTGGAGCTTTGAGGACTCGATCAAGGGGACATCTGATGGGACTGTTTTTCTCCGAGTTTTCCTGTTCTTGGGAGTAGATGAAGGTCACAAATGTGAAATGGCCTGAGAGCCTCCAAGCCAGGAAAAGGGAATGGTCTGGACCACAAGAAGCCCTGGGAGACCATCTCCCCCTCCCCCTCGCGAAAAGCAAAAGCCGGGGGCGGGGGAACTGAACCAGAGTCCTCAACCCCAACGCCAGGGTCCAGGGTCCTCAGATCTCTGGCCTCCCATAGCCCGCCATAGCAGAGGGGCAGGAACCTGTCCTGGAAGGCTGGGGCAAGAAGAGGCCAGAAGAGGGTGACTAGTTCCCTCGGGCCCCTGTCCCGGGTCACGCGTGCCGCCCTCGCCCCTAGACAGCAAGGTAACAGTGCGTCTGTCGGGGAAATAGCGCCGCAGGGCGCGCCCCCCACCTGGGGTCCGCACCGCCACCTCGCCCGACTCGGCCTGGCACATGTCCCCACCCGGGAACCCACCAGCCCGGTCTATGCTCACCCGGCGTCGGCTCCGCCGCGCGGCGCCCCGTCCAGATGCGGCCCGGTTGCAGCAGCGTAGACAGCGTGAGGGGCATTAGCCGCCCCTGGACGCACGGAGCCGGGTCTCAGCAGGGTTTAGCCGGCTCTGCGCCCTGCATGGCCCGGCCGCCCCGCCAGCCCCGCCCGCCGCCCGGCCCCGCCCGCCGCGCTCCTACCCCGCCCGCCTCCCGCACCCCAAACCTGCTGTGCCAGGCCGCAGCACCGCCTGCCGCACCTTCCCCGAAGCCGGCAAGCCACAGAGCCGGCGGCGCAGCGCAGCCCCAGCGCGCCTGACGCCGCTCGGCCCCAGCCCGCCCTGCTCGCGCAACGGCTTCGGGCGGCGCCGCCGCGCGGCACGCTGGGAGTTGTAGTCCACGCCGCGCGGCCCCACCCAGCCGAGGAGACCCCCGAGTCCGCGAGGAGACAGGCGGGCTTCACCCCGGCCCTTCCTCCCTGCCGACCCCGGCCCTTGCCCCCTGCTGTCCCCAGCGCCCGGATGTAGGAAGAGCACCCCAGTCCACACCACAGCCGAAAACCCGGAGCACGCTCTCGGGCCCCGGCCGAGTTCAGCAAACACCCAGCACCACACCTAGAAGCTCGCTAAGAGGGCGGTTTCAGGCAGAGGTGAGCGGGGCGGCCGGGTTCCGCAGCCGGCTCTGTGGCGCAATGGATAGCGCATTGGACTTCTAGCTGAGCCTAGTGTGGTCATTCAAAGGTTGTGGGTTCGAGTCCCACCAGAGTCGAATTTTGATGGCTCCTACTCCCTGACTTTCACCTGCGTGTTTTAAGGACTCCAGGACCTATCTAACAAATAAGGTTCAGAACGAAAATCATAAGTCACACCCAACTTTGCTGCGACACAGCCATAAACCTGGTGTCTAGGTGACTACGAGAAATCCTTTCTCGTACCATGGTGTCTTGTGAGCAGCCTGGCACACCTGTTGGCACAAAGGACACGGATTTGGAGGCCCTTAGTTAACTTCACCATCTATGATCTCTGGTCCCTGCAACAAATCAGTTAACCTATATTTGTCATGCCACCCTTATTTGTCATGCCACCTCCAGAGCCATAGGCGAGTGGCCAGATTCTCGGCCCTGTTGGGACTCTTGGCCTCTGAAAAATTGGTTTCTTGTTAAGTAACCATGTTGGGCATCCACAGTTGCCACTTGTCCTTAAACATTAATAGATCCCTGGGAGGCTGAGGCAGGAGAATTGCTTGAACCTGGGAGGCGGAAGTCGCAGTAAGCCGAGGTTGCGCCACTGCACTCCAGCCTGGGCGACAGAGCAAGTCTCCATCTCAAAAAAAAAAAAAAAAAAAAAAAAAAAAAAGATTCTGGGACTGGCGTGGTGGCTCAAGCTTGTAATCCCAGCACTTTTGGAGGCTGAGGCAGGAGGATCACTTCAGCCAGGAGTTCAAGACCAGCCTGGGCAACATAGTGAGACTCTGCCTCTACAGGAAAAAAAAAAAAATTAGCCAGGTAGCTCTTGCTTGTACTCCCAGCTACTCAGGAAGATGAGGTGGGAGGATTGCTTGAGCTCTGGAACTTGGGGCTGCAGTGAGCTGTGATTGCACCACTAAACTCCACCCTGGGCAACAAAGTAAGACCGTGTCTCAAAAAATAAAAATAAGCTGGGCACAGTGGCTCATGCCTGTAATCCCAGCACTTTGGGAGGTTGAGGTGGGCAGATCACATGACGTCAGGAGTTCGAGACCAGTCTGGCCAACAGGGCGAAACCCTGTCTCTATTAAAAATACAAAACTTAGCCGAGCGTGGTGGTGCACGTCTGTAATCCTAGCTACTCAGGAGCTGAGGCAAGAGAATCACTGAACCCGGGAGGCAAAGGTTGCAGTGAGCCGAGATTGGGCCACTGCACTCCAGCCTGAGCAACAGAGCAGTGAGAGCCTGTCTCAGAAAACTAATAATAATAAAAATAAAGATGAAATTTTGGTCTGATAAGGATTTGGACCTATTTCTTCTGGAATATAGGGTGCCTCCTTTTGGGGACTTGAGTAAATTCCAGCACCACATCCTTCATGGGTATCACCATCAGGAGGCAGAATGTGCAGTGGTATGGGCATGAGCATTGAGTTCGCCTTCTCAGCTGAAAGGTCAAGATTCATTTTGTTCTTACATATAAAAAATGGGACATACTAATTAATAATACCTCACAGGGTCAGCGTGGAGATTTGTGGGGAGTATTTTTTTTTTTTTTCCGAGACGGAGTCTTGCTCTGTCGCCCAGGCTGGAGTGCAGTGGCGCGATCTCGGCTCACTGCAAGCTCCGCCTCCCAGGTTCACGCCATTCTCCTGCCTCAGCCTCCCGAGTAGCTGGGACTACAGGCGCCCGCCACCAGGCCCAGCTAATTTTTTTGTATTTTTTTTAGTAGAGACAGGGTTTCACCGTGTCAGCCAGGATGGTCTCGATCTCCTGACCTCGTGATCCACCCGCCTCAGCCTCCCAAAGTGTTGGGATTACAGGCATGAGCCACTGCGCCTGGCACAACATTTCTTGAATGAATGAAAGGGAGAGTGAATTGGAGGCTCTGACCTTATGCACACCAGGATTCGTGAGTATAATCATGAGTACTTCCACATCAACTACTGAGGTCATATGCAAGTGGGCAGGTGAGAGTTAGCGGGAGGATGCTGGTGACCAGCCACCTGCTCTCCTTCAGTCAGGCTCGTCACACTGGAGAAACCAAAGCAGTACCACCGGACATTGGATCAGGCCTGAGGGGGAGAAGCAAGACAACACAGAACAGGACAGCCTGCCTTTCAGTTGCTTACAGTCTAGCTGGCCGCACAGAGGACAGGTGGAAGTGAGATGGAATAGGTCATCCCTCACTCAGTGCTCACTGTGCTGGTGTCACGCTCATCACAGTATTGTCATTAAAATTTTTTAATTTTTTTTTTTTGAGATGGGGTCTCACTCCTGTTGCCCAGACAATCACAGCTGACTGCAGCCTTCACCTCCTGGGCTCAGGTGCTCCTGCTACCTCAGCCTCCTGGGTAGCTAGGGCTACAGGTGTGCGCCACCACACCTGGCTAATTTTTTGTATTTTTAGTAGAGACGAGGTTTCATCATGTTGTTCAGGCTAGTCTGGAACTCTTGAGCTCAAGTCATCTGCCCCCCCAGGCCTCCCAAAGTGCTGGGACTCCAGGCATGAGCCACCCCCCGCCAAGCTCTACCAACAAAATAATTTCAGAGTGGTGAATGCTCTAAAGAAAATAAGGGCATAGTGCAGTGGCTCATATCTGGAATACCAGCACTTTGGGAGGTCAAGGCAGGAAGATGGCTTGAGGCCAGGAGTTCAAGACCAGCCGAGCCAACATAGCAAGACCCTGTCTCTACAAAAGAAAAAAAAAAAAAAAAAGCCGGGCCCGGTGGCCCACACCTGTAATCCCAGCACTTTGGGAGGCTGAGGCGGGGGGATCACAAGATCAGGAGTTTGAGACCAGCCTGACCAACATGGTGAAACCACATCTCTACTAACAATTAAAAAAAAAATCAGCCGGGCGTGGTGGCAGGCACCTGTAATCCCAGCTACTCGGGAGGCTGAGGCAGGAGAATCGCCTGAACCCAGTAGGTGGGAGGTTGCAGTGAGCCGAGATCACGCCATTGCACTCCAGCCTGGGCGACAGAGTGAGACTCCATCCACTCCCCCCGCCAAAAAAAAAAAAAAAAAAAAGAAACCACTTGACTGGGCACGGTGGCTCAGGCATGTAATCCTAGCACTTTGGGATGCCAAAGTGGGCAGATCACCTGAGGTCAGGATTTCGAGACCAGCCTGGTCAACATGGTGAAACCCCGTCTCTACTAAAAATAAAAATTAGCTGGACATGGTGGTGCACCCCTGTAATCCCACCTACTTGGGAGGCTGAGGCAGGAGAATTGCTTGACCCTGGGAAAGGGAGGTTGCAGTAAGCTGAGATCACGCCATTGCACTCCAGCCTGGGTGACAGAGCGAGACTCCATCTCAAAACAAAAAAACAAAAAAAAACAAAACAAACAAAAAAAACTTAGCTAGGCGTGGTGGCATGCATCCATAGGCCCAGCTACTAGGGAAGCTAAAACAAGAGGATCCTGGAGCCCAGGAGGTCGAGGCTGTAGTGAGCCGTCATAGTGGCACTGCACTCCAGCCTGGGTGACAGAATGAGACCCCATCTCAAAAAATAAATAATAATAAACAGAAGATGATAGCATGGAGAGAGGCAGAGGGGGACTAGGGACTGCTTTAGATGGCAGGAAGCCCAGGAAGACATCTCTGCTGTGACATTTGAGCAGAGATGTGAATGACAAGGAGCTCACCATGTAACAACCTGGGGACACGGTGCTGTTCCCAAAGGCAGGAAGAAGCCTGGTGTGTTCAGGGAGCAGGATGAAGGCAAGCATGGTTTACTGAGATGGGAGAATAGACGTTTCTAGGCAGAAGTTGGTAGGGCCTCACCAGTGATTACCTATAGCCAGTTTGATTTTTCTCCAATCATGAGCTGGTAACACAAATGCCACCCTATACTCAGGAGACCAGACTCCATTCCCAGCTAAGCCTGATGCTTTGTGTCCATCTCACAAGTGCTACAAAGGCCCAGGGTTGTCCAGGCACTGCCTGCCTAGAGCAGGTGAGCTGCTCAGCTGGGCAGTGAAGGCCATCTGTCTGACCTCCGCTGCCACCCTGGCACTGTTGACTTTAGTGAGCTGCAGTGGGGGTGCCTGGGACCCTGGGAAGCTGCAGAAACAGCTGGCAGGTCTGCAGAGACTGGTGAGGTATGGGGACTCACTAGCATGGCCTCCTTTTCCCGCAGATTCAAGGAGCTCAGAACAAGGTTTCCCTCCTGAAAAGTCCATGGTTCTGAGGTGGGCCTCCAGCCTCCCCTGCCCTTCCTCTGCTATTGGGATCCCTGAACCAGACGTGGTGCGCACAGGGAAGGCTGGGGCCCTGGTATGGCAGTGCTGAGCAGGTCTTCAGACAACCCGTGGTTCCAACCCCAGCTCTATTCCTACTGCCTCGTTAGTAAAACACAAGCAAAATACCATCTCCCTCCTTGGGTGGTGACCTTGAGGTGTCAGTGCGATAATGCATCTCAAGTGCTTAGTACTGCCTGACATATAGTACAGTTAGAAACTGATTATAGATAGGGAAACTGAGGCACTGGTAAACATACCAGGGGGCCTGTGGCCTGTGTTTTAGTTACTCCAGGCAATTCTCTGCCTGCCTCTGGGCCATCAATCATCTATTCACGCAATGAGGAATTGGCCTGAAAAATGCTAAAGCCTCTTCCATCTTGGGGCTTTTCTGGTTCTAAACCCAAGCCAGGGCCACCCACTCTTCTAATACCTTTCATCCAGCCGGTCCTTGTTCCTTGGCTCTTACCCAAGGAAAATGCCTTTTTGCCACTCCAAAATGAACTGCAGCTTTTTGTGCTTATGAACACAGTAAGAATAAAACAGCTCCTGATTGGTTGGAAACAGTGGTTCACATCTGGATTATTTGGAAGGCCAAGGGTGGGAGGATCACTTGAGCCCAGGAGTTCAAGCAGCCTGTGCAACATAGAGACCTCATCTCTACAAAAAATTAAAATTAGTTGGGCGGCCAGTCGTGGTGGCTCACGCCTGTAATCCCAGCACTTCGGGAGGCCGAGGTGGCTGGATCGCCTGAGGTCAGGTGTTCAAGACCAGCCTGGCCAACATGGTGAAACTCCATCTCTACCAAAAAATACAAAAATTAGCTGGGCATGATGGCATGCGCCTGTAGTCCCAGCTCCTGGGGAGGCTGAGATGGGAGACTTGCTTGAACTTGGGACGCAGAGGTTGCAGTGAGCCGAGATCGTGCCACTGCACTCCAGCCTGGGCAAAAAGAGTGAGACCCTGTCTCAAAAATAAATAAATATAAATTAAAAAAAATTAGTTGGGCATGGTGGTGTGTACCTGTGGCCTCAGCTACTGGGGAGGTTGAGATGAAGACTGCTTGGGCCCAGGAAGTTGAGGGTGCAGTGAGCCAAGATTATGCCATGCACTCCAGCCTACATGACGGGGCAAGAGCTTGTCTCAAACAACAACAATAAAAAACCCCACCTCCTGCTCCTTGGGCCCTTTTTCTGAAGTCCGCCTTCTGAATGTCCCCTCAGAAACCCCCACAATAGTCCTAGGGGATGAGTGCCTTAGGATTCCACTTTTCCTGATGATGAAATGGGGACTCAGAGAGGGGAAGGGACTTGCCCTAAGTCCTCTGCTGGAAAACAGGGAGGAGTTGGCTGGGCGCGGTGGCTCATGCCTATAATCCCAGCACTTTGGGAGGCCGAGATGGGCGGACCACGAGGTCAAGAGATCGAGACCATCCTGGCCAACATGGTGAAAACCCGTCTCTAAAAATACAAAAATTAGCTGAGTGTGGTGGCACGCACTTGAAGTCCCAGCTATTCAGGAGGCTGAAGCAGGAGAATCATTTGAACCTGGGAGGTGGAGGTTGCAATGAGCCGAGATCTCGCCATTGCACTCCAGCCTGGCGACAGAGCGAGACTCCATCTCAAAACAAAAACAAAAAACAAAAAAACAAAACAAAAAAAAACAGGGAGGAGCTGGGAATTTGAATCCATGTCCACCCAACTTCGGCCAGAGGAGAGGGGACAAGCAGCTAGAGCCCAGGCTGGGAGGGAAACTTCTACTTCCAAGCACTAGGGTGCTTGGAAGGCGCAAGAGTGCCAAAGTCAGGGGCATCCCTGGGGGAAAGGAGGACAAGCAGACACTTGACCTGATGGGAGCCTTTATTCACACACTCGCCTCCCCCTCCACTTCTCTCTTCTCAGGCTTTTGGAATTGGGTGTAGCCCTCACTCCTGTGAGGACACCCAGCCTGGCCCCCAGCAAACCTGGCTGGCTGGGAGGAGTTGCAACAGGAGCACTGCGACATCCCAGCATGAGCCCAGACGACTGATACTGTTCATGCATGGTTCTCCTTGGGTAGCTGCTGGTCCCCCTGGGAATGCCACTGTACTGCTTGCTCCCTGCGGGGTTCGTCCTCAAGGCCACTCAGCAGTGGTTATGACAAATTATGATAAATGTTGTCCAAGGGTCAGTGTTCAAAGAAGAGGAACAAAGGTAGTCAAGGGAGCCCTCTGCCTCCAAGGGAAGCAGGGGATGGGGGAGGTAGGCCAGGCCCCGCTGGCTCAGGAGCTCAGGCCAAGCCCTGGACGTGCATGGGTGGTGCTGTAATGCCCAGCTCCTCCCGCAGAGCCCTCAGGGACTGCTCCCAGCGCCGCTCATAGTACAGGTTGAGGACACATGGGGCTCTGCGCCCGTTCTGAACGGCCCATGGGATCAACTCCGAGACCAGCACTTGCAGGCTCCTGTGGGGCAGCAGAGGAAAAAGAAAACATCAAGTCCCTGGGGCCAGGCACTCGACTGCTCGGCACTTGTGCATTTTCTCAGTTCATCCTCACAAAGGCCTCGGAAGGAGGTAGTTATTATCCCTGCTTTTTAGATGAGGCAACAGAGCTCAGTGAGGTGGAATCTCAAGCCCAAAGCCACACATCTTGAACATGTCGAAGCTCAGATTTAAATCATGGCTCCCTCACTCCAGAATCTAACACCAACCTGCCTTCCCACTGACGCTCATCATTCTGACCATGCACTTAGGCCTGGCCCAAGAGACCCCAGAGTCCTGTGAAATGTACAGGCTTTATTTGCTCACTTGAAGACCCTTGCCCCAGGCCAGTTTCACATCTCTGCTCCATTCTTTCTACCCTTACTTCCTGGAGAACTGGAACGGGCTGTGCAGGGGCCCGTGTGCTCTTCCTACTTCTAAGAGCCCTGGTCCCTCTGAGTTCTGTCCTGATACCACCCTCAACCCCGACCCAGCTACCACTTGAAAACTTACTGAGCGCCAAGTCGGATCGGTCCAAAGAATGCACCCAGGATGCACATGGGCAGGCCAGTCTGGACAGCCTCAAACCATTTCACCACGATCTCCCCTGTGGGTGAGGGATGTGTTGGGAGGTGAACAAGCTATCTGAAGGAAAGGCCAGTGGTGCTCACAGCAGGGTAAAGAGAGGCACTGTTCCTCCCTAATCTCTACGGGGTCAGCTGTGCCCAGTCCTGGCCTGTGCTGGGCCCTGGGGCACTTGGCTTGGAGTACAGGAGAGAGCCCAAGAGTGAACAGAAGGGAGTAGGGGATGGAAAGGAAGCCTGGGGTCAGGGCGCAGAGGACCCCATGACCCCATAAGCCAGGCTAAACACTCCAGGATGGTTCCTGCAGGCCTTAGGGAGCTACTGAGGTTTCAGAGCAGGGAGGCAGCTAAAGCCTAAAAAGACACCAGGAGCCTTGAAGATGGGCTCTGCTGCTCCATTAGTGCAGGAGCCCTGAGGGGCAGTGGGAGAAAGAAGGGGGACATGTGGCAAAGATGCTACTAAGATGTTCAGGTAAAGCAGAAATTGAGGCACCAAGCCAGGTGATGCAGAGGGTGGTGGAGATAGGCAAGCCCTGCCCTGGCCCTGAAGCCACCCCAGGGAGACAGGCCATCAGGGTTGGGGGCACTCACCCAGGATGTTGGTGGGCATCCCCAGCAGGGTGTGAAGCATGTCGTGCACCTCCCGGTACCGCTGAATCACATACGCTAGCTCCTCATCATCCACGAAGCGGGTGGGTGCTCGGGTGTCTGGGGAGACCCTCTGACAACCATGAGCCTCCCCTAGAACCCTTCCTGATGGTTCCCAGGGCCCGATTTGCCAGTCTGTCTCTGACACCGTCACAACTCTCACCTAACTCATACCTACTAGAAAACTCTGGCGACTGGCCAGGGGCCGAGGCTCATGCCTGTAAATCCCAGCACTTTGGGAGGCTAAGGTGGGCGGATCACCTGAGATCAGGAGTTCAACACCAGCCTGACCAATACGGTGAAACCCTGTCTCTACTAAAAAATACAAAAATTAGCCGGGTGTGGTGGTGCACACCTGTAGTCCCAGCTACTCGGGAGGCTGAGACAGGAGAATCACTTGAACCCAGGAGGCGGAGGTTGCAGTGAGCCAAGATTGCACCACTGCACTCCTGCCTGGGTGACAGAGACTCTGTCTCAAAGAAAAAAAAAACCCAGAACAAAAAAAATACAAAAATTAGTCAGGTGTGGTGGTGTGTGCCTATAGTCCCAGCTACTCAGGAGGCTTGGGACAGGAGGATGCTTGAGCCCAGGAGTTTGAGGTTACAGGGAGCTATGACTATACCACTGCACTCAAGCAAGACATTGTCTCTAAAAATAAATAATGAAGCCCCAAAGACCCTGATCCTAGCATAACTTGCTCCCAGCTTGGGGTGTTCTCTCCCACTACCTCCATCTTCACTGTGGTAACTCCTACTTATCCTTCATGACCTGGGTTAAGTGTCCCCTGTCCCCCATCCCTTCCCCCCACCACAGAGAGGCCACCCCTAACCTACAGACCAAGTGGGTTCATGTTATGGTCTCTGGAAACATCATTCACCTCTTAGTGGCACTCAAAATAACTGTACCTTGATGTTTAGTGGATGTGAGTATTAATGTCTCCTAGACCTACACTGTCCAGTATGGCAGCCGCTTGCCACATGTGGCCAAGAAAGTTGTCCAAGCGAGATGTGCTGATCATATAAAATACACACGAGACTTCAAATGCTTAGTATGAAAAAAATGTAAAACTCTCAATGATTTAAAAATACTGGCCGGGCGCGGTGGCTCACGCCTGTAATCCTAGCACTTTGGGAGGCTGAGGCAGGTGGATCATGAGGTCAGGAGATCAAGACCATCCTGGCTAACACGGTGAAACTCCGTCTCTACTAAAAATACAAAAAATTCTCCGGGCGTGGCGGCGGGCGCCTGTAGTCCCAGCTACTCGGGAGGCTGAGGCAGGAGAATGGCGTAAGCCCGGGAGGCGGAGCTTGCAGCGAGCCGAGATCGCGCCACTGCACTCCAGCCTGGGCTACAGAGTGAGACTTCGTCTCAAAAAAAAAAAAAAAAAGAAAATTGATTACTTGTTGAAATAATACTTTGGATATATTGGGCTAAACAAGATGCATATTTAAAATCAATTCTAGCCAGGCACGGTGACTCATGGTTACAATCCCAGCACTTTGGGAGGCCGAGGCGGGCGGATCACCTGAGGAGCTCAAGGCCAGCCTGACCAATATGGTCAAAAATTAGCCAGGCATGGTGGCGGGTGCCTGTAATCCCAGCTACTTGGGAGGCTGAGACAAGAGAATTGCTTGATCCCAGAAGGCAGAGGTTGCAGTGAGCTGAGATGGCACCATTGCACTCCAGCCTGGGCAACAGAGTGAGACTCTATCTCAAAAAAACAAACAAAAAAATTCCACCTTAATTTTAATAGCAAAAAAATTAATTTCTTTTTGCTATTAAAGTAGCTGGCAGAAAATTAAAAATTACCTACGTGCTCACATTTTATTTATTTATTTTTATTTTTATTTTTTGAGATGGAGTCTCACTCTGTCGCCCAGGTTGGAGTGCCGTGGTGCAATCTCGGCTTACTGCAATCTCCTCCTCCCGGATTCAAGCAATTCTTCTGCCTCAGCTTCCTGAGTAGCTAGGATTACAGGCACGTGCCACTACACCCGGCTAATTTTTTTTTTTTTTTTTAGTAGAGACAGGGTTTCACCATGTTGGTCAGGCTGGTCTCAAACTCCTGACTTCGTGATCCACCCGCCTGGGCCTCCCAGAGAGCTGGGATTACAGTTGTGAGCCACCGTGCCCAGCCGATCACATTTTATTTTTATGGACAGTATCCAGACAGCCTGTCTGCTACACAAGGGCAGGACTGGCTCTGTTTCACTTATTCTTTTACCTCCAGTAGCCTGATCCAGGGCCTGGATGAATGAACACCTCTTGAACATATGAATAAAAGGCCAGTCCTGGGCACTTTTCTGATCCCAGAACTCTTCTCCTCTTAACTGCCCACTGCCTCTGAGTACTCAGCAGCACCCATACACAGTGGGAACAGCCTGGTCTTCCTGTTCCCAAAGAATGGCCTTAGCCTGCTGTGTGAAGCTGAAGGTGATCATAGAGTATCCACCAGGTGCCGGCACCTAGGGTGTCTTTTACATATATTATCCTTTCATCCTTGCAATCTTGGAGGTAAATACTGTTATTACTGCAGATATAGATAAGGAAAACAAGGGCCGGGCGTGGTGGCTCATGCCTGTAATCCCAACACTTTGGGAGGCCAAGGCCAGCGGATCACTTGAGGTCAGGAGTTTGAGACCAGCCTGGCCAATATGATGAAATCCCGCCTATACTAAAAATACAAAAAATAGCCAGGCCTGGTGGCGTGCGCCTGTAGTCCCAGCTACTCAGGAGGCTGAGGCAGGAGAATTGCCAGGAGGTGGAGGTTGCAGTGAGCCAAGATTGTGCCACTGCCCTCCAGCCTGGGTGACAGAGCGAGACTCAAAAAAATAAATAAATAAATAAAAATAAGGAAAACAAGGCTCAGAGAGATAAAGTAATTTGCCCAAGATCACACAGCTAGTAAAGTGGCCGAGTCAGCATTTGAAACAAAGTCTGCTGGATTCCAAAGCCAGTGGCCTTAATATCCATTACCAAGGCCGATAAGTGCCCTGGAAGATATATGGGAGGTCCTCTTACTTCTGATGAGGAACCTGAGACTCAGCGAGGTCAAAGGATTTGTCCAGGCTTGTAAAGCTGGGAAGAGAGCCAGGATTCTCACTCAGGCTCCTCCTAATTCTCAAGCCCATGCCTGTAGTCTTGATACTACAAGATGACCACACCTCTCACCAAAATCAGCCTCAGGGAGGGGAGGGTAGCCTCACCTTGAACCTTTATCTAAATCTCTCTGGGGACAAAGGTGCTCCTTCACATTCCATGAGCTGCTGATTTCCTTGCTCTACAAGTGTCACAATCGCCAGCGCGGTTACAAGTGGGGCTGTGGCTGAGCAAGGTGTCCTAGCAGTCCTGTCCCTGCTACCCCCTCCCCTCCACAGCGACAGGGCTAAAGACTGGGGGAAATTCAGACTGTCCCTCCCTGTGTAGCACTTGAGGCAGGTCACCCTGGTGAGTTTCCCACTGATGAAATGACTTGCATCCTGGTGAAATCTGAGAGAGATGGTTTAAAATAGTGCAGGTGATCGCCCCGTCAAGGTAGCTGTGCAGGAGACTGTGAGGAACAGAACATCGTCTCGGGGACAATAACCATTCAGAGCAGTGGTTCTCAACTGCCCACCAGGGAACATCTGTAATCTCTGGAGACATCTGTGGTTGTCACAACTTGACGGGGGGGTGCTCCTGGCATCCAGTGGGTAGAAGCCAGGGATGCCACTAAACATCCTACCAGGCTCAGGACCGCCCCCACAACAAAGAGTGATCCAGCCTAAACATTAACATGCCCGGCTTGAGAAACTGTTCTAGGGCAACCTTTGGAGACCCCTCACCTCCATCAGCCAGACTGGCTCGCCATTTGGCAGGGGTGCCTTGATGGGATGTATCTGTGTTGCAGGAGGGAGGGAAGATGGGACAGGGACAGGGAAGATGGGCCAACTGGATCCTAAGGTCCTTTACAAATCAGGTCACTTTACTGTCCTGCTCAAAACCTTCCACAAGTTTCCTACTGCTCCTATTACAAAATACAGACTCCTCCTTCTGGTGGCCTACAGGGCGCAGCCCTGGCTCCCCTTCCAGCCCACTCACTGTCTCCCTGCTACTCCCTCCTCTGCGGCCACACTGGTCAACCTTCCTTTTCCTAAACACAAGGGGCCTTTGCCCTTGCCATTCCCTCTACTCAGAATGCTCCTCCTCAGCTCTCCACAGGGTTGGCTCCTCCTTACCTTCCAAGTCTCCTCAGAGGAGCCGGCCCTGACCACCCAGTCAGAAGTGGCTGTACCCTTCCCAATACCAAAGCTGTCTTCTATCACACTAACTTGTTCTCTTCATAGCTGCTAGAATGTAAGTTCCACAAAGGCAGGCTTTTTGCTGGTTTTGTCCACTGTATCCCAACTGCTGACAATAGTGCTGGTATACTTTTTTTTATTTTTGAGACAGAGTCTTGCTCTGTTGTCCAAGCTGGAGTGTAGTGGTGTGATTACGGCTCACCGCCCTCGACCTCCTGGGCTCAACTGATCCTCCTACCTCAAACTCCCTCCCAGGTAGCTGGGACTATGGGTATACACCACCACACTTGGCTAATTTTTGCATTTTTTGCAGAGACAGGGTTTCACCATGTTGTCCAGGCTGGTCTCAAACTCCTGGGCTCAAGTGATCCGCCCACTTCAGCCCCCCAAAGTATTAGGATTACAGGCATGAGCCAACACGCATGGACCAGTGCCAGAATATTCTAATTACTTGAAACATTTTACCTGTATTTTTATATGAATTTTTTTGTTTTGTTTTGTTGGAGACAGAGTCTCACTCTGTCGCCCAGGCTGGAGTGCAGTGGTGTGATCTCAGCTCACTGCAACCTGTGCCTCCCGGGTTCAATCAATTCTCCTGCCTCAGCCTCCCGAGTAGCTGGGATTACAGGCGCACACCATCACACCTAGCTAATTTTTGTATTTTTAGTAGAGACAGGTTTCCACCATGTTGGTCAGACTGGTCTCAAACTCCTGACCTTAGGTGGTCCTCCCGCCAGCCTCCCAAAGTGCTGGGATTACAGATGTGAGCCACTGTGCCTTCCCTGAAAATTTTTAAAAACTATTTTATTGTCTACCTCTCGAAGTAGAATAGAAATGAGGGCAGGGAACTTGGCTGTCTAGTTCACCATTATATCCCCTGTACACAAAACAATGGTTGGGCTGGGCACGGTGGCTCACACCTGTAGTCCCAGCATTTTGGGAGGCTGAGGCAGGTGGATCACTTGAGGTCAGGAGTTCAAGACCAGCCTGGTTAATATGGTAAAACCCCTCTCTACTAAAAGTACAAAAATTAGCTGGGCGTTGTGGTGTGCACCTGTAGTCCCAGCTACGTGGGGGGTTGAGGCAGGAGAATCGCTTGAACCCAGGAAGCTGAGTTGCAGTGAGCCGAGACGGCGCCACTGCACTCCAGCCTGGGTGGCAGAGCGGGACCCTGTCTCAAAACAAAACAAAACAAAAAGGATGGGCCGGGCGCTGTGGCTCACGCCTGTAATCCCAGCACTTTGGGAGGCTGATGCGGGCGGATCACGTGGTCAGGAGATCGAGACCATCCTGGCTAGCACGGTGAAACCCCGTCTCTACTAAAAAATACAAAAAATTAGCCGGGCGTCGTGGCGGGCGCCTGTAGTCCCAGCTACTCGGGAGGCTGAGGCAGGAGAATGGCGTGTACCTGGGAGGCGGAGCTTGCAGTGAGCAGAGATCGCACCACTGCACTCTAGCCTGGGCGACAGAGCGACTCAAAAAAAAAAAGGGATGGCACATAGCAGAGCCTCAGTTAGTGAATGAGTTTGCCAATAGTCGGGACACCCCCTTTCCCCCTCTCCTTGTCCTCCCTGCCTGGGGCTGGAGGGGCTGGAGAGTGCCACACCTGCCATACCGTAGGGAAAGCAATGTCCCTGGAATAAAGGGATACAGTACAGCAGTGAAGAGCATGATCTGGGATTGATTACTATCTCCATTAATACCAGTTATGTGGAATTAGCAAGTTTGCTTCACTGCTCTGAGCCTCTGTTTCCTTATCTGCTAAAAGAGGATAATAATAGAACATACTTGACAGAGTTGTGGGGGGATTCAGCAAGATCACGGATGAGGCTGGCATCAGGCATGCAGTGCGAGGTTAATGAACACTGGCCAGTATTATCAATTGCAGGCATGTTCCCACCCATTTGCCTATCCCATAGAAAATGACAAAGCCTTGGCATGAGCCTGAAGAGCACTCCTGCCAATGGTGGCAGCTCAGGGCTCCTCTTTCCTCAGGGTGTCATGCCTGTGCTATTCCTCTGTCCTGTCTGGTGACTGCCAGATACACAGGAGCTGAAAACTCACGTTCACATCCAGGAAACGGAGATACTCGCGACCGAGGGAGCCTTCCGGCAGGCTCTGGAGCTTGCCCAGGTCGAGGGTGGATGTCGAAATCCGGGGACGCTCCCTGAAAGGCAAGACTTGGGCATTGGGAGGGTGTGGGCAAAGGTAGGTGAACGATCCAACTACAGCGAGCTGAGGGGCGGGAGAATGTACAGAGGAGCAATGTGGCCACCACAAGCCTTAATGGAGCACCTACAACTGGCCAGGCTAGTGTCAGGGACTTAGGATACTACCCCAAACCAAGGACATGGGCAGGGGTACAATCTCGGCAGGAAGACAGTCCTCGAATGTGACCAGAGTACTTGCAAAAGGTACTGCAAGGGAGGGGTAAAGCCAGCACATGTTATGGGAACTTAATGAAGGCACAGAGCCCTGTGGTTGAAACTGGGCCAAGGCTATCACACTGCACAACTCGGAAGTCATCAGTGTATACACATGTATGTGAATGACACCCCTGGAATTGGGCAGTGCCCAGCCTGTGCAACCATATGTAGCCAGGGTATCAAAAGCTCCCTAGCGGAACAGAACAAACACAATGTGATTCTAGAGAGGTCAGAATACCTAGAGAATGCCCCCAGACCCCCAGGCAGAGCTGGGACCTACTGCAGGATCTGGGCACCCTCTGGATCCCTCCTCATCTGGTCCCTGAGGACCTTCAGGGTGCGGTGTCCTGTGGTCTCCCCTAGAACTGCGACCATGTCTGAAAGGACAGAAACGGGCACAAATGGGGGATGTCATCTTAGGTAAGTTAGCTGACCTGGTCTGAGCCTTTGTTTCCTACAGGATAAATTAGGGATGATGTCTAGCTCTTTGTTATAAGGATTCAGGCTAAACACTTAGCAAATTACCCAGCACACAACAAGGGATCAGTATACATATCTATAGTTCTTATTCTTAATCTACTGGGGCGGGACAGCTCTAGTTAGCACAACGTTGTAAAGATTTTATAAATCACTTTTCACAATACAATATCATGTCTCCATTGATTGGTAGAGGCTTAGGCATCAGAGATGCTGGGCTACAGTCCAGGTGTGTTCACTATCTAGGTGACCTAGTACAAATTGCTTCACATTTCTGTTTTGTTTTGTTTTTTTGAGACAGGGTCTTGCTCTGTTGCCCAGGCTGGAGTGAAGTGGTGTGATCATAGCTCACTGCTAGGACTACAGGCATGCAGCTAGTTTTTTAAATTTTCTGTAGAGATGAGGTCTTGCTATGTTGCCCAGGCTGGTCTTGAACTTTGGCCCCAAGTGATCCTCCCACCTTGGATTCCCAAATTGCTGGGATTACAGGTGTGAGCCACCATGCCTGGCCTGCTTCACATTTTTCAGCCTCAGTGTCTTAATTTGTGAAGTGCAGACAACACCTTTCTTAGCTGGTTAATGTGAGAAACCATGAAAATCATATATATATAACACTTAGTGGCCAAGTGTAGCGGCTGACACCTGTAATCTCAACACTGGGGGGCTGAGGCAGGAGGATCACTTGAGGCCAAGAGTTCCAGAGCAGCCTGGGCAACGTGGCAAGACGCCGTCTCTACAAAAAAATTAAAAAATTCGCTGGTCTTGGCCGGGCGTGGTGGCTCATGCCTGTAATCCCAACACTTTGGGAGGCCGAGGTGGGAGGATCACCTGAAGTCAGGAGTTTGAGACCAGCCTGGGCAACATAGCAAAATCCCGTCTCTACTAAAAATACAACAATTAGCCAGGCCGCACAGGCCTGTAATCCCAGCTACTCAGGAGGCTGAGGCACGAGAATCGCTTGAACCTGGGAGGTGGAAGTTGCATAGAGCTGAGATTGCGCCACTGCACTCCAGCGTGGGCCACAGAGCAATACTGTGTCTCAAAACAAAACAAACAAAAAACCACTGGGGACATGGAGATATAGTGTATTTTTTGTTTAAGACAGGGTCTCGCTCTGTCGCCCAGGCTGGAGTGCAATGGCGCAATCACAACTTACTGCAGTCTCGAACTCCCCGGCTCAAATGGTCCTTCCACCTCAGCCTGGGAATACAGCCGCATGCAACCAGCCCCAATTAATTCTTGTATTTTTTTTTGTAGAGATGGGGATTCACCGTGTTGCCCAGGCTGGTTTCAAACTCCTCAGCTCAAGCCATCTGCCCGCTTCGGCCCCCCGATAGGGATTATAGGCGTGAGCCACTATAATAGCGCCTAGCCTGTTTTTGTTAGTAGGAATAACAGTACTTCCCAGAACTCAAAAATCTAGGAGGCATAAGAAAAACACTGTAGAACCCTAGAATGTTCTAGTCACACATCCAGCAAACATTTATTGAGCATTTACTATGTGCCAGGCACTATCCAGAAGGCTGCAGATGCAGTGGAACGAGGCAGACATGGTCCTCGACCTCGGAGTTGACTTTCTAGTAGGATATTATAAACTGATCGGTACTTATGAATCATCTATTTAGTCTAGATGTTCTCAATATGGCTGCATGACAGATTCTCCCAAGTAGTTTAAAGACAGACTTTCGGTTTCACGCCCATTTCTCCCTCCACTGCAGATTCAGATTCAGATTCAGTGCGTTTAGGTGGGATCCAGGAATCTGCATTTTCATAAACGTTCCGAGTGGTTACGAGCTGCAACCAGGTTTGGGTACCCCGACCTAGGCTATGTTCCAGTTACCCACAGGAAACGGCTCCAAGCCGCCCCCACGGGGGCGAGGCGCGGGCGGCCTTACCGTGGCGGTAGGGGTTATAGAGCGCCATCGCCGCGGAGCCGGCGGCCAACAGCCCTTTCTGCAGCGGGGAGGTGGGGAGGTGGTGCGAGTATAGCGGGCCGGCGCCGTCGCTCCTAGCCCGGAGGGGCATTTCTGCGGGGCAAGAAAAAGGCCGAGGTCAGAGGAGCCGGGCGCCCTCAGGCTCCTTCCCGCCTGCGCCCAGAACCCGGCGCCACTTGCCTGCCGCAGGCCGCTGTAGGCCCGGGAGCCCGCAGAGCCGACGGAGGACAGGGCGCAGCAGAGTCGCCATGGCAGCGGGCGTCCGCGGAGGATGGGCGGGTACGAAGAACGCCGCGATTCTGTCAGGCGACGGAGCGTCGGAGGGGTCAAAACTCACTGAAAAACCGATTCTGACGGCGTAGCCTACGGCCTTTCGAGGGGAAACATCGCTTCACGGGCAGAAGGCATGTAGGCCAAGTAGGCGAAGGAAACGCACGCGAACTGTCTACCGTCTACGTCCACCGATCCAAGACTCTCGCCATGTCACCTCGCCCCAGAAAGTGTCTGCAAAGGACACGCAACCACGCTCACTCAGCGCCGGGCCCTATTTCCTTCTCCACAGCCGGTTTTCCCCGAAGACTATAAAATGCGAACCTCTTCCGGCTGTGGAACATGGCGGCGCCCGTGGAAAGGACCACATTTGGGGGCGGGGCCTGGCGGTACTTCCGTCCAGGTCCAGCGGGTGCTGTGATCTTCAAGTATGGGGTCTGCTGGCTTGTCGCGGCTGCATGGGCTTTTCGCGGTCTATAAGCCCCCGGGGCTAAAATGGAAGCACCTGCGGGATACAGTGGAGCTACAACTTCTGAAGGGTGAGTGCCTCGAACCAGACCCACGTTCCCGCTCTCGTTCTCTTGGAAGTCCATCTCCGCTTCTGGTCCTTACCCCAAAACAAAATCACGTGACCTATTCACCTGGGCAGAGCGCTTTCCCAAACGCCTGTTCTCTGTGCTTTCTTACTCCTCACTTTCCTCTGTTTTCCGAGGGGGAAACTGACTCAGTATTGTTCCTTGTCACACGGTTACTACGTTGTAGAGTCTGTTTGAATCCGCCTGTTTCTTAACTACTGCTATACTGCCCTCTGCACCATGGGCTTCTGCTTTGTCTTCTACATCATACTTCCCTGTTGTCTAATCCCCCAAGTGTTTGGACAGAACAAGATATTCCTGGTCAGCATCGTGGTGCACGCCTGTAATCCCAGCTACTCTGGAGGCTGAGGCAGGAGGATCGCTTGAGCCCAAGAGTTTGACGTTACAGTGAGCTATGATGGCGCCATTGCACTTCAGCCTGGGCTACAGAACGAGGCCCTGTCTCTTAAAAAATATTTTATATGTACATATATTTGTATGTATGTGTGTATATATTATCTCTGTGTGTTCAGGTCTCAATGCCAGGAAGCCTCCCGCTCCTAAACAGCGTGTTCGCTTCTTGCTGGGCCCCATGGAAGGCAGCGAAGAGAAGGAGCTGACCCTCACAGCCACCAGCGTACCCTCTTTCATCAACCATCCACTGGGTAAGGCAGATTTAAGCAGGATCCTGTGTGTCACTTCCCAGGAAATCCCTGAGCCGAGTCAGTGTCCCAGTGCTCAGATTCCTGTGCCAGGCCCTTGAAGGTCCACAGAGGAGTGAGGTATTAGACCAGGAATTGGCAGATTTCCTTGGAAAGGGCCAGATACTGAATGTTTTAGTTTTCAGGCCATGTGATTTCCGTTGGAACTGCTCAACTCTGCCAATGTAGTGCCAAACAGCTATAGACAGTATCTAAAGGAATGAGCCTAGCTGTATTCCAATAGAACTTTATGAATATTCATATTTGAACTTCAGGTAATTTTCACGTGTCACTAAGTACAGTTGCCTCTGAGTCCATGAGTTCCACATCCCATGATCCAGCTTCAGATTGGCAGTATTTGGGAAGAAAAACACAAAGTTCCAAAAAGCAAAACTTGAATTTGCTGTGCACCTAGTACTGTGTTGAATCCACTCAAGGTGATGCATAGGCATTATATTAGGCATTATAAGTAATCTAGCTAGGCGTGGTGGCTCACGCCTGTAATCCCAGCATTTTGAGAGGCCGAGGAGGGTGGATCATGAGGTCAAGAGATCGAGACCATCCTGGCCAACATGGTGAAACCCCGTCTCTACTAAAAATACAAAAATTAGCCGGGAGTGGTGGCAGGCGCCTGTAGTCCCAGTTGCTCAGGAGGCTGAGGCAGGAGAATCACTTGAACCCGGGAGGCGGAGGTTGCAGTGAGCCGAAATTGTGCCACTGCACGCCAGCCTGGCAACAGAGCGAGACTCCGTCTCAAAAAAAAAAAGGTAATCTAGAGATGATTTAAAATATATGGGAAGGCCAGGCCTGGTGGCTCATGCTTGTAATCCCAGCACTTTGGGAAGCTGAGGCGGTGGATTACTTGAGCCTAGGAGTTTAACATCAGCCTGGGCAACATGGGGAAACCCTACTTCTACAAGAGAATACAAAAGGCCGGGTGCAGTGGCTCACACCTGTAATCCCAGCACTTTGGGAGGCTGAGGCGAGCAGATCACCTGAGGTCGGGAGTTCGAGACCAGCCTGGCCAACATGGAGAAACCCCGTCTCTACTAAAAATACAAAATTAGACAGGTGTGGTGGCACATGCCTATAATCCCAGGTTCTCAGGAGGCTGAGGCAGGAGAATTGCTTGAACCCGGGAGTCGGAGGTTGCGGTGAGCTTAGGTTGTGCCATTGCACTCTAGCCTGGACAATAAGAGTGAAACTGTCTCAAAAAAAAAAAAAAATTAGCCAGGTGGGGTGGCATATGCCTGTAGTTCCAGCTACTCGGGAGGTTGAGGTGGGAGAATCACTTGAGCCCAGGAGTTCAGAGGCTGCAGTGAGCCGAGACTGTGCCAGTGCACTCCAGCCTGGGTGACAGAGTGAGACTCTGTCTCCAAAAAAAATAAAGAGGCTGAGGTGGGCGGATCACGAGGTCAGGAAATCGAGACCATCCTGGCTAATACGGTGATACCCTGTCTCTACTAAAAATACAAAGAAATTAGCCGGGCGTGGTGGTGGGCGCCTGTAGTCCCAGCTACTCCAGAGGCTGAGGCAGGAGAATGGCGTGAACCCAGGAGGCGGAGCTTGCAGTGAGCGGAGATCGTGCCACTGCACTCCAGCCTGGGCGACACAGCGAGACTCAGTCTCAAAAAAAAAAAAAGTGGCCAGGTGTGGTGGCTCACGCCTGTAATCGCTGCACTTTGGGAGGCCAAGGTGGGCGGATCACTTGAGGTCAGGAGTTCAAGACATGGCAAAGCCCCGTCTCTAGTAAAAATTAGCTGGGCATGATAGCACGTACCTGTAATCCCAGCTACTCAGGAGGCTGAGTTACGAGGAGTCGCACGAACCTGGGAGGCAGAGGTTGTGGTGAGCCATGATCGTGCCACTGCACTCCAGCCTGGGTGAAAGAGTGAGACTCTGCCTCAAAAAAAAAAAAAAAAGGTATATGGGACGACATGCCTAGGTTATATGCAAATACTATGCCATTTTATATCAGGGACTTGAACATCTACAAATTTTGGTATCTGCAAGGGATCCTGGACCCAATCCCCTTGGATACCAAGGGACAACTGTAGTATTCTATTTATTTAGAGACAGGGTCTCACTCTGTCACCCAGGCTGGAGGGCAGTGGTGAGATCTCGGCTCACTGAAACCTCTGCCTCCTGAGTTCAAGCAGTCTTCTCACCTAAGCCTCCCGAGTAGCTGGGACTACAGGCACAGGCCACTATGCCTGGCTAATTTTTTTTTTTTTTTTGAGACGGAGTCATGCTCTGTTGCCCAGGCTGGAGTGCAGTGGCACGATCTCGGCTCACTGCAAGCTTCTCCTCCTGGGTTCACGCCATTCTCCTGCCTCAGCCTCCCGAGTAGCTGGGACTACAGGCGCCCGCCACCACGCCCAGCTAATTTTTTGTATTTTTAGTAGAGACGGGGTTTCACCATGTTAGGCAGGATAGTCTCGATCTCCTGACCTCGTGATCCACCCGCCTCGGCCTCCCAAAGTGCTGGGATTACAGGTGTGAGCCACCACGCCCGGCCATGCCTGGCTAATTTTTGTATTTTTTGTAGAGATGGGGTTTTGTCACGTTGCCCATGCTAGTATTGAACTCCTGGGCTCAAGTGATCTGCCTGCCTCGGCGTCTCAAAGTGCTGGGATTATAAGCGTGAGCCCTTGCAACTGGTCTCTTGATTTATTTTGAACCACTGAAAAATGCAAAAACCATTCTTAACTCATAGGCCACAAAAAACAAGCCAGATGCGGTGGCTCATTCATGTAATCCCAGCACTTTGGGAGGCCGAGGCAGGCGGATCACTTGAGGTCAAGAGTTCAAGACCAGCCTGGCCAACATGATGAAACTCCGTCTCTACTAAAAATACAAAAAATTAGCTAGGTATGGAGGCAGGTGCCTGTAATCCTAGCTACTCAGGAGGCTGAGGCATGAGAATCGCTTGAATCTGGGAGGTGGAGGTTGCAGTGAGTTGAGATGGCGCCACTGCACTCCAGCCTGGGTGACAAAGTGAGACTCCATCTCAAAACAAAACAAAACAAAACAAGCAAACACACACACACAAAAAAAAAACAGTCTTCAGTCTTCAGGTTTGACTTGTGGACTGTAGTTTGCTGACCCTTTTTCTATTCTGGGACTCCAGGTGAGAAATGAGACCCTAGGTAGAAGTCCTAAGGTAGGGGTTTTGGGTTTCTGGGAAAGAATAAGTTTATTTATTTATTTATTTGACAGAGTCTTGCTCTGTTGCCCAGGCTGGAGTCTGGAGTGCAGTGGTGTGATCTCAGCTCACTGCAACCTCCATCTCCCAGGTTCAAGCTATTCTCTTGCCTCAGCCTCCCAAGTAGCTGGGATTACAGGTGTGTGCCACCACACCCAGCTAATTTTTGTATTTTTAGTAGAGATGGGGTTTCACCATGTTGGCCAGGCTGGTCTCGAACTCCTGACCTCAGGTGATCCGCCCACCTTGGCCTCCCAAAGTGCTGGGATTACAGGTGTGAGCCACTGCGCCCAGCCGAAAGAGTGATTTTTTTACTGAATAAAGTTGCCCAACAATGGAACTGGTTCTGGTAATGTGTCCCCATCACTAGATGTGATTAAGGCATGTGTCAGGGAATCTAGAGGTTTGACCAGAAACCTCAAAAACCCGTTGGACTTGTGATATTCAATGACTCTATTATATGGTAACAATAAGAAGTATAATGTATTGAGTCGCCACTCTGTACTAGGCATTGTGTTAAGCTTCCCCCAAGTACAATCCTCATTGATATCACCACAGTGCTGTGAGATGGGTCCTATTTTCATTTCACAAGGGAGAAAACTGAGGCTCAGTGTTGACATTTAGTAACATGGCCTGGATTCAATAGGCCCTTAACTACCCTGGACTCTTCCCCTAGATTCCTCTTAATCTGTAGAAGTGTAAACACTTCTGGCTCATTCCTGCATTTATTCTTTCAGTAGTTCTTTCCTGAGCAGCTAGTGAGTTGACACACCCAGGTTCTGCCTTAAGGAGCTCACAGCCTCCATTTTCCTCCAGGGACTCTTCCTCAGTAGAGCTGGGCAGGGAACCCCGCACTCTTGACCTTCAGTGTTACGCCAGTCTTCTTAGAGCCTCTCACTGGGAGACTGATGATAGGCAGAGTAAGAGGCATCTTGGGCTGCCCTTTGGATCCCAGGGCACTGAGGATACAGTTCAGGGTCCCAGATTCCATGACGGGGAAGCCTGAGAGTCTGGCCTGATGCTAGTTTGGGCTCCATGAGGCCCATTCTGAGAACGAGGTCAACATGCAGCCCAAAGCCATCCTGGGGTGGCATTTAGTTGAGAAAATGGACCTTGTTTGTTTCTTTCCAGTATGTGGACCAGCATTCGCCCATCTCAAGGTTGGCGTGGGACATCGGTTGGATGCCCAGGCTTCTGGAGTACTTGGTAGGTGATGTGAGAAGCCTGGGGGTACAGTGATAAGGCTTGAGAAAAGATCCTGAAGCTACCAGGAGCCCAGCCCACTTCTTACCTGGCACCCACGTCCCACCACTCCTCTCCTGCCCTGATTCCTGCCCCAAGGCTGATCAGCTGGGGAGTGGATAGGTGGGACGGAGGTAATCACAGGTTAATACCACAGTCACCCACCTTTATTCAGTGATTCCCACACATGACATAGTTCGAGGCCCTTTATGCACATTTATTTACCACAACAACTTTATTAGGTAGATACTATATGATTTTATGGAAGAAGAAAGTAGGATTTAGGTGACTTGTTCTGGGTCCCATGGCCAGTGAATACCCCTGGTCCGGAGAAGGAAAACCATCATTGCATCATGGGGCAGCCAGGCGCGTGACTCTGGACCTAATGGCCAGGGCCTGCATGTGGCTGGGTCTGGACACACAAAGCCCTAGTCATGAGCCATCTGTGTCCCCAGGGTCAGGTGGTGCCCACATCCTCCAGCCGCGACAGTCACAGTCCCCTTGTCTTGCTTCCTGAGGCACAGGCAGGCAGACATGATCTCATGCCCCCTCTCCCTGTTCTGTCTCCCCACGAGTGAATGCAGAGTTATTCTGTCCCTCAGCCAGAGGGAGAAACAGACCGGGAGAAAGGCAGGAAGTGACCACAGTGGCCACCGTTTATTGGGCCCTTCCTCTGTGCCGACTGCACAGCACCCACAGGAATCAGTATTTTTTTTTTTTCCTGAGACAGAGTCTTGCTCTGTCTCCCAGGCTGGAGTGCAATGGCATGATCTCGGCTCACTGGAACCTCCGCCTCCTGGGTTCAAGCAATTCTCCCTGCCTTAGCCTCCCGAGTAGGTGGGATTACAGGTGCCCGCCACCACGCCTGGCTAATTTTTTTTTTTTTTTTTTGTGAGACGGAGTCTCACTCTTGTTGCCCAAGCTGGAGTGTAGTGTAGCACCACACCTGGTTAATTTTGTATTTTTTGGTAGAGATGGGGTTTCACCATGTTGGCCAAGCTGGTCTCAAACTCCTGACCTCAGGTGATCCACCTGCCTCGGCCTCCCAAAGTTCTGGGATTACAGGCATGAGCCACTGCGCCTGGCCTTCAGACAGTATTTTTACCCCCATTTTACTGATGGGGAACTTGACGCTCAAAGAGGCTAAAGATTATACTCAGAGCTGTCCCTGATTTGAGTGCAGGTTTGTGTGACTAGGCCAGGGATCTCTTCCTCTCAGGTGTCAGAATCCTGTGGAGAGCTTGGCAGGGATCCTAGGCCCCCTCCAACCATGAGTCAGATTCAGTGCATATGGGTAAGGCCCAGCAATCTGCATGTGATATATACCCAGAGGGGTGCACCTGCCCCCTGTAGAAGATCTTTTTGCCTTCTTGTTGCCTTTGGCAGCATCAGAAAAGGGAGTATTCTGATGGTGGGGGTAGGGGTGGGGATACTTAGGGGAATGGGAAGGGGGTCCCAGGTGTGAGATGACGCTGGCTGCTTTTCAGTGCTCGGCGTGGGACATGGATGCAGGCTCCTCACCGATATGTACAATGCTCATCTTACCAAGGTACGAGGGTCTGGGGACAGCCTGCTTCTCCCTTGGTCCTTTCCTGGGGGTCACCAGCAGGATTCTGAAGCTTAGAGGATTCCGTGGGGGAACACCCAAGCCATAAGCAAGCATTTTTTTGATGATCGTGTGCTGTGCAGGGGCTGTAATAATAATAACAATAATAACTACCAGTGTTAGTGTATGCCGACTACTCTGTGCTGAGCACTGTACGTGGATTCCTTTAGGGAAGCCTCACAGCCTCCCTGTAAAGTGGAATCTGTTGTTAGCCACATTTCACAGATGAGAGAACTGAGGCTCAGAGAGGAGATGTTACTTACCTAGGTCATGTAGTTGTTAGGGCTTTAAGAGCTGGGATTTGAACCTAGGTCTCTCCAACACCAGAGCTTGATCATGATGCCATTCCCTATTCTGTCCCAAGACTGAGAGGTAGATGTCAGCATCCTACCCACAGGGAGCTTACCATCCAGAGGTGGGGTCGGGGCTATGGAGTCTGATACCACAAAGTATGTACGCAGGTGCCACGTTATGGGGCCCATGTTTTTAGTGGTTAAGGGCACAAATTCTGGAGCCAAATGGCTTCAGTTTGAACCCCAGCTTCTACCACTCTGACAGCTGTGTGTCCTTGGGTAGATTACCTAATTAATATCTGTGTGCCTCAGTTTCCTCATCTGTAAAATGGGAATGAGGGCCAGGTGTGGTGACTCATACCTGTAATCCCAGTACTTTGGGAGGCTGAGGCAGGAGGATTGCTTGAGCCCAGGAATTTGAGACCAGTCTGGGCAACATAGCAAGACTCCATCTCTATTTACAAAATTTTTTTAAATTATAAAAATTTTAAAAATTGTGGCCGGGCTCAGTGGCTCCTGCCACTTTGGGAGGCTGAGGTGGGTGGGTCACTTGAGGCCAGGAGTTCAAGACCAGCCTGGACAACATGGTGAAAACCTGTCTCTACTAAAAATACAAAAAAATTAGCCAGGCTGGTGGCGCATGCCTGTCCTCCCAGCTACTCGACGATCCACCCGCCTCTGTCTCCCAAAGTGCTGGGATTATACGTGTGAGTCACTGTATCCAGCCAATCATTACTTATCTGTGGCAGATGGGGTTAGCTGCACAGATTCAGAGGAGGGGGAGTTTTTACAAGCAGGGATGAGCAAGGGCCTGATCTGGGCCATGGAATCTCATTCTATTTAGAGGCGTGGAGAGAAGCCTACAGGGCATGCTAGAAGGGGCTCGGGGTGATAAATTGCCGAGTTAGGTTGGAGAGGAGAAACATGGAGGCCTGGGGTGGCCACAGGGTGGCTGTCAGCGGTCAGTACCTTTGGAGGCTGCCAGTGCTGGTTGTCATGGAAACCAGCCAGCAGTCTTGTAGGAAGCCTGCTGACTGGGAGCCAGGTACCATGTCCTGCTGAATCCAGGCAGCAGTACTGTGAGACTGGCCCTGTTACTGTCCCCAGGTGACAGGAGAGCTTGAATACAAAGAGAGCAAGAGCTGCTGAAGGCCACATGACAGAGCTGGTGCCCTTCCTCCTGGGGCTGTGGAGCAGCTGGGCAGGGGCTGGGCACATGAGCTTCCTGAGGGAGACCTGAGGACCCCCCACCCCCAGCTTCTGGGGCAGGGGCTACTAGGGCTTAGAATGGGGTCACTGACGGATCTTTACCTCCCTGTCCTTGAAGGATTACACAGTGCGTGGCCTCCTGGGCAAAGCTACAGATGACTTCCGTGAGGACGGGAGGCTGGTAGAGAAGACAACCTATGGTGAGAACCGGAAGTGGCTGCCGCTGCCTCCCTCCGCATTTGCTTTCCCTGAGTCCTCTCCCCGCCCTAGGCCACGCTGGCCCCTTCTCAGTTCCACTGCACACACTAGGCTTGGGCTGAGGCTTTGGCCACGGGATCTGTGCTCCAGGAGCATCCTCTACTCCCCTGCTTGCCTAGCTCAAATGTAACGTCACTTCCAAAGACTCTAGTTTCTCTCCATCTCGTCAGTCTTTGACCTTTTCCTTTTCTTTTCTTTTTTTTTTTTTTTTTTTGAGACGGAGTCTCGCTCTGTCGCCCAGGCTGGAGTGCAGTGGCACGATCTCAGCTCGCTGCAAGCACCACCTCCCGGGTTCACGCCATTCTCCTGCCTCAGCCTCCCTAGTAGCTGGGACTACAGGCGCCCGCCACCACGCCCGGCTTTTTTTTTTTTGTATTTTTAGTAGAGATGGGAGACGGGGTTTCACCATGTTAGCCAAGATGGTCTGGATCTCCTGACCTCATGATCCGCCCTCCTTGGCCTCCCAAAGTGCTGGGATTACAGGCATGAGCCACCGCGCCCAGCCTTTCCTTTTCTTTTCTTTTTTTTTTTTTGAAACGATGTCTCGCTCTGTCGCCCAGGCTGGAGTGCAGTGGCGCGATCTTGGCTTACTGCAACCTCCACCTCCCAGGTTCAAGCAATTCTCCTGCCTCAGCCTTCGGAGTAGCTGAGATTACAGGTGCACACCACCACACCCAGCTAATGTTTTGTATTTTTAGTAGAAATTGGGTTTCACCCTGTTGGCCAGTCTGGTCTGGAACTCCTGACCTCAGGTATTCTGCCCACCTCGGCCTCCCAAAGTGCTGGGATTACAGGTGTGAGTCACCACGCCTGGCTACTGTTCTAAATTTTAAAAAGAGGCCGGGCGCAGTGGCTCACGCCTGTAATCCCAGCACTTTGGGAGGTCGAGATGGGTGGATCACAAGGTCAGGAGTTTGAGACCAGCCTGGCTGATATGGTAAAACCCGTCTCTAGTAAAAATACAAAAATTAGCCGGGCGTGGTGGCAGGCACCTGTAGTCCCAGCTACTCAGGAGGCTGAGGCAGGAGAATCGCTTGAACCTGGGAGGCGGAGGTTGCAGTGAGCTGAGATTGCACCACTGCACTCCAGCCTGGCAACAAAGCGAGACTCCGTCTCAAAAAAAAAAAAAAAAAATAATAATAATACAAAAAATTAGCCGGGCATGGTAGTGCACGCCTATAATCCCAGGTACTCGGGAGGCTGAGGCAGGAGAATCGTTTGAACCTAGGAGGTGAAGTTTGCAGTTTGCTGAGATCTCACCACTGCACTCCAGCCTGGGCAACAGAGCGAGATTCCATCTCAAAAAAAAAAAGGCCAGGTTCGGTGGCTCACGCCTGTAATCCCAGCACTTTGGGAGGCCAAGGCAGGTGGATTGCCTGATGTCAGGAGTTCGAGACCAGCCTGGCCAACATGGTGAAACCCCGTCTCTACTAAAAATACAAAAACTAGCCGGGTGTCTTGGCGTGTACCTTTAATCCTAGCTTTTCAGGAGGCTGAGGCAGGAGAATTGCTTGACTCCAGGAGGCGGAGCTTGTAGTGAGCTGAGATTGTGCCATTTGCACTCCAGCCTGGGCAACAGAACAAGACTCCGTCTCAAAAAAAAAAAAAAAAAAAAGTCTGGGTGCAGTGGCTCACACCTGTAATCTCAGCACTTTGGGAGGCCGAGGCGGGCGGATCACGAGGTCAGGAGATCGAGACCATCCTGGCTAACACGGTGAAACCCCCTTGCTACTAAAAATTTAAAAAATTAGCCGGACGTGGTGGTGGGCGCCTGTAGTCCCAGCTACTCGAGAGGCTGAGGCAGGAGAATGGCATGAACCTGGGAGGCGGAGCTTGCAGTGAGCCAAGATTGCGCCACTGCACTCCAGTCTGGGTGACAGAGCGAGACTCCGTCTCAAAAAAAAAAAAAAAAAAAAAATAGAGTGCCCTTGCTGCTGAGTCATGTGTATCTTTCTGAGATCCAGTATCTTTCTGAGGTCCAGTGCTTTCATGAGAATCTCAAAGGACTCCCAACCACCCCGCCATGGGGATCCCTCCAAAACATCCTCTCTCCATGTTCCAGGGATGGGGCTGGCCTGGGGGGAAGGAGTTTGCTGTGACCAATACTCAGCAGGTACCTGTACATTGACAACCCCCTGCCTTTTCCAGACCACGTGACCAGAGAGAAGCTGGACCGCATTCTGGCCGTTATCCAAGGCTCCCATCAGAAGGCCCTGGTGATGTGAGTAGGGCCCTCAGGGAGGTACTGGGAGAGCAGTAAGTGCCCTTGGCTCCCGTAGGCTCCCCCAAACCTGGGGCAGATTCCATGGATCTTGTTTTTAGAGCCCAGAACCAGACGGGAGCTACCTGTTTCTTTCTTGGCATTAAGAAATGGTTCTGTGTGCCAGGTCTTGGGTTGGCCAACGGGAGGCCAAGAAGAGCAAGAGAACCAAGCTGTCCTGCTGAGAGTATATGATCTAATGGCAAGGAAACCAGGGACCACATCATTGGAGCACAGAGCCCAAGGGCAAGAGCAGCCAAGGAGTTAAGAGCTTGGGCTCTGGAGCCAGCTTGCCTGGGTTTCCTGACTCTACCAGGCACCTGGTGATGAAGGAGGGCAGGAAAGGTGGCTGGAGGAGCCACGGTGGCAGGGCACACAAAGCAAGTGAGGAGCTTCCAGAGAGGCACCTCATGTGGGGGAAAGGGTAGGTGGGCCACCCAGCTGCAGCCCCCTTCCTGATCTGCAGGTACTCCAACCTCGACCTGAAGACCCAGGAGGCCTATGAGATGGCCGTGAGAGGCCTGATCCGGCCCATGAACAAGTCCCCGATGCTGATAACTGGCATCCGATGCCTCTACTTTGCACCTCCGGAATTCCTCTTAGGTAGGTTGGCCAAGGAAGTTGGAGCAGTGAGATGGGACCCGTAGGTTTGGGAGTCACTCAGGAACGCTCTTGCAGAGGTCACTGTTGTCTGGCTCAGCTGAGGCCAGCACACGCCGGCCCTGATCTCTGCGGGCCAAGGCATCAGGTGCCGACTTCCTTCCCAGCCCTGGCCTGGACTTGGCTGATGACAGAGCTCGCAGAACAAAAGCTCTCCTATCTCTTGCCAAGTCACCCTTGGAAGCCAGACCTTACCAAGCAAAGGTTATATTTAGTGGCTTATTTCCAGAGCTGCCCATGTTTGAAGCTGTGAGGGCTCCATCAGACACAACTCTTACGTCCCCAGTCCCACCCAGCTCAGGCCCCTCTTATCTGTGTTCCTTTTGTCTCTGCCTGCGCCCGCCCCTTTTTTCTGTTGGTCATGTTAATGCCTGCTCCTCTGCTTGAGCACAGAACTCTGTTATTAAGATAACATCTTAATAACATTTTAAAGATAATCATTTATCTTTCTATAAATGATTTCTTTTACTCCTCATAACTCCCATTTTACAGATAGGGAAACCGAGTCTTAGTAAAAGGCAGGTTCTAACCTGGGCAAGATGGCGAGACCCTGTCTCTACAAAAAATAAAAAATTAGCCAGTTGTGATGGCTCAGAACGTCCCAGCTACTCCGGAGGCTGAGGCAGGTGGATCATGTGAGCCTAGGAGGTCAAGGCTGCAGTGATCTGTTATCACACCACTGCACTCCAGCCTGGGTGATGGAATGAGACCCTGTTGCCAAAAAAGGGCAGATTCTGACTTGGCAGGTCCCGGTGGGGCCTGAGGTTCTGCAAGTCTTAACACATTTCAGGTGGCACCCACAGGGCAGGTCCTCTGAATAGCACAACCTGGAGAGCTTAGGGGTCTTGCTAAGGTTGTTACACACCTAGGAGGTATCCAAGGGGTGTGCGTTCACAACCACACACTAGAGGCTGTGCTCTCACCACCATGTCTGTCATTGTGTGTCCCTGGCAGAGGTGCAGTGCATGCATGAGACGCAGAAAGAGCTGCGGAAGTTGGTTCATGAAATCGGCCTGGAACTAAAGACCACTGCTGTCTGCACCCAAGTGCGGCGCACGCGCGACGGCTTCTTCACGCTAGACAGTGCCCTCCTGAGGACCCAGTGGGACCTAACCAACATCCAGGATGCTATCCGGGCTGCTACCCCTCAGGTAGCTGCAGAGCTGGAGAAGAGCTTGAGCCCGGGGCTGGACACCAAGCAGCTCCCCAGTCCGGGATGGTCCTGGGACTCCCAGGGCCCGAGCTCTACCTTGGGGCTGGAGAGGGGTGCGGGGCAGTGAATGCCCAGGCAGCTCCTGGGGCAGTGGATGGATAAATAGAAGAACTGCTATGAGCTGGACCTGATAGCTGTGCAGAAAGTGAGAGCAGGGGCACCTTTTCTACGTAAGACACAAAACTCAAGCTGTAACAGAAAGGTCAATGGACTTGACCCAACTGAGAAGGAAAAACTTCTGTATGGAGGAAAAGACAGTAAACATGACAGACTGATAGAAAGTATTGGCAGACCAGGCGTGGTGGCGGGCACTTGTAATCCCAGCTACTCCCAAGGCTGAGGCAGGAGAATTGCTTGAGCCCAGGAGTTTAAGGTTGTAGTGCGCTAGACGGCGCCTGTGAATAGCCACTGCACTCTAGTCTGGGGAACATATGAGACCCCTGCCATCTCAAAAAAAAAAAAATTCTCAATAAACTATGTGCCCACGAAAATTAAAAATTAAAAAAAATTGTAAGTATTTGCAGTGTCATTAACCAAGGACTAATATCCATAGTATACAGAGAGCCCTTAGAAAGCAATAAGAAGACAACGACAAAATTAGGCAAATGAGATGAAGTGTGTATCAGAAGAAATCCAAATGGCTAGTAAGCCAGAAATGACACTCAACCTCTTTAATACTGGAAGACACAGATGAAAATGAGATGATTTTTGTTGTTTTTCTGTTGTTGCCCAGGCTGGAGTGCAGTGGCGCCATCTTTGCTCACTGCAGCCTCCGCCTCCCAGGTTCAAGTGATTCTCCTGCCTCAGCCTCCCAAGTAGCTGGGGTCACAGGCGCCCGCCACCACACCTGGCTAATTTTTTGTATCCGAGATGAGGTTTCACCATGTTGGCCTGGCTCAGCCTCCCAAAGTGCTGGGATTACAGGCGTGAGCCACCGCACCTGGCCGGGACCTCAGTCTTTTCTCTTAAAGGTCTTCAGTTTATTGAATGAGCTCCGCCCACAATTGTGGTGGATAATCAGCGTGACTCAAAGTCTACCCATTGACTGATTGAAATGTTAATCATTTTTTTGTTTTTGTTTTTGTTTTTGAGACTTGCTTTGTGGCCCAGGCTGGAGTGCAGTGGTGCGATCTAGGCTCACTGCAACCTCCGCTTCCCAGGTTCACGCCATTCTCCTGCCTCAGCCTCCCGAGTAGCTGGGACTACAGGTGCCCACCACCACGCCCAGCTAATTTTTTTGTATTTTTAGTAGAGACGGTGTTGCACCGTGTTAGCCAGGATGGTCTCAATCTCCTGACCTCGTGATCCGCCTGGCTTGGCCTCCCAAAGTACTGGGATTACAGCCGTGAGCCACCACACCCGGCCTGTTTTGGTTTTTTTTTTTTCTGAGACGGAGTCTCACTCCGTCATCCAGGTTGGAGTGCAGTGGCACAATCTCAGCTCACTGCAACCTCTGCCTCCCAGGTTCAAGCGATTCTCCTGCCTCAGCTTCTCAAGTAGCTGGGATTACAGATGTGTACCACCATGCCTGGCTAATTTTTGTATTTTTAGTAGAGACAGGGTTTCACCATGTTGGCCAGGCTGGTCTGGAACTCCTGACCTCAGGTGATCCGCCCACCTCAGCCTCCCAGAGCGCTGGGATTATGCCAACCTCTGCCTCCCAAAGCACTGGGATGGCAGGCATGAGCCACCACACCCGGCCTGTTTTTGTTTTTTAGACAGGGTCTTGCTCTGTCACCCAGGCTGGAGTGCAGTGATGCAAACATGACTCACTGCAGCTTTGTCCTCTCAGGCTTAACCATCTTCCCACCTCAGCTTCCAGAATAGCTGGGACTGCAGGCGTGCACACAGTATCTGGCTAATTTATTTATTTTATTTTATTTTTGAGACAGGGCCTCGCACTGTCGCCCAGGCTAGAGTGCAGTGGCGCGGTTTCAACTCATTGCAGCCTCGACCCTCCTGGGTCAAGCGATTCTTCCTGCCTTAGTCTCCAGAGTTGCTGGGATTACCGGTGTGCACCACCAAGCCTGGCTAATTTTTGTATTTTTAGTAGAGACAGGGTTTCACTATGTTGGCCAGGCTGGTCTGGAACTCCTGACCTGAGGTGATCCGCCTACCTCGGCCTTCCAAAGTACTGGGAATATAGGCATGAGCCACTGTTTCCGGCCTGTTTTTTTTAGACAGAGTCTTGCTCTGTCACCCAGGCTGGAGTGCAATGGTGCAAACATGACTCACTGCACCGTCATCCTCCCAGGCTCAACCATCTTCCCACCTCACCCTCCAGAATAGCTGGGACTACAGGCGTGCACCACGATGCCTGGCTAAATATTTTTTTCCAGCTAATTTTATTATTTTTTTTTGAGATGGAGTCTTGCTCTGTCACCCAGGCTGGAGTGCAATGGCACAATCTTGGCTCACTGCAACCTCCGCCTCCCAGGGTCAAGTGATTCTCCTGCCTCAGCCACCCAAGTAGCTGGGATTATAGGCGTTCACCACCACGCCCAGCTAACTTTTGTATTTTTAGTAGAGACGGGGTTTCACCATGTTGGACATGCTGGTCTCAAAGTCCTGACCTCAGGTGATCTGCCCGCTTCAGCCTCCCAAAGTGCTGGGATTACAGGCGTGAGCCACCATACCTGGCCCACCTGAGATCAGGAGTTCAAGACCAGCCTGGCCAACATAGTGAAACCCTGTCTCTACTAAAAATACAAAAATTAGCCAGCTATGGTGACGCACTTCTGTAATCCTAGCTACTTGGGAGGCTGAGGCACAAGAATCGCTGAAGCCCAGGAGGTGGAGATTGCCATTAGCTGAGATTGTGCCCCTGCACTCCAGTCTGGACGAGAGAGTGAGACTCTGTCTCAGAAAAGAAAAAAAAAAAGGCTGGGCACGGTGGCTCACGCCTGTAATCCCAGCACTTTGGGAGGCCAGGGTGGGCGGATCACGAGGTCAGGAGTTCAAGACCAGCCTGACCAACATGGTGAAACCTGTCTCTACTAAAAATACAAAATTAGCCGGGCGTGCTTGCACGTGCCTGTAGTCCTGGCTACCCGGGAGGCTGATGCAGAATAACTGGAACTCGGGAGGCGGAGCTTGCAGTGAGTGGAGATTGCGCCACTGCACTCCAGCCTAGGTGACAGAGTGAGACTCTGTCTCAAAAAAAAAAAAAAAAGAGAAAAATCAGAACAAAATCAGCAATATTTAGACAAGCAGAATCCAATGAAATGGTGAGGAAAGCTGGGTGGGAGTGGAGGGTATCAGCAAAACTCAGTTCTTTGGAAAAATTAGGTAACTTGAACGTAGGGCACATGGGCTGTCACACCACCCCATTTAGAGCCCTTATTGGCATAGAGATGATAAAAGTGGACTCTGTGATGGCCTCTCATGATCTCAGGATAGCAGGATAGGGGAACTCTGAGTCATGGCCAAAATAATTGGTCAATGTACAGCCTCAGACAGCTGGGAATACCACCCCAAATCACTTGGATAAGGAGATGTTTTCCTTATCCTGTGTCTTTAACTCTGAGACGGATGGAGTTGAACAATCAACGATTGTTAAAAATGTACCAAATGTGTAAGCATCATGAGGTGTTTAAGCTGAGCTTTTAAATTAAAATTCTGCTGGGTGTGGCGGCTCATGCCTGTAATCCCAGCACTTTGCGATCCCCACACAGGAGGATTGCTTGAGCCCAGAAGTTTGAGACCAGCCTGGGCAACACAAGGAGACCCTGTCTCTACAAAAAACAAACAAACAAACAAAAAAGCCGGGGGTGTTGGTGTGTGCCTGTAGTCCCAGCTACTAGGGAGGCTGAGATGGGAGGATCGCTTGAACCTAGCAAGTCAAGGCGGCAGTAAATGGAGATCTGTACTCCAGCCTGGGCAACAGAGCGAGACCCTATGTCAGAAAAAAAGAAAAAGCCACCCAGCAGGCTGAGCGTGGTGGCTCACGCCTGTAATCCCTGCACTTTGGGAAGCCAAAGCAGGTGAATCACTTGAGGTCAGGAGTTCGAGACCAGCCTGGCCAATATGGTGAAACCCTGTCTCTACCAAAAATACAAAAATTAGCCGGGCATGGTGGCGCTTGTCTGTAGTCCAGCTACAGCTACTCCAGATCTGGGCTGAGGTGGGAGAATCATTTGAACCCAGGAGGTGGAGGTTGCAGTGAGCTGAAATCACACGACTGTACTCTAGCCTGGGTGACAGGGTGAGACCCTATCTCAAAACAAACAAACAAAAACCCCACCAGCAACCTTGCTGACAAATCCACAGGCCCCCACGTCTGCCAATTGCCTGCCTGTATGAACTGGGCACCTGGGGGAGGGGCGTGGCCCCCAGGCTACTCATCTTGGCTTTCACAGCCAAAGGGCCTGGGTGGAACCTCAGCTTACTGTGTTTACTGACTGGGTAATGTGGCCTCTGAAGCTGTCACCTATCTATAAAATGGGGATTAAAACGACACTCACTTGCTCATTGTCTTTCATCCCACCCACGTGTGTTAATCGCGTGCTCCTGTAGGCCAGCCACTGCTCTGGGTGCTGGGACTTGGTACTCAAGGACAGATGAGGCTCTAGGTCTCACAGAGATTATGACGTAGGGGGATCAGGCAAGAAAATAATGGAGTGATGAGCACAGGGAGGAGATCTGGCTGGTCAGTGAAGCAGAGGCTTGGGAGCTGATTCATTTTATATATAAGTATGTACGTAATTTTTTTTTTTTTTTGAGACAGAGTCTCACTTTGTCACCTAGGCTGGAGTGTAGTGGCGCAATCTTAGCTCACTGCAACCTCTGCCTCCCAGGCTCAAGTGATTCTCCCACCTCAGCCTCCCAAGTAGCTGAGACTACAGATGCACACCGTGACACCTGGCTAATTAAGACCCTCAACTCTTAAAAAAAAAAGGCTAAAATGATAAATTTTACATTATGCACATTTTATCACACCCACATAAAAACCATAAAAACAAAACAAAAGCTCTTTCTTGACCTCATAACTCTACAATTACTGCATTCCTTTGCCTCCTTTAGAGCAAAACTCCTGGAAAGGTTGTCTGTAGTCACTGTCCCCAGTTCCTCTCTTCCCACACTGCCCTGAATCCATGCCAGTCAGACTCTCCTTCGCCAAAACGCTCCTGAAATGACTTGTCAAGGTCAACAATGACCTCCTCCTGGTTAAATCCAGCAGCTCCTTCTCAGCAGCATCTCACACAGCTGGTCACTGCCTCCTCCCAAAAAACATTGCCTTCAGGAGGCTCCTCCTGGTCTCCCCGTCTCCCTCCCTGGTTCCTTCTCAGTCTCCTTTGTGGGGCTCCTCCTCTCCTGAGCTCTCCTCTGGTCCTGGTTCTTCCTCTGCCCACACCCAGTCCCTTGGTGACATCAACTCAATATTGCCATGGTTTTTCTTATTGTTGTTTTGAGATAGAGTCTCGCCCTGTTGCCCAGTCTCGCTCTTTTGTTGTGTAGTGGCGTGATCTCAGCTCACTGCAACCTCCACCTCCTGGGTTGAAGTGATTCTCATGCCTCAGCCTCCCGAGGAGCTGGGACTACAGGTATGAGCCACCATGCCTGGCTAATTTTTGTATTTTTTGTAGAGACAGGGTTTTGCCATGTTGCCCAGGCTAGTCTCAAATCCTAGACTCAGGTGAACTGCTCACCTCAGCCTCCCAAAGTAGTGGGATTACAGGCATGAGCCACTGCACCTGGCCACCATGGTTTTTAATAGCATTATACTGATGGTGCCCATTTTTACACCTTTAGCCTGACTTCTCCCATGAACTCCATTATACCGTTAAGCATTTCCACTTAGGAGCTGTGTTTGCATCTCAAACTGAACACTTCTGAATCCTAACTCGTCATCTTTCCCCAAGACCAGCTCTTCCCAGGGACTTCCTCACTCCAGCGCATCACAGCTTCACCTTTCTAGTTGCTCAGGTCAAAACCCTAGCAAAGTTCCCTTTCCTCAGACCCCATATTTATTTGTTTGTTTATTTTTTGAGACGGAATGTCACTCTGTCGCCCAGATGGGAGTGCAGTGGCACGATCTCGGCTCACTGCAGCCTCTGCCTCCTGGGTTCAAGCAATTCTCCTGTGTCAGTCTCCCAAGTAGCTGGAATTACAGGTGCATGCTACCATGCCCGGCTAATTTTTGTATTTTTAGTAGAGACGGGGTTTCACCATGTTGGGCCAGTCTGGTCTCGAACTCCTGACCTTGTGAACTGCCTGCCTCTGTCTCCCAAAGTGCTGGGATTATAGGTGTAAACCACTGTGCACACCACATTTTTTTTTTTTTTTTTTTGAGACAGAATGTCACTCTGTCGCCGAGGCTGAAGTGCAGTGGTGTGATCTCAGCTCACCATAACCTCCGCTTCCCAGTTCAAGCCATTCTCCTGGCTCAGCCTCCCGAGTAGCTGGGACTACAAGCACACACCACCATGCCTGGCTAATTTTTGTATTTTTAATAGAGACAGGGTTTCACCATGTTGGCCAGGCTGGTCTCGAACTCCTGACCTCAAGTGATCCACCTTGGCCTCCCAAAGTGCTGAGATTACAGGTGTTAGCCACTGCATCTGGCTTATACCCCATTTTATTTTTATTTTTATTTTTTGAGACGGAGTCTCGCTTTGCTGCCCAGGCTGGGCGCCCAATGGCACGATCTCAGCTCACCGCAACCTCCACCTCCTGGGTTCAAGTGATTCTCCCACCTCAGCCTCCCGAGTAGCTGGGATTACAGGCGTGAGCCACCGCGCCCGGCTATAATACCGCATATTTAAATCATCAGGCTCTAACTTCAAAATACGAGTGTTTCCAGAATCTGACCACTTCTCACCATTCACCTGCTGCTCTTGGTCCTCCTCCACTCCGTGGACAGAAGTCTCTTCTAAAAGCGCAGTTGGGCCATACGCGGTGGCTCATGCCTGTTATACCCAGCACTTTGGGAGGCCGAGGCAGGCGGATTATCTGAGGTTGGGGGTTCGAGACCAGCCTGACCAACATGGAGAAACCCCGTCTCTACTAAAAATACAAAATTAGCTGGCATGGTGGCGCACGCCTGTAATCCCAGCTACTCGGGAGGCTGAGGCAGGAGAATAACTTGAACTCAGGAGGTGGGGGTTGTGGTGAGCCGAGATCACGCCATTGCACTCCAGCCTGGGCAACAAGAGTGAAACTCCATCTCAAAAAAAAAAAAAAAAAAAGTGCATTTGGATCTTATCACATTTGTGCCCTTCCCATCTCACTTAGAATAGAAACCCAAGGCTGGGTGCCTTTAATCCCATCCCTTTGGGAGGTTGAGGCAGGAGGATTGCTTGAGGGCAGAAGTTGGACACCAGCCTGGGCAACAAAGTAAGAACCATGTCTAGAAAAAATAAAAAATTAGCCAGGTGTGGTGGCACACACCTGTAGTCCTTAGCTATTTGGGGGACTAAAGTGTGAGGAACGCTTACCCCCGGATGTTGATGCTACAGTGAGCAGTGATCACACCACTGTACTCCAGCCTAGGCAACAGAGTGAGACCCTGTCATCTCTAAATAAACAAACAAACAAACAAACAAACAGAAGCTCAAGTCCTTAAGCGGCCTGAGGCCCTCATGATCTACACCCCCCACTCCATTCCCTCTTAACTTCTCCTCTGCTCTCCCCATTGATGCCCTTGCTGAGTCCACACTGGCTTCTTTTTTTTTTTTTTTTTTTGAGATGGAGTCTCATTCTGTCGCCCAGGCTGGAGGGCAGTGGCGCGATCTCAGCTCACTGCAACCTCTGCCTCCCGGGTTCAGGCGATTCTTATGCCTCAGCCTCCCAAGTAGCTGGGATTACAGGCTTCCCACCACCACGCCCAGCTAATTTTTGTATTTTTAGTAGAGATGGGGTTTCACCATGTTGGCCAGGCTGGTCTTGAACTCCTGACCTTGTGATCTGCCCACCTCGGCCTCCCAAAGCGCTGGGATTACAGGCATGAGCCACCGCGCCCAGCCCTAGCTTCTTTTTTCTTTCTTTTTTCTTTTTTTTTTGAGACGGAGTCTCGCTTTGTCACCCAGGCTGGCATGCAGTAGCATGATCTCGGCTCACTGCAACCTCCGCCTCTGGGGTTCAAGCCATTCTCGTGCCTCAGTCTCCCAAGTAGCTGGGATTACAGACGTCCCACCACCATGCCCAGCTAATTTTTGTATTTTTAGTAGAGATGGGGTTTCACCATGTTGGCCAGGCTGATCTCGAACTCCCGACCTCAGGTGATCCACTTGCCTAGGCCTCCCAAAGTGCTGGGATTACAGGCATGAGCCACGACGCCTAGCCTCTTTTTTCTTTTAATTTGTTAATAGAGATGAGGTCTTGATATGTTGCCCAGGCTGATATCAAACTCCTAGGCTCAAGCAATCCTCCTGCCTTGGCCTCCTGAGTAGCTGGGATTACAGGTGCGCTCCACTGTGCCCGGCCCGTGCTGGCTTCTTTGCTGTTCCCGATCACACCTGCCCCAGGACCTTTTCTGCTTGCTGTTCCCCTGCCTGGAACACTCTTCCCCCAGGGGGCTTCCCCCAGGGAGCCATGGCTCCCTCTCACCTCTAAGTCTCCACTGCACTGATGCCTTCTCACTTTATTTAAAACTGCCCCAGAGGCCATGCAGTGCCTCACGCCTGTAATTCCAGCTACTTGGGAGGCTGAGGCAGGAGGATCGCTTGAACCCGGGAGGCAGAGGTTGCAGTGAACCGAGATCATGTCACTACACTCCAGCCTAGGTGACAGAAGAAGACTTCATCTCAAAAAAAAAAAAAAAAAGTGTTCCTGAATGCTCCCCTTCCTAGGCCCTGAACTTAAATTTGAATTCATTCAATATATATTTGGGAGAGGCAGGGAGACTCAAATTTGGTGAGCTTCAGGTCCCATCCATCTTTCCTGATTTATTTTTCTCTCTAGCCCTTATCACCATCTGAACAAAGATTTATTTTTTAGCTGGTTTATTATCCGTCTCCTTTCCCCCTAGAATGTAAATTCTAGGAGGGCAGAGATGTCTGCTTTGCTCACTTTTGCATCCCCAGAGTTTAGAGCAGTGCCTGAAAAAATACTGTGGAAGGAATGCCAATGCCTACCTAACTGCAGCTTTCAAGGTCAGCTTTCCCTTCTACTCTCCCCAGCCCACTTCCCTCTCTTAAGTGCCCCCTCTCTACTCATCCCCAGCCCTCCTCAGACCCCACTGCAGCAGCCCTCCCAGGCACCTGGAATGTCAGCTCATTGAAGTCCTACTTTAAGCTATAACAACCTTGCATTCCCCCAGGGCCAGGAATATGCTTGGGACACACAAAGTGTCAGTCGTACTAATGAGCTGACATTTTACCTACAACTTTACAGTCATTAAATCAGTGTCCATACAGATGAACCCTTCAGAAGTGACTACAGCAGGCGTGATATGACCTATTTTATGGGTGAAGAAACTAAGGCCAGGTAAGGTGAAGCTACCAGCCTGGCCTATGTCTACATGGTCTATCTCCATGACATGGCCTGCTGAGCTTTCTGTTTGGCCATAGTTTAAAAAACAAATAAAAAAACCATCCCTGCCACCATATCATCAATATCTTGATTTCCTCTGAAACATTCTGTTAGTCCCTGACTAACCCTATCCTCTGAGCACTTTATTTTTTTTTTATTTAATTTAATTTTTTTTTTTTTTTTGAGACTGAGTCTTGCTGTGTCACCCAGGCTGGAATGCAGTGGCGCAATTTGGCTCACTGCAAGCTCCGCCTCCCGGGTTCACACCATTCTTCTGCCCCAGCCTCCTAAGTAGCTGGGACTACAGGCGCCCGCCACCACACCCAGCTAATTTTTTGTATTTTTAGTAGAGACGGGGTTTCACCGTGTTAGCCAGGATGATCTTGATCTCCTGACTTCGTGATCAGCCCACCTCTGCCTCCCGAAGTGCTGGGATTACAGCCGTGAGCCACCGTGCCCAGCCAATTTTTTTTTTTTTTTTTGAGACGGAGTTTCACTCTTGTTGCCCAGGCTGGAGTGCAATGGAGTGATTTCGGTTCACTGCAATCACTCCCTCCAGGGTTCAAGTGGTTCTCCTGCCTCAGCCTCCCGAATAGCTGGGATTACAGGCCCACACCACCATGCCCAGCTAATTTTTGTATTTTTAGTAGAGACGGGGTTTCACCATGTTGGCCAGGCTGGTCTTGAACTCCTGACTTCAGGTGATCCACCTACCTTGGCCTCCCAAAGTGTTGGGATTACAGATGTGAGCCACCGTGCCCAGCCCCTCCGAGCACTTTAGCAGGAGCCTGGAAACTTATACCAGAGATAGGCTGGGTAACAGAAGGGACTAACATTAGTCACACCAAAGGAGCTCCTATCTCGGTGACTCTGTATCCGGATGCTGCTGTGGGTGGTGGAGGCTGATTAGGAGACAAGCATCGCAGGTAGGCGGCCAGGGTGTGGTTAGTGGTGGGGGTGGGGCTGCTGTCCCAGGGCCTTCCAGCAGCTATGGGGTCTGCAAAGCAGGCTGCGGTCAAAATGACCTCCTGCCCGCACTCTTCTTCCAGCAGTCCCCACCTCAAACCCTACATGTACTTTCTGACCACCTATGAAATCAGAAGCGAGAAGAGCCCTAAGATGGGAAAACAGGTCTTGCTCCTCCCTGGCAAACCAGCTGCGCAGGTTTGCTGGTGCAATTGTGGAGGGTGGAGGAGCGAGGAAACTCCAGGGAATGAATGGAGCCAGCAAATGCCAGGGTCTGGGAGACAGCTCTGGGGCGAATCCAGATAAAAATCATGCCTGGGTTTGATCTAGCACGGACCACAGCAAACATTTAGGGTCAGGTGGCTGTGTAGATGTGTTTGAAGATGGGCTGGTTTTGAGGCAGGATTTCAGAGGATGTGATTACTGGTAGTCAGAAGAAGCAATTTCATCAACCATCAAGGTACGCGCACAGAGCAATGTAGCAAGAACACCCAAGGGGCCAGGCGCGGTGGCTTATGCTTATAATCCCAGCACTTTGGGAGGCTGAGGCGGGTGGATCGCTTGAGGTCAGGAGTTCGAGAGCAGCCTGACCAACATGGTGAAACCCTGTCTCTACTAAAAATACAAAATTAGCTGGGCATGGGGGCACATGCCTGTAATCCCAGCTACTTGGGAGGCTGAGACAGGAGAATCGCTTGAACCCGGGAGGCGGAGGTTGCAGTGAGCTGAGATTGTGCCATTGCACTCCAGCCTGGGCAACAAGAGTGAAACTCTGTCTCAAACACAAAACAAAACAAAACAAAACAAAACAATACCCAAGGAGTTTATTAAAATATATTTTTGGGCCTGCAAAGTCAGGATTCCTAGAGGTTGGACACCCACATCTTTATTTATTTATAAGAGACAGCGTCTCTTTCTGTCACCCAGGCTGGAGTGCAGTGGCATGATCTCGGCTCACTGCAGCCTCGACCTGGATCCTCCTGCCTCAGTCTTCTAAGTAGCTGGAACCACAGGGATATGGCACCACACCTGGCTAATTTTTGTATTTTTTGTAGAGATGGGGTTTTGCTATGTTGCCCAAGCTGGTGTCAAACTTCTGGCTTCCAGTGATCCTCCCACCTCAGCCTCCCAAAATGCTGGGATTATAGGCACCCAGCCCCAAATCTTTATTTAAAAAATCCCTCTCAATCCCAGCAGTTTGAGAAGCTGAGGTGGGTGGATTGGTTGAACCCAGGAGTTCAAGACCAGCTTGGGCAACATAGGGTGACACAATCTCTACAAAAAATACAAAAATGAGTTGGACATGGTGGCATGTGCCTGTAGCCCCAGCTACTCAGGAGGCTGGGCTGGCAAGATGGCTTGAGTCTGAGAGGTTGAGGCTGTAGTAAGCCCTGATCACACCACTGCACTCCAGCTGGGTAACAGAGACAAGACAAGACCTTGTCTCCAAAACAAAACAAAACAAAACATCCCCCTCAGATAATTGTGATACTCAGAAGTTTGGGAATTAGTACCTGGCCTTTAAAGAGCAAGTGTTTGAAACCCCTTCAAACTCTGAGTCTGCTCCTTCTCTGTGCTTCCTTGGGAAAGTGACTTAACCTCTCTGAGCCTCATTTACCTCATTTGGATAATGGGGACAACTCTACCTACCTCTCAGGGTGGCCATGAGGAACACATGTGATAGGCAGAGCATTAGGCTCAGGGTCTGGCACAGAGAATGTTCTCCAAGTTAGAATGTGCTCATTAGCTGCTATAATGATTATTCCGCCAAGAACTTTTGGGATTGTGGGATGAACATGAGAAGCTGAAGGAGTCAAAGGTCAAGAGGGACTTTACTCCTGTCCAGAATTGCTGATGTTAGGAATGGGAGGCTCACTGGGAAGGAAGCCGAGCAGGCTACCTACAGGAACCAGGAAGGAGGGGCCCAGGCCAAGTCCAAGGCAGAGGCTGATCATTTCTGGCCACTGACCTGGCCGCTAGGTCAGGGCCCTGGGCAGATACAACATACAACAAACATAGCAGGGCTCTGTGGTTAAGACCTGAGGCTTAAGGGCTTGGAGAGTGCTGGGTTCAAGTTCCGATTCCTGTTTTAGTAATGCCCGACCTCAGATAAGAGACTCAAGAGGCTCCACTGGGGAGGCAGGCAGCACACTGTGGCTACTCAGCCAGGTTCTGGAATCAGATAGCTTCGCTACTTATCTGCATCCCCCTGAGCCTCAGTTTGCTCCATTTGGAAATGGGGACTCTCAACCACTCTCTGTTGTTGGGGGCAGTCAATGAGATACTGCGGGGCATGGTGACTCAGCTCCCTGTCTGACCCACAGAATTGCATATGTGCTGGTGATTGTGGCCATCAATCCCTTATCTGGTGAAACCTTTGGCTCATAACTGGTTTGGGTGTGTGATTGTTACCTTTCACCTCATTCTCAGGCCCATCCACATGACGTGGAACCTGGAGCTTTCCTCCCAATTCCTCCGAAGAATCAGGGTTGGGGGCCCCAACATCCCTTAGCCCCAACCACAGAGGCACTGGGCCCTTGGCCTGGGCTTCCTCCCTTCCCTCTCTCCCCAAGCGGCCCCTCCTTTTTTTCAAGACAGGGCCTCACTCTATCACCCATGCTAGAGTGCAATGTGTGATCATGGTTCATGGTAGCCTTGACCTCCTGAGCTGGATCGATCCTCCCACTTCAACCTCCTGAGTAGCTGGGTACCACCATGCTTGGCTTTGTTTTTTTTTTTCTTTTTTTTGAGACGGAGTCTTGCACTGTCGCACAGGCTGGAGTGCAGTGGCGCAATTCGGCTCACTGCAAGCCCCGCCTCCCGGGTTCACGCCATTCTCCTGCCTCAGCCTGCCGAGTAGCTGGGACTACAGGCGCCCGCCACCACGCCCGGCTAATTTTTTGTACTTTTAATAGAGACGGGGTTTCACCGTGTTAGCCAGGATGGTGTCGATCTCCTGACCTCATGATCCGCCCACCTCGGCCTCCCAAAGTGCTGGGATTACAGGCGTGAGCCACCGTGCCCGGCCCATGTTTGGCTGTTTTTAAAATTTTTTGTGGAGGATAGGTCTCACTATGTTGCCAAGGTGGTCTCAAACTCCTGGGCTCAATTGATTGTCCTGCTTTGGCCTCCCAAAATGCTAGGATTATAGGCATGAGCCACCACACCCTGCCCAGCTGATGTGGCCCCTTCTGAGCAAAACTAGAGTGGGGCACTATTTGGCGACACTGCTCTGTGACACATTTCTGTCAGGCCACCCAAAAATGACCCCTTTCAGTCCCCAGGGACAACAGTGCAGGCTGTACTGTGTTAGTATTTTGAACTCCGTAGGTGCCGGATGACAAATATTTTCGAGTAGGGTTTATACCGGATATGATCAAACAAACCATGTATGTGTACACACCAGGCAGAGTAACCTCTGCCACCTGTTTTCCAGCACATGGGGGCACGGCCTGAGGAATCCACATCTCGCAGCTGCTTGCTCCTTACTGCCCCTGGTTGCTTCAAACTCCTGAGAGGGGTGCTGCCAGAGAACCCCCTCTTCTATGTGTTCTGAGGATTCAGCCTTCGTGAATCTGGCCTGGCAGGCTGGAACCTTTCCAACAAGGCCCTCCCAGGGCTTGCTTCCCAGGGCAGTTGGGCACATCTCTGAGTGGACACTGCCCCCTCGAGGCCGTGCCCACTATGACACCTGGGAGAGCTGAGCTCACACAAGAGAAACAGACCAAGGTGGATGCTTTCCTTCCAAGTGTCCTCCCTGGGTGCCTCAAGATTGAACCAAAATGCAGAGCTGGGTTACGATTGTGTTTGGGGGAGACTTTCATCATGCACCAAGAATCCAAGTGGACACAACCTGCAAATCACCATCCCTGATCACCTTTCAACGAGACCAAATCCCTTTGTGTCCTGGGCCAACTAAGTTTTCTGCCTCTGGAATACTCTCCCACATTTTTTTTTTTTTTTTTTTTTTTTTTTGAGACGGAGTCTTGCTCTGTCGCCCAGGCCGGACTGCGGACTGCAGTGGCGCAATCTCGGCTCACTGCAAGCTCCGCTTCCCGGGTTCACGCCGTTCTCCTGCGTCAGCCTCCCGAGTAGCTGGGGCTACAGGCGCCCGCCACTGCGCACGGCTAATTTTTTGTATTTTTAGTAGAGACGGGGTTTCACCTTGTTAGCCAGGATGGTCTCGATCTCCTGACCTCATGATCCACCCGCCTCGGCCTCCCAAAGTGCTGGGATTACAGGCGTGAGCCACCGCGCCCGGCCTTTTTTTTTTTTTTTTTTGAGACAGAGGCTCACTCTGTTGCTTAGGCTGGAGTGCAGTGGTGCCATCTTGGCTCACCGCAACCTCTGCCACCCAGGTTCAAGTGATTCTCTTGCCTCAGCCTCCTGAGAAGCTGGGATTACAGATGTGTGCCACCATGCCCGGCTAATTTTTGTATTTTTAGTAGAGACGGGGTTTTGCCATGTTGCCCAGGCTGGTCTCGAACTCCTGACCTCAGGTGATCCGCCCGCCTCAGCCTCCCAAAGTGCTGGGATTACAGGCAGGCAGCCCTCTCCCACATTCTTACCTGGCTGCCTCCTACTGGACAGACATGGATGTCTCTTCCCCTGGGAAGTTTCCCAGTGTCCCATATTGGTTGGATGCAGCTCCAACATGCTTCCATAACCCTGTGGCAGCATTTTATCTGTATTGTCGTGGCTGCTTGAGTCTCTGACCTCCCGCTGGCAGGTGAGCACTGTGTGGCAGGGACCCAGAGACTGGGGCTCCCCAGCACCTGGCCCTGACAGTTTTTTTGTGTAGGAAGAGGCAAGACCAGCCAGCTCTCCACATAGAGAACATGGTGTAAGGTGAGAAAACCTCAAGGAAGGGCTCACCTCTCAAGGGGCTCCCACCCACTCAGAGCCTGGCCACTTCCCTCTCCTCCTCCTCCTTCACCATAAAACCAGGTGGCCGGCCAGGCGTGGTGGCTCATGCCTATAATCCCAGCAGTTTGGGAGACTGAGATGGATGGATCACTTGAGGTCAGGAGTTTGAGACCAGCCTGGCCAACATAGTGAAACCCTGTTTCTACTAAAAATATAAAAATTAGCCAGGCATGGGGGCGGGTGCCTGTAATCCCAAGTACTTGAGAGGCTGAGGCAGGAGAATCGCTTGAACCCAGGAGGTGGAGGTTGCGGTGAGCCAGGGTTGCGCCACTGCACTCCAGCCTGTGGCAACAGAGTGAGACCCTGTCTTAAAAAACAAACAAACAAAAACACAAAAGACAAACCCATGTGGCCCAGAACATTAAGGGAGGAGAGCAGGTAAGGCACTCAGGCACTCACTGTCTCAGGCAAGGCAAAAGCTGGGCGGCACTGGGTAGGGTGGGGTGGCTCATGCCTGTAATCCCAGCACTTTGGGAGGCTGAGGCAGGTGGATCACCTGAGGTCAGGAGTTTGAGACCAGCCTGACCAACAAGGTGAAACCCAGTCTCTACTACAAATACAAAAATTAGCCAGGCGTGGTGGCGCATGTCTGTAATCCCAGCTACATGGGAGGCTGAGGCAGGAGAATCACTTGAACCCGGGAGGTGGAGGTTGCAGTGAGCTGAGATTGCGCCACTGCACTCCAGCCTGGGGGAGAAGAGCAAAACTCCATCTCAAAAAAAAAATTAAATTAAAAAAAGCTAGGTGGGACCTAAGATACATGAGAGCCTCAGAAGCCCCTCACAGTCCTGGTTCTATCTATCTCCAGTGAGGCCACTAGCACTCACCCAAGACCTAAGGGAACAGGAGCAGAGCCACGTTCATCAAGGCAAATGCTGAGCGTGTGTGAGATGCAGGTGGAAAGGATGTCGTCTGATGTGAATCTGACAAAATCTTGTTCCCAGGGGGCATCTGGTTTGGTAAGAGTCTGTTGTGAGGCTTTGTGTGTGGAATGGGGTTAGACAGACCTGGGTGCTGGTTCCAGCTGCCCCTGACTCACTGTGGGACTTTGATAGGTTGTTTCTGCTCTCGGAACCTGTTTCCTCATCCAAATGGGAACAATTATGGGACTTAGCTCAAAGGTGGTTGTGAAAACCTGTTGACATGAGGAGAAAGTAGGAAGTGTAAGAAATGACAAGGAAATCCCAGAAATGAGAAAGAAATGACAAGGAAATCCCAGAAATGAGAATGCCTGCTGCCTGGGGCCACTGTCACTGAGGCTTGTGCTTTTTGTGTGTGTGTTTCTTTTTGAGACAGAATCTCGCTGTGTTGCCCAGGCTGCAGTGCAATGGTGTGATCTTGGCTCACTGCAACCTCCGCCCCCCAGGTTCAAGCAATTCTCTGCCTCAGCTTCCTGAGTAGCTGGGACTACAGGCATGTGCCCCCATGCCTGGCTCATTTTTTTTTTTTTTTTTGTATTTTTAGTAGAGATGGGGTTTTGCCATGTTGGCCAGGTTGATCTTGAATTCCTAGCCTCATGTGATCTGCCTGCCTCGGCCTCCCAAAGTGCTGGGATTACAGGCGTGAGCCACCACACCTGGCTGTGTGTTTAATCTAGAAGAGCTGATAGATGCAGAAGAGTGTCTGAAGTCTGGACCAGGACCAGAGTACAAGCATGGGACACTTGATGGCAGGGTGTGGGGGTAATGAGTCGCTGTCTAGCACAACCCTAGGAGCCCGGTTGTGGGCAGTTGCCCACCAAATACTCAAAGCACCCTTTGGAGATGGGTCCTTGTAGCTGACTCCCTGTGAAAGATCTGTGTGCTCATTCTTATTTCCCAGCCTCCCTCTTGGTTAGTTTGGGCCAAGTGACTAGTTATAGACAAGGAGCTGTGAGTAGAAGTTATGTCTCCCAAATATGGGGGAGTTGGTTTGGAGTTGATGTGTCTTCATCTCTCTCTTCCCCTGCTGTGGTCACTCTGGTGGCCACATGTTCTGATGGTATAGCTCAAAATAGAGGAGGGCTACCAGACCCTCATTAGACTCTGAGACAAACATACCTTTATTGTGTTCAGCCACAGAGGTTTTGTGGTGGTTTGCTGAGTCGGCTAATGCTAATTACCCTGGTGAATACAGCACTACTATTATCTCCGCTTTATTGGGGCCACGTCAGTTGCCCATAGTCACACAGCTCATAAGTGGGCAGAGCTGAGACTCAAATCCAGGCCTGACTTGCATGGCTTTTTTTTTTTTTTTTTTTTTTTTTTTTTTTTTTTTTTTTTTTTTTTTTTTTTTTGAGATGGAGTCTAGCTCTGTCGCCCAGGCTGGAGTGCAGTGGCGCGATCTTGGCTCACTGCAAGCTCCGCCTCCCGGGTTCACGCCATTCTCCTGCCTTAGCCTCCCGAATAGCTGGGATTACAGGTGCCTGCCACCACGCCAGGCAAATTTTTTATTTTTTATTTTTTTGTATTTTTAGTAGAGACGGGGTTTCACCATGTTAGCCAGGATGGTCTCGATCTCCTGACCTCGTGATCCGCCCGCCTCGGCCTCCCAAAGTGCTGGGATTACAGGCGTGAGCCATTGCGCCCGGCCATGGCTGGTTTTTAGAAACCAAGTTTAACCAGGTTGGCCAGGCTGGTCTCAAACTCTTGACCTCACGTAAGCTGCCTGCCTCAGCCGCCCAAAGTGCTGGGACTACAGGTATGAACCACCATGCCTGGCCTAAAATTTATTTATTTATTTTTATTTTTATTATTTATTTATTTTTTTTTGAGATGGAGTCTCGCTCTGTTGACCAGGCTGGAGTGCAATGGCGTGATCTCGGCTCACTGCGACCTCTGCCTCCCAGGTTCAAGAGATTCTCCTGCCTCAGCCTCCTGAGTAGCTGGGATTACAGGTGCGCACCACCATGCGTAGCTAATTTTTTATATTTCGAGTACAGACGAGGTTTCACTATGTTGGTTAGGCTGGTCTCAAACTCCTGACCTCATGATCCTCCTGCCTCAGCCTCCCAAAAGTGCTGGGATTACAGCCCGGCCTATTTTTATTTTTTGAGAAGGAATCTTACTTTGTTGCCCAGGCTGGAGTGCAGTGGCATGATCTTGGCTCACTGCAAGCTCAGCCTCCCAGGTTCAAGTGATTCTCCTACCACAGTCTCCTGAGTAGCTGGGATTACAGGTGCTTGCCACTACACCCAGCTAATTTTTTGTATTTTTAGTAGAGATGGGGTCTCACCATGTTGGCCAAGCTGGTCTCGAACTCCTGACCTCAAATGATCCACCTGCCTCAGCCTCCCAAAGTGCTGGGATTACAGGCGTGAGCCACTGCACCCAGACCCTAATACATAAATTTATTTATTTTTTGAGAGGGAGTCTCACTCTGTCGCCAGGGTGGAGTGCAGTGGCGTGATCTCAACTCACTGCAACCTCTGCCTCCTGGGTTCAAGTGTTTCTCCTGCCTCAGCCTCCAGAGTAGCTGGGACTACAGGCACATGCCACCACGCCCAGTTAAGTTTTGTATTTTTAGTAGAGATGGGATTTCACAATGTTGGCCAGGATGGTCTCGATCTCATGACCTTGTCTCCGACCTCGTTGGCCTCCCAAAGTGCTGGGATTACAGGCGTGAGCCACCGCACTGGCCTGCTTTTTTATTTTTTATTTTATTTTTATTTTTATTTTTGAGATGGAGTCTTGCTCTGTTGCCCAGGCTGGAGTGCAGTGGCGTGATCTAGGTTCACTGCAAGCTCCGCCTCCTGGGTTCATGCCATTCTCCTGCCTCAGCCTCCCGAGTAGCTGGGACTACAGGCGCCCACCACCACGCCTGGCTAATTTTTTTGTATTTTTTTTTAGTAGAGACGGGTTCCACCGTGTTAGCCAGGATGGTCTCGATCTCCTGACCTCATGATCTGCCCGCCTTGGCCTCCTAAAGTGCTGGGATTACAGGCTTGAGCCACCGCGCCCGGCTACCTTTTTATTTTTTTGAGATGGAGTTTCACTCTTGTCGCCCAGGCTGGAGTCCAGTGGTGCGATCTCGGGTCACTTTTTTTTGTATTTTTAGTGGAGATGGGGTTTCTCCATGTTGGTCAGGCTGGTCTCGAACCCCAACCTCAGGTGATCCACCCTCCTCGGCCTTCCAAAGTGCTGGGATTACAGGTGTGAGCCACCGTGCCTGGCAAAATTTATTTTATTTTATTTTATTTATTTTTTTTTTGAGACGGAGTCTCGCTCCGCCGCCCAGGCTGGAGTGTGGTGGTGCAATTTCAGCTCACTGCAACTTCCGCCCCCCGAGTTCAAGCGATTCTCTTGCCTCAGCCTCCCGAGTAGCTGGGACTACAGGCACCCACCACCACGCCTGGCTAATTTTTTGTATTTTTAGTAGAGATGGGGTTTCACAGTGTCAGCCAGGATGGTCTCGATCTCCTGACCTCGTGATCCTCCCGCCTCAGCCTCCCAAAGTGCTGGGATTACAGGCGTGAGCCACCGTGCCCGGCCAAAATTTATTTTTAACAAGAAAAAAAAATTTACCTCTGGGAACACAGAACATAATTTTTAAACAAAAAGGGGGTCTCTTGGCTGGGCACGGTGGCTCATGCCTGTAATCCCAGCACTTTGGGAGGCCGGGGTAGGTGGATCACGAGGTGAAGAGATTGAGACCATCATGGCCAACATGGGCGTGGTGGCACGCTCCTGTAGTCCCAGCTACTCGGGAGGCTGAGGCAGGAGAATTGCTTGAACCTGGGAGGCAGAGGTTGCAGTGAGCTGAGATCGTGCCACTGCACTCCAGCTTGGGTGACAGAGTGAGACTCCATCTCAAAAAAAAAAAAAAGAAAGTGGGGTGGGGGTCGGTGGGGGGGGTCTCTCTTCATTGCCTAGGCTGGTCTTGAACTCCTGGCCTCAAGTGAACTCCTGCCTTAGCCTCCCAAAGTGCTGGGATTACAGGCATGAGCCACCACACCTGGCCCACTCTAAGCTCTTGCCTGCTTCTTCCCAGCCCAGAAAGGCAGTATTGCAAAGCACGAGCTTGAGTCTGACCTGAGCTCAAATCCCTGTTCTGCCACTTACTAGCTGTGTGACCTTGGGCAAGTCACTTTGTCTCCTCTCTGAGCCTCAACGTCTTCATCTGTAAGATGGGGATAATTATGCTAATTCCTCACAGGATGATTTTAAGCATCAGAGACAATGGATATAAAGCACTTAGCACAATGCCTGGCTCATGTAAGCCTGTTCTAATCAAAGGCACGCTCTCTTTATCCCAGGTACTATCGGGGGCTATTGGAGAAGAGGGAATCAGTGTACAGATACGTTTATTGACAAATAAAGTACATGTACCCCTACACAAGTATCACTGCGACATTTCAGGAACCTTGGAGCTGGGAACGCCCCTTCCTCCCTGCCCGCCTCTTCTCTAGCCTCCTCCTGATTGGGCTTGGGCTCTCTAGAAAAGTGCTTCTGGCATTGTCTCGCTGGAAACTCTGTAGGTGTGCTGGTTGGGCTCTCAGTGTTTATCATGTCCACACCCTTCTGTCCCTGGGAGCTGTGGACAAGGGGCGATGAGCCTGCTCAGTCATTCATGTCCAGCCCAAACTCTGGATACAACTCTTTGGTGGTGACACCTCGGATCACAGCTGAAAGGAAGGAAGGCAGGCTGAATGTGCAGTGGGGAGAGGTGGGAGGGAGTACAGCCAATGCCCCGAGCCAGTGTCACTGCCCTGACCCACCCAGGACCACCTCTGGCTTCAAGCCAGTCCCCACACTTGTGCCTTGCCTAACTGGCCAAGGTAAGCTCCCTGCTACTCCTTCCAGGCTGTCCCCCACGGGCCCCACCTGGCCACGCTGGAGCTCTGCCATGTGCCAGCCACTGTATTCAACAATGGACCTACAAGGACTCCTTGGACCCTCACCCCATTTTGCAGAGGAATGAAACAGAGCTTCCTCGATTCCATTCTCCACACAGAGCTGCTGGATTCATCTGCTTCAAATGTAAGCTGATTGTATGCTGTGCCTGCTGAACATTCCAGACTCCTCAGTATGGCCCACTGCTCGAGTTTGCCCCTCTGCAGCCTCCATGATGCTATTCCTCCTCTGTTCTCCACAAAGACTGGTCCTTTCTCCTGAGGAAGGGTTCTCCTCAGAGGCCTCCCCTGAACACCTATCTTACCCCCACCGCCCCTCTGTTCATACCTCAATATTCTCCCCATCTCTGCCCTTTGTCGCCTTCATAGCACCTAACACATTTTGTAATTAACTGCTGAGTCCACTGACTTCCTGGGCATTCCTCCACCCCTAACAGGAAAACAAACCACATGAGAGCAAGAGACTTTAAATTGTCTGGTTCACCCAAGTGTCCTCAGCACTCTGTAGAGTGCTGGGCACAGAGCAGCTGCTCAGTAAATGTTCACTGAATAAACAAAAAGGATGCCAGGTGCGGTGGCTCAGCCTATAATCTCAGCACTTTGGGAGGCCAAGGTGGGTGGATCACTTGGGGTCAGGAGTTCAAGACCAGCCTGGCCAACATGGTGAAACCCTGTCTCTACTAAAAATACAAAAATTAGCCGGGCGTGGTGGTGGATGCCTGCAGTCCCAGCTACTCAGGAGGCTGAGGCACTAGAATCACTTGAACCTGGGAGGTGGAGGTTGCAGGGAGCCGAGATCACGCCACTGCACTCCAACCTGGGTGACACAGTGAGACCCAGTCTAACGAAAAAAAAAAAAAAAAAAAGGGATAGGCCACTGGCTCCAGGTCATATGACCTGGAAGTGACAGGCCTCATGCTGATTCTCGCTACTAAGAGCTTGTGTTCTTTTTCTTTCTTTTTTTTTTTTTTGAGATGGAGTCTGGCTCTGTCGCCCAGGCTGGAGTACAGTGGTGTGATCTCGGCTCACCGTAACCTCCGCTTCCTGGTTTCCTGGGTTCAAGTGATTCTCCTGCCTCAGCCTCCTGAGTAGCTGGGATTACAGGCATGTGCCACCACACCTAGCTAATTTTTGTATTTTCAGTAGAGACAGGGTTTCACTGCGTTGGCCAGGCTGGTCTTGAACTCCTGACCTTGTCATCCACCTGCCTCGGCCTCCCAAAGTGCTGCTGGGATACAAGTGCGAGCCAGCGAGCCCGGCCTTTTTTTTTTTTTTTTTTTTTGAGATGGAGTTTCGCTCCTGTTGCCCAGGCTGGAGTGCAATGGCATGATCTCAGCTCACCACAACCTCTGCCTCCCGGGTTCAAGCGAGTCTCCTGCCTCAGCCACCCAAATAGCTGGGATTACACATGTGCCACCATGCCTGGCTAATTTTATATTTTTAGTAGAGACAGTTTCTCCATGTTGGTCAGGCTGGTCTTGAAATCCCAACCTCAGGTGATCCACTTACCTCGGCCTCCCACGGTGCTGGGATTACAGGTGTGAGCCACTGCGCCCGGCTGAGCTTGTGTTCTTAACCACTAGGCTACACTCCCCTCACACCCCCATCTTCTTGGGCCCTGATCACCCCGCTCTTTTCATCCATCTATAGTTCCCACCTCCAGTTTTTTCCTCTCCTCCTCTGGGGCCCATCGTCCAGTGAAACACAGAGAAGCCCTCCCTGCCGTGGAATCCTGGATGCTGAAGGCATTTCTGCAACAAGTGCCAAAACTCACGCAGCAACTGGGCAGACAGCCCAGCTCTGAACACTACCCCAGCAGTCACTGGCTGCTGAACATCAGAGTACCCAGCACTCCAAGCCAGGGGATGGAACTGAAGGGTTTGTAGGGGCCGCCTGCACATTTCCTCACCTCCAAGGTAGGCTGTCCTAGCCAGCATGACATACAGGTGTTGGTGCCTCGGCTAAAGCCCTCTAGATAGCAAGATTTTGTTCAGGGAGGAAACAAAATACTTCCTTAAGACACAAAGGGTCACCCTTGCACTTGCAGCCTCTTTAGCAAGCTAGCCACTTGAGGCATGGACGGTATCTTGATCACTCTGAGTAGGTCCCAGAAGACTGGGGAGACCCTGAGTTCTCAGTCTGGCAGATGGGCAAGCCCCGCTCAAACCTGGCTGCGGCTCCAAAGCAGGTTCTGTACTTGAGGAACAAACCTAGGTGGCCAGGGAGACCAGAGGCTGGTCAGGAGAGGGGCTGGGGCAGCCTAGGAGCAGGCCAACTGCTGAGGGTGTGACGGTTGGCAAGCTGGGAGGCCCAGGAGCAAAACCCAACACCCCTAGGCGAGACGACACCCTATGATGCCTGCTTGTGGCTCTGGAGTCCCAACTACTCACCTAGTTTGCCCATCAGCATCTGCCCCACATCCTTGATGTCATTGTACTCGTGAAGCTGGGTAATGTGGTCCTCCAGTTCATCCACACTGTAGCCTCTGGGATAAGCGATGGAGAGAGGGGGAAAGACAGCCCAGTTAAGAAAGCAGATGATGGCCCCAGGCTCAGATAGTAATAAGGCATCTGTAATGGCCTACTCGGTGATAGGTACTAGGGATATGGTGACAGCAAGATAGGCCCTGCCCTCATGAAGCTTACAGCAGGGCAGGGGATCTTCCCAGGTCCTCACTCCTGGCAAATGTGCCCTGTCTCCTTAGGGTGGGGTTGCCAGCCACAGTGGTACCATGTGACCCTGGCCACAGCTGAGGGACTCGCAGATGGGCGCATGATCCAAACAGCCAGGTGGATTCCCTCAAGTGTGAAATGCACATTCAAAGGCAGCTCAGTCTCTGCCATGTGGCTGGAACAAGAGGTGTGGGGAACTCCAGGAGGCGTTCAAGAGCCAGCTTTCCCTACACACTGAAAACTCCACCTGCAGGGAGAGAATGGAGTCTGTGCAGAGGGAAGCAGAGGTGGAGAACATGGCTCCGGAGACTGGAAGAGCAACAGCTTCCATCCCAGATAGCTTTCCAGTCCTAGTTCAGGCCCTCCCACAGCCTGAGCATCTCCCTACCTGAGAGGCTGCTGCTATGTCCTGAATCCAGAAGCATAGTCCTTCCTTTCTTTCTTCCTTCCTTCCTTTCCTTCCTTCCTTCCTTTCCCTTCCTTCCTTCCCTTTCCTTCCCCCCTTTCCTTCTTTCCCTTCCTTTCTTTCCTTCCTTCCTTTTTCTTTCCTCTCCTCTCTCTCTCCCTCTCGCCCTCTTTCTCTTTCTTTACCAAGTCTCGCTCTGTAGCCAGGCTGGAGTGCAGTGGCGCGATCTCGCCTCACTGCAACCTCTGCCTGCCAGGTTCAAGCGATTCTCCTGCCTCAGCCTCCTGAGTAGCGCACAGTCGTATTTCTATGCTAGGCCAGTGCGACTGGGTTTTTCAGTTACTGGGCAGTTAGAGAGTTAAACCTTTTTTTTTTTTTTTTTTTTTTTTAAAGACAGATTCTCACTCCATCGCCCAGGCTGGAGTGCAGTGGCGTGATCTCAGCTGACTGCAACCTCCATCTCCCAGGTTTAAGCGATTCTTCTGCCTCAGCCTCCCAAGTAGCTGGGACTACATGCGCGTACCACTGTGCCCAGCTATTTTTTGTATTTTTAGTAGAGACAGGGTTTTGCCATGTTGGCCAGGCTGGTCTCAAACTCCTGACCTCAAGTGATCCACCCACCTCAGCCTCCCAAAGTGCTGGGATTACAGGCGTGAACCACTATGCCTAGCCCAAAGTTATCTTAACCATGATGGGGAACCCAATGAAACTTACTCAGATACGAACTGGGAGATCTCCTTGTCCAGCATGTCCCTCTTCTCCTTCAGTTTCTGAATGTCAAGGTGCAGAGACTCCTCGCTGGTCCCATCAGCCTGGCCAGACTTGGGCAATGGCCTCTGAGAGGCAGAAAAAGTCATCAGCCAGACTGACCAGTTATCCACAATTCACAGCCTACATGTCCCCCAGTAGTCACTCCCTGCTTCTGCTTGCTAATAGGCACCCTAACCCCCTCAATAAGACTGCATTTCCAAGCCTTCCTTGGAATTAGATGTGGCCCTATGACTAAGTTCCAGCAAGTAGAACTTAATCATCTGGGATTTTTTTTTTTTTTTTTTTTGAGACGGAGTCTCGCTCTGTTGCCCAGACTGGAGTGCAGTAACCTGATCTTGGCTCACTGCAACCTCCGCCTCCCAGGTTCAAGTGATTCTCCTGTCTCAGCCTCCCGAGTAGCTGGGACTACAGGCATGCGCCACCATGCCCGGCTAATTTTTTAGTAGAGATGGGGTTTCACCATATTGGCCAGGCTGGTCTCGAACTCCTGACCTCGTGATCTGCCCACCTCGGTCTCCCAAAGTGCTGGGATTACAGGCATGAGCCACTGTGCCTAGCCCCACCCCACAACATTTTTTTTTTTTAATAGGGTCTTGTTCTGTCACCCAGGCTGGATTGCAGTGGCGTGATTATAGGTCACTGCAACCTCGAACTCCTGGGCTTAGGTGATCCATCCTCTAGCCTCAGTCTCCAACAATGTTTGGATTACAGGCATGAGCCACTGTTCCCAGCCAATGACTGGGAATTGTCCTCCCAGGAAGAGGGCATGCCTTTCTCTGGCCGTCTCCCTTCCCGCTGGCTGGAATGTGGATGCAGTGCTGGAGCTGAGCAGCTATCTTGGATGATAAGGTACAAGTCATACACTGAAGATGTGGTGGAACCAGATGGAGGCCTGGGTGCCAATGAACTGTTTAAACCACTGTTATTTGGGGTTTTCTTTCACTCCTAGTCAAACCCAATCCTAACTAATGGGCCTGCCCTTGTCCCCAGTCTGACCCCAGAGAATCTGCTCCAGGTCTGTCTTGGGCTCTCTTCTCATTTACAATGTCACTGGTTGTTGTTGTTGTTGTTGTTTTTGGAGACGGAGTCTCACTCTGTCGCCCAGGCTGGAGCGCAGTGGCATGATTCTGGCTCACTGCAACCTCCGCCTCCCGGGTTCAAGTAATTCTCCTGCCTCAGCTTCCTGAATAGCTGGGATTACAGGTGCACACCACCATGCCCAGCTAATTTTTGTATTTTTGTACTTTTTTTTAAAACAGAGTTTCACTCTTGTTGTCCAGGCTGGAGTGCAATGGCACAATCTCGGCTCACTGCAACCTCTGCCTCCCAGGTTCAAGCAATTCTCCTGCCTCAGCCTCCTGAGTAGCTGGGATTACAGGCGCCCACCACCATGCCTGGCTAATTTTTTTTTTTTGTATTTTTAGTAGAGACAGGGTTTCACCATGTTGGCCAGGCTGGTCTCGAACTCCTGACCTCAGGTGATCCACCCACCTCGGCCTCCCAAAGTGCTGGGATTACAGGCGTGAGCCACTGCTCCCGGCCTAATTTTTGTATTTTTAGTAGAGACAGGGTTTTTGCCATGTTGGCCAGGCTGGTCTCAAACTCCTGACCTCAAGTGATCTGCCCGCCTCAGCCTCCCCAGGTGCTGGGATTACAGGCGTGAGCCACCATGCCCATCTGTCACTGGGTTTATAATCTCATTGGATAAAACCCTTCCTTGGGGCTTTCATCTTTGCCCTTTCTGCCTGTAGAAGCTGTGAAGGCCAGTGCCTAGTACACAGCCAATCTTCAGGAAATGTATGTTGGATGAGCTGTCTACACATGATACAAGAAGGGACCGAGGAAGACGGTCTTCCTGGTTTTAGGTTAGTGGCTTGTAACCAGTCACTCAGAGGAATGAGTGAGCACTCTCTGCCAGGAACTGACAAAGGGTCCAGGAGCGCAGCAATGAATGAGACATCAAGCCCAGCCCACTGCTCTCATAGAAGGCATAGCCTAGCCCCAAAGAGAAAGCGCCCAACGATGAAGTTCTTCCTCCAGATGCTTCCAGTTAAAGCTCTACTTACCTATCGCCCCATCAGAAAGGCCCTCTCTGACAGCCCTGTCTACAACAGTAACATCTCAATCACTCACTATCCCTTTTTCCTGATTTTTAATATTTTTTGAAATTTAATTTTTCTTTTTTTTTTGAGACAGTTCTCGCGTTGTCGCCCAGGCTGGAGTGCTGTGGCACAATCTCAGCTCACTGCAACCTCCGCCTCCCGGATTCAAGCGATTTTCCTGCCTCAGCCTCCTGAGTAGCTGGGATTACAGGCGCATGTCACCACACTCGGCTAATTTTTCCATTTTTAGTAGAGACAAGGTTTCACCATGTTGGTCAGGCTGGTCTCAAGCTCCTGACATCGTGATCCGCCCACCTCAGCCTCCCAAAGTGCTGGGATTACAGGCGTGAGCCACCGCACCCGGCCTTTTTTAAATTTAATTTTTCTTTTAAGATGGGGTCTGTCTCGCTCTGTCATCCATGCTGGAGTGCGGTAGCACAATCACACCTCACTGTAGCCTCAACTTTCTGGGCTTAAGCAATCCTCCCACTCTAGCCTCCTGAGTAGCACAACAGGCATGTGCCATCACACTCAGCGAATTTTTTTGAAAAATTTTATTTTTTTGTAGAGATGGGGTCTTGCTATGTCACCCAGTTTGTTCTCAAACCCTGGGCTGGAGCAATCCTCACACCTTGGCCTCCCAGTGTTAGGACTGCAAACATGAGCCACCGCACCTGGCCTCCTGATGTTTTATAGCATTTTTCGTCACCCGACAAGTTATGCATTTCATTATTTTCATTGCCTTACATTGCTTTACATCACTGAAGTGTAAGCTCCATGAGGGAAGGGACTTTTGTTTACTGCTGATTGCATAGTGTCTACAACAGTACATGGCACATAGTAGACACTCAATATTAATATTTATCAATGAATGAAGTAACCAATAAACGAATTATAAGTCTGGAAAATGCTTTGAAGTTGAAGTACAGTGTGCTATGGGAGAGTCTAACAGGGCAACTGGACTGACCCAGAAGTGGGGATAAGGCTTCTCCGAGGAAGCTAAATTTTAAAGGATGAGCAGGCTTTAGCTTGGCAGAAAGGTGGAAGAAAGTATTGCAGACAGAGGGGACAAAAGAGTTGGCCCTCTGTATCAGTGGGTTTCACAATGAAAATATCTGATGAAAAAAAAGCATGGTTGGCCAGGTGCAGTGACTCACACCTGTAATCCCAGCACTTTGGGAGGCCAAGGCAGGCAGATAACGAGGTCAGTAGTTCGAGACCAGCCTGGCCAACATAGTGAAACCCTGTCTCTACTGAAAATACAAAAATTAGCCAGGCATGGTGGTGCGCACCTGTAGTCCCAGCTACTTGGGAGGCTAAGGCAGGAGAATCCCTTGAACCTGGGAGGTGGAGGTTGTGGTGAGCCAACATCACACCATTGCACGCCAGCCTGGGTGACAGAGCGAGACTCTCTCAAAAAAAAAAAAAAAAAAAAAAAAAAAAAGCATGGTTGAATCTGTATTGAACACGTAGCCTTTTTTTCCTGGTCATTACTCCATGGGGATCCTGGCAGCAATCTCCGTGGATACCCAGGGGTGAATGTGTATCTGAATGCCTTAAGGCAGGAGACAGCACATGTGTTCGGGGGAATGAAAGTGGTTTCCACGTGTGTGAATGGGTGAGTGAGGGGATAGTGGTGTGAAAAAGAACAAATGCGACCGGGCACGGTGGCTCACGCCTGTAATCCCAGCACTTTGGGAGGCGGAGGCGGGAGGATCACGAGGTCAGGAGATCAAGACCATCCTGGGTAACATGGTGAAACCCCGTCTCTACTAAAAATACAAAAAATTAGCTGGGCGTGGTGGCGGGCGCCTGTAGTCCCAGCTAGTCGGGAGGCTGAGGTAGGCGAATCGCTTGAACCCTGGAGGCAGCGGTTGCAGTGAGCCGAGATTGCACCACTGTACTCCAGCACTCCAGCCTGGGTGGCAGAGCGAGACTCTTGTTTTTTTTTTTTTTTTTTTTAAAAAGAACAGATGCAACCATGAGTAGTGCTATTAGAAAGGAGAAGAGGCAGAGCACACTTCAAGAGCTTGGGGTTCCTCTGATGATGCAAGGGCAGTTGGAGGAGTTGGTTTTGTGGTCCTGGTTAGGAGGCTGAGTGTGATTTCAGACTTGGCAAGTGGGAAGGCAAAGATTCTGCAGGCAGCTCTGGGTGTCCCAAGAAAGGTCAGGGCTGGAGAGAGATAGGAGGGTTGTGGGCACTGGGGTGGGCTGAGGGAGTGGGAGTCAGAACTTGGAGCAGGTGTGTAGAAAGAGAATGGCAAGAGGAGAGCAGAGCCACCCGGAAATGTGTGGGCAAAGGATTACCCAGGTGCTGAGGCAAGAGACTGAAGGCACAAACTGTTTCAGTATAATAAAGAAAATAGAATAAGAATAGTCACAACACAAATTAGATATAGAGATGATCATGGACAATTATCAATCATTAGTATAAACACTATTAATCATTAGCTTTTAATATTACTCCTTGTTGCACTACTAATATAACCTAAGAATAACCGGCAAGTATAGGGTCAGGTGCTGAAGGAACATTGTGAGAAGTGACCTAGAAGGCAAGAGGTGAGCCCTCTGTCACACCTGCATAAGGGCCGCTTGAGGGCTCCTTGGTCAAGCGGTAATGCCAGTGTCTGGGAAGGCACCCGTTACCTAGCAGACCGTGAAAGGGAGTCTCCTTTCCTTGGAGGAGTCAGGAAACACTCTGCTCCACCAGCTTCCTGTGGGAGGCTGGATATTATCCAGGCCGGCCCGCAGTCATCCGGAGGCCTAAACCCCTCCCTGTGGGGCTGTGCTTCAATGGTCACGCTCCTTGTCCACTTTTATGTTCCTTCCATACTCCTGGTTTCTCTTTGAAGTTCATAGTAGATAGTGGTAGAAGAAACAGTGAAAGTCTTAAAGTCTTTGATCTTTCTGATAAGTGCATAGAAGAAAATGCTGACGTATGCTGCCTTCCCTCTCTGCTTTGGCTACCTAGAAGGGAAGGGCCCACTGGCCCACGATCATGTGACTTGCTTGATCTTATCAATCACTTGGACGACTCACCTTCCTTACCCTGCCCCCCTTGTTTTGTATGCAGTAAATATCAGCGTGCCCAGCCATTCTGGGCCACTACCGGTCTCCACGTCTTGGTGGTAGTGGTCCCCTGGGCCCAGCGGTTTTCTCTTTATCTCTTTGTCTTGTGTCTTTATTTCTTACAATCTCTTGTCTCCGCACATGGGGAGAACGCCCACCAAGCCCCGTAGGGCTGGATCCTACAGAAATGCCCACATTTACCTCAGGAGTGGCAGGAAGCAAAGGAGCCAGCCGAGCGGGCACAGAAAAAGAGGCAGGAGAGGTCAGGAGGGTGCTCCTGCAAATAGGCCCAGAGAGGAGCAAGCCCAAGGTACCGCTTAAGAGTTCAGTTCAAGCCCAGGCACGGTGGCTCATGCCTGTAATCCCAGCACTTTGGGAGGCTGAGGCGGGTGGATCACTGAGGTCAGGAGTTTGAGACCAGCCTGGCCAACATGGCAAAACCGTCTCTACTAAAAATATAAAAATTAGCCGGGCATGGTGGCGGGCACCTGTAATCCCAGCTACTAGGGAGGCTGAGGCTGGAGAATCACTTGAACCTGGGAGGCAGAGGTTGCAGTGAGCCAAGATCGTGTCATTGCATTCCAGCCTGGGCGACAGAGCAAGATTCCGTCTCAAATAAAAAAAAACAAAAAAAACCAAAAACAACTCAGTTTCTCAGTTTAAAGCCCCCAGCTCTGCCACGTCCTGGCTATATTCATCTCTCTGGAACTCACAGGCCTCACCTCAACATGGGGACAGTAAAGCGTCTTCTCAAAGGTTGCTGGAAGGAACTGGAAAGATGATGCATGTAAAGTAAGCTGATGGGACAATGCTCAATAGAGCCTCCTTTTTTTTTTTTTTGAGATGGAGTTTCGCTCTGTTGCCCAGGCTGGAGTGCAGGGTGATCTCGGCTCACTGCAACCTCCACCCCCTGGGTTCAAGCGATTCTCCTGCCTCAGTCTCCCAAGTAGCTGGGATTACAGGCATGTACCACTATGCTCAGCTAATTTTTGTATTTTTAGTAGAGATGGGGCTTCACCATGTTGGGCAGACTGGTCAAACTCCTGACCTCAGGTGATCCACTCACCTTAGCCTCCCAAAGTGCTGGGATTATAGGCGTGAGTCACTGTGCCGGGTCGAGCGTTGTTTTTAAAAATGGAAGGAATGGAAGCTGGGCATGGTGGCTCATGCCTGTAATCCCAGCACTTTGGGAGGCCGAGGCGGGCAGGTTGCTTTGAGCTCACGAGTTTGAGACCAGCCTGGGCAACATGGCGAAAATTTGTCTCTACTGAAAATACAAAAAAATTAGCCAGGCGTCATGGCACACAACTGTGGTTCCAGCTATTTGGGACGCTGAGGCAAGAGGATGGGTTGGGCCTGGGAGGCAGAGGTTACAGTGAGCCCAGATCGCACCATTGCACTCCAGCCCGGGCGACAGAGTGCGACTGTGTCTCAAAAAAAAAAAAAAAAAAAAAAGAGAAGGAATGAATTAGCATGAATGAGAAAGGCATGATCTGCAGTGAGTTACCGCATGGTCAAAGACAGTGGATACCAACCCACTTGCAGAGAGAAGCTCAATCAGCCCAGTGCTTTTGGCAAACTATGGCTGCCACCCCGTCATCGTCATCTGAGCTCACTGTGAGTTGCCCTTCAGGCCCTGCCTCTGACCCTGCCATCTCTGGAGAGCCCTCTTTGCAAGCCCAAGCCTGGGCTCCCCATCTCAGAACCATGTGCATACTTGTCCTGGAATTATTTTTTTGCCTGTGGCTCCTGGAGGGCAGGGGGCTATCTGGCATACACCTGCATTGCAGCAGTTGCTAAATCAATGAACAAATACCAAGTCTTTCCCGATCTAACTTCTTTTTTGTTTTTGAGACTTGTCTAGCTCTGTTGTCCAGGCTGGAGTGCAGTGGTGCAATCTCGGCTTACTGCAACCTCCACCTTCCGGGTTCAAGCAATTCTCCTGCCTCAGCCTCCTGAGTAGTTGGGATTACAGGCCTGCACCACCACGCTCGGCTGATTTTTTTGTATTTTTAGTAGAGACAGGGTTTCATCATGTTGGGCAGGCTGGTCTTGAACTCCTGACCTCAAATGATCTGCCCGCCTCAGCCTCCCAAAGTGCTGGGATTACAGGTGTGAGCCACTGCACCCGGCCCTCACGATCTACCTTAAGAGTGGTGGTAGTTGTAGTGGCAACTCCATCTGGGGGATGAGAGAAGGAGTAGGCTGCGTTTTGGGGGTGGCTTGCCAGCGAAGAGGAGAGACTATTAGCAACGAAAGGAGTGGCCAGGGTGAACGCCAAGCATTTTCCTGACTGGGGAGCTATGGGTTTGTTTAAAGGCAGGGCTGGGTGAGGGGTGAAAAGAGCGAGGAGGAGAGATGGCTGGTGCTGGACTGGAGTGAAAGGCATCTGAGGAGCCAGGAGACAGGATGGGGAGGGAGAGGAGTTAGCCTAGGACAGGACAGGATAACACTTCTTTGAAGACTGGCGGGCATGAGGAAAGGAAGGGGAGGGATTCGGGAATGACCTGGCGGTTCTCAGTCGACTGGGAGAAGATATGGAAGAGGGCCAAGCGGGGATTGGCTGCTGTTGGGATGGGGAGTGGGGCCGGGAGCGCACAAGGGAAGGTCGAGGATGGGAAAGGGGGTGTGGGGGAAGAAATACTCACAGGGGATCGGAAGGCCCCGCGGCAACTTCGGGTAAGTCTTGGTTCAGTCCTAGAGAGGAATCCGAGGGGAAAGTCTGATTGGACCCACAGCCCGCTGTGAGGACGGGGTACTGTGGGGATGCGGGAGGAGGAGCAGTTGGGAAGTAGGAGCGCCAGGGACTGGATCCATCTGGAAAGGGGGCAGACACGCTCTCAGGATCAGGGTAGAGACCCTCTAGGAAGGGGGCGTTCTGAGACGGGGGTTGTCTGGAGCACTGGATGGGAGTCTTTGGAGGTGATTTCTGGGAAGGGAGAGTCTGGGGCAGGGCTGTGAGGAGTCAGGAAAGAAACTGTGGAGTCCGTTCCTCGCCCACCTCCTGAGCCCTGGGGTCCGAGGCCCCCGGATCAGGGGGTTCAATGGCGCAAGAGGGTCCAGCGCGGGAGTCGGAGAGCGACCTCTCAGGTGCACCGGGCCAGGAACTCTGACCCGGAGTGTGAACTGGCGCACAGAAAGCTGCGCGCGCACCCAAGGAAAGCCGGCCCCGCCCCTCTCCCGAGGTGGGCGGGGACAGCGGTTGCGTGCGCAGCTTTTGTTGTGACGCCACAGGTCCCTCTGGCCACGCCGCTGCATAGCCACGCCCCCTTCCGCTTCATATTTCTCATTGACCAATGGGCTTTGATCTTTGAGGCCACGCCCCCATTCTGCGCTCCAGTATCGCCCTGGTTACGCCTCCTCTGGCTCCGTCGCACAGCTGCGCGGTGGCTGACTGACTTCCGCAGTGGTTGCCGGGATCGCGCTGATGTGGCCCCAACCCCGCCTCCCTCCCCGCCCCGCGATGTCGGAAGAAACCCGACAGAGCAAATTGGCCGCAGCGAAGAAAAAGGTAAAGTGCACCGGGTCGCGGCCCCCCGACCCAGCCCCAGCCCCACTCCGATGGCAGGACCATGGCCAGAGTCTCTGCCACTCCTGAGGCACACCGGGCTGGGCTCCCCACGGCGCGTCCGGGCTCCCTCCACCAAAGTCTTGTCAGCCAGCCCCGCCCCCTCAGCCGCCCAGCCCCCGCCCTCGCCAGTCGCCCCCGGGTGACTTTGGGCTGGTGCTCCCGGGGCTCCCCGCTCCAGACTCGGCCCTCACCTCCTGCCCCCCGAAGTCCGACCTCCCTGGGCTCTTTGGGCTGGCGTCTCCAAGGACCTAGGACCCCAGCAATTCAGCCCCTGCCCTCGCCAGTGACTTTGGGCCCGTGACTCCCGGGGCCCCCCGCTCCAGACTCGACCCTCACCTCCTGCCGCCCCAAACCGGACCTCCCGGGGTTCTTTGGTCTCGGGTCTCCAAGGACCTGGGTCCTGGCCCTGCGGTCCCCTCCCCCATCGCGGAGCGGCGACTTGGACGTCGCGCTGATGTTCCCCCTAGGAGTGGAATGTAGTGACGTCACAATCCCCCTCGGAACCGTAATTAGTTGCGCGAGACCAGTCTTTGATCTTAGGACCCAGTCCCCTAAGTGTTCTCATCCCGCTTCTGGTTCCTCTGGTCACAGCATAAATTTCCAGCTGGAAGGGGATTGGGGACTATGGGACCTAGGAGGGAGAGGTTTCAGGCTGCCTTACACCCTTAACATAGACATTGACAGTGTGAAAAGCCTACACTTCACCCGTGAACTGAAAACATTGGCAGTATCTCTGGGTGGCAATGTGAGAACGGGATTGGTTTGGTTTTCCCCCAGGCTTCTACTCTCCAGAGAGACTTTAACATTTTTTTCTGACTTCTCCACCTCATATTCGAATTCTCCATGGTTCTGGGACCAGAGTGCCCTTCAGTGGTCTCTGGAATGAGATCTGCTTATCTTCTGTGGAACAGGTCTTGGGAAACTGAACTTGACAGCTTGAATCTTCCTCATATCATCTCAACCTGGGGTACTTGGAGTGCCACAGGATAAATACGGGGCATCTTTCTGAAGCATCAGTCTCCCTTTATTCTCTTGAGAGAGAAAAAACATTAATGTACTTAGGGATGACAGTCACATAAATTTCTAAGAGTATACCAGACTTTTCTCTGAAATGAGGCTTGGGTTGTCCTCTTTCTGTTAAATTCCCAGGTTCAACAGAAAGGCTGCCTTCTGCCATGTGGATACATTGATGTAAAAGTTTGAGAGGCATTGGTGCATTTCTTAACATTACCAAACGTGTGAGGATGTATGACTCTAAACCACACAGTGTACAGTTCCTGCCGACTTAATGTTCCGGCCCACATTTTAAGATACATATTTATTTTTAGAGAGGGGGTGTCACTGTGTTGCCCAGTCTGACCTTGAACTCCTGGCCTTAAGTAATCCTCCTGCCTTAGCCTCCCAGGTAGCTGGGACTCCAGGCTTGACTTCTCCACCTCATATTTGAATTCTCCTTGGTGGAGTGGAATGTAGTGATGTCGCAGTCCCCCTCGGAACCGTAATTAGTGCGTGAAACCAGCTTTTGATCTTAGGACCCAATCCCTAAGTGTTCTCATCCCGTTTCTGGGATGAGAGGTGGAAAAGTACCTCTGCCTCTGGTTTTGGCCCCTGGCAGCTGCTGATTTGTGGCAAAACCCCAGAGCTTGGAGTCAGAAGACTGAGTTTAAGTTCAATTCTTGCCTTTTTTAAGCCATGGTATCAATCCCTCTCAGTCACTAAGTGATTGTGACAAGAACTTGTGGAGTTGTTAGTGGCATTAAATCAGATGGTATATAAGAGTATTTTGGAAAAATTGTAAAGTAGGATGTAACTGTGGGGGCTTGTAGATCTCATGAATATTATTGCTCTTCTTTTCCACAGTTGAGAGAATATCAGCAGAGGAATAGCCCTGGTGTTCCTACAGGAGCGAAAAAGAAGAAGAAAATAAAAAATGGCAGTAACCCTGAGACAACCACTTCTGGTGGTTGCCACTCACCTGAGGATGTGAGTCTTGGATGGCCAGGCTCCTGGGGACAGGGGGCCCAAGGGGCAGTAGAGGGTAATTGTTATGATTGTGGAAGAACTGTTGGGTACTGATTAAGAGTTCTGGGTTTGTATCCTACCTGTCCATCTGCTAGGGATGTGATTTAGGGCAAATTGCTTGAGCTTTTTGGGCCTCTCTTTTCACAACTATAAAGTATTGTTTTACTTACACTTGTGAAGTTTAAATGAGATTTGTTATTGTTGTTTTTATGTTAATCCCTAGTACAGGGCCTGCTGTCCTAAACACCCAGGACACCCAGGAAATGGTAGTTGCTGTTTCATTTTCCTCATCTCCAGTCTCAAAGGGAAGCCAGGCCAATGAGAACAGCTACTTGCCATCAGGCTATCCCTTTAGGAGTCACTGAAAGGGCCCCAGGGTGTGGTGAGGAGAGTCCCAGGTGCTAGGATTAGGGGAAGATCTAACTTTTGAGTTCATCTTTGCCACCAGCTTGCTGCGTGACCACAGAAAAACCACTTCTTCCCCTGGGCCTCAGTTTCCTCCTCTGTGAGGTGACATTGGATATGATCAGTGTCTTTCAAACTTGTTTTTTAGCTGGAGCCCCCTTTGTTCAAGTGAACCCTTACTCAGAAGTCTGGTTTTTAAAATGGAGGTGGAGGTTTGTAGTTCTACTAGATTCATTGCCCACATCCTGGGCCTAAGGAGAAGGGTCCAAACAGGATATTAAGAGCTGCATTGGTCAGGTGACTCCACTCTGTGTGACTGCATCGTTCAGGGGACTTTTCCATCTATTTGTTTCTGCCCCTGGCAAGGCAGCAGGTGGCCATTTGGAAGGATGGCACAGGCCATGGTATTGATCTCCTCCACTCTTCTTATTTCATTTCCCTGAACCCACATCTTCCTCCTTCCCTGACTTTCTTGCCTCTCTCTAAGCCACTTCTACCTTTCTCCCCCTGCCCTTGTTTTTCCCTTTTCGCCTCCTGTAGATTCAGGACATTCTGAAGGTGCTGGTGTCCGACCTTAACCGTTCCAATGGGGTAGCGCTCCCCCCATTGGACAAGTGGAAGGTGAGGCAGTGCCGAGACCCCTCTCTGGCTTGCTCTCTCCAGCTGTGCATGCCCCTGAGGCTTCTCTGGTTTGGGGGATACTTTGCCTCTGGCTTATTTTATGTTGCTGCCATTAACCTTCCGCCTGTTTATGTCCGCTTCTTCACCTGCTTGATTGATTGGGTTTTTATTCTTCCCCCAAATCTTTTATCATCTTGGAGAAGGTGAGACATATCTTAAAGTTTAAAAGTTTAAAGGTAATTTGGGAATAACTTTTAGAGCAGGTGTGTGGGATTTGGGGCTTTTTTTTTTCTTCTTTTTTTTTCAGAGACGGAGTCTCACTGCCCAGGCTGGAGTGCAGTGGCACAATCTTGGCTCACTGCAACCTCTGCCTCCTGGGTTCAAGTGTTTCTCCTGCCTCAGCCTCCTGAGTAGCTGGGATTACAGGTGCCTGCCACCATGTCTGGCTCATTTTTGTATTTTTAGTAGAGATGGGGTTTCACCATGTTGGCCAGGCTGGTCTTGAACTCCTGACCTCAAGTGGTCCACCCACCTTGGCCTCCCAAAGTGCTGGGATTACAGGCGTGAGCCACTGCTCCCAGTCTGGGATTCTGGGATTTGGGCTTTTGAATGCCCAGTGTGGGTACTCTCAGACTAGGAGAGATGAAAAAAAAAAAACACAAAAAAACCAACAGACCTTTAGGTTTTACCCTAAAGGCAAAGATCAGTAAACCACCTAGAAGTTAGTGTTTTTTTTTTTTTTTTAAATTAATTCACTTTGGTTTAAGAGTAGGGAACAAAGGGTTAAAAGAAAATGAGTTCACATTATAGTTGGAAGGATTGAAGCTATTTTTTCAGAGGAACTAACTGTAAAAGTTGTGAGGTTAACCAAACAGATGAGTGACCAAGACGTTCTGCCCCTAATCTCTCCAAATGGACATTTAGCCATATTCATTGGGCTCTTGACAACAAAGGCACTTTGATAAATAAACAGTGGATAAAATAGATGAACAAGGTAGGCTGCACACCGAGGGAGGCAGACTCCTCTGAAGGAGGCAAGAGAGAATTTTGGAACATTCCAAATGCTCAGCTCGGGGGGAGGTTGGTTCCAAATGGACTCCAGGCTGGAGAAGGTGGCATTTGAAGCTGGCTTGAAGATTAAAGGTGGGTAACATTAATCCATATGGGGAGTGGGGGAGGCAGGGGGAGCGGTGAGGCCGTGGCCAGAGTGTGAACTCACAGAGCACCTTTCAGGAACACAGGGAGCCTGGTGGGGGGCAGGGCATGGAGGTACACAGGGCTGGGAGACAACCTCCTCTGGCTGTGATTTGGCATTTCTTCCATCTCTAACTCACCTGGGGGACTCCTTCCTGCCAAGCCAGAGGAGCAGGGCACGAATAGAGCCTGATCCTGTTGGAGATGGGTATGGGGAGAGGGACTGAGACAGAGCAGCCTTGGCTGCTGTTAGAGAGTTGTCCAGTCTCATACCTGTTACCCTCCAGTTGATCAGGTCTGTCCAGGTGCTGTGACTCACCTTGCCAGCTCAGAGGAGACGCTGAGTGGTACGGCTGGGGAGCACAGGCTTAGAGGTGACCTGCAGCCAAAAGCATTTGGCTTTTGCTCTGCCAATGGTCCAGTGGATTAGGGGGTCTTCAGCCTGTTTCCTAATGCTCTGAGATTCTGTGCCAGCCCAGGTCCCTCTATTCTGGAAACAAAGGCCTAGATCCCCGTATTTCCTTCTTGCTGTTTTGTTTTTGTTTTTGAGAAAGAGTCTTGCTCTTTCTCCTGGAGTGCAGTGGTGTGATCTTGGCTCACTGCAACCTCCCCCTCCCGGGTTCAAGTGATTTTCATGCCTCAGCCTCCCAAGTAGCTGGGATTACAGATGTTGCACCATCACGCCCGGCCATTTTTTTTGTATTTTTAATAGAGATGGGGTCTTGCCATGTTGCTCAGGCTGGTTTCGAACTCCTGGCCTCAAGTGATTCACCTGCCTTGGCCTCCCAAAGTGCTGAGATTACATGTGTGAGCCACCATGCCCAGCCCCTTGCTGTTTTTATACCTTCTCTATATCCGTAACTGTTTCCAATGTAGGTTTTGTTTTTTTTTAATTTCTCATTTTTATTACCATGTAAGTTTTCTACTCCAGGAATGCAGGCCTGTGATCGTAGTATCCTGAGCGGAGCTGATAACATTTCCAGAAGTAGGGAATAATGGAGAGAGAAAAAATATCTTAATGGGATGGGACATTTTGAGGAGAGTAGGCTTTTTTAAAAACTCCATCTTGGCTACAAGACTTAAAATAATGAAATAACTTGGTTGCTCACAAAATAATCATGCTATGTGTGTCAGAAAGTCCTCAGAAAAATGCTTTTTCAGCCAAGTGCAGTAGCTCATGCCTGTAATCCCAGCACTTTGGGAGACTGAGGAGGGTGGATCACCTGAGGTCAGGAGTTCGAGAGCAGCCTGGCCAACATGGTGAAACCCCATCTCTACTAAAAATACAAAAATTAGCTGGGCGTGGTAGCGTGCACCTATAATCCCAGCTGCTTGGGAGGCTGAAGCAGGAGAATCTCGAACTCAGGAGGCGGAGGTTGCAGTGAGTGGAGATCTCGCCACTACACTCCAGCCTGGGCGACAGAGTGAGACTCCCATCTCAAAAAAAAAAAAAAAAAAAAATTCCCTTCCTCTGAGCATTCTTGTGTCTAATCCTAGAGATCAGTGGGAACCGAAGATGCCAGGAGGGCCCTAAAGCCTAGCAGGGTCCATTGCTAGGAGTGCCAGCCTTCCCTCAAGGCTAATGCCTGGCCAGCAACTGAACCCTTGCTCTGACCTATTAGATTCAGTTGTAGGCATTGTCAAGGAAACACCAGGTTCCATGGTCACAGTAAACTTGCAAAGATGCAAAGGCAGCTTGGCTCATCTTCAGTTCCACCAGCCTCTGCAGCACTTGCTCTAAGGAGGGAAGCAGATTTGGGTTTTCAGAAGCCAGGGCTGAAGGGTCCAGTGAGCGCGCAGTCCTTTCCCTGGAGAGAGGTGTAGTCACTTCTCCCAGACCCAGCTTCCGTGGCCAGGCCCTGGCTCCCTGGTGTTTTTCTCTTGTCCAGCTTAGCTGGTCAGCCAGCTTTTTCCACTGTCTGCCCATCTGGCTTGTCAGATATTAGAAGATCTCTAGAACCAGAGGCTTGGGCGAAGAGTAAGGTCAGAGCCTGGAGAGAGGCTGGGTGGGGCTCTGATCAAGCAGGTAGGTCCAGTTGGGGGCAAGGGAGAGGCTCCACATGACCCCAAGTTCTGAATCCTAGGATTGTCCTCAGGTACTATTCCCAGGAAAGAGGCCCTACAACTTCCAAGTTGCCAAGAGCCACAGGGAAGATGTCTTACCTCTGTTTTCTTGGGTGGTTTCTTGGCTGGGTAGATGTTTTTGGAGGTAAGAGGTCGGGGTGGGGGTGTTGGCCATGGTTTATCCTCTTTTTACCTCCAGAGAGTTGGAGAGAGTCTTCTAGTTGGGCAGCTTTTTTTTTTTCCCCCTGAAAAGGCCTGAATCAGAAACACAGCCAGTAGGCCAAGTGCAATGGCTCACACCTGTAATCTCAACATTTTGGGAGACCAAGGTGGATCACTTGAGCCCAGGACTTTGAGACCAGCCTGGGCAAGATGGCAAGACCATGTTTCTATAGAAATTAGCTGAGCATGGTAGTGTGCACCTATAATCTCAGCTACTAGGGAGGCTGAGGTGGGAGCATTGCTTGAGCCCAGGAGGTGGAAGCTGCAGTGAACTATGATTGTGCCACTGCAGGGGAGAAGGGAAGGGAGGAAAGGAGGAGACAGGCAGATAGCTACATTGTGCATTGCCCAGACAACTACTTCCTCATCACCATCCTCTGCCCAGTAGGGGCCCAGTGAGGGTCACTCTGCAGCACAGACTGGCCTTCTGGAAGAACAGTGCCTTTCTCCTCCCTGACTTTGGCACACCTTCCTCCTGCCTGCTGTGGCTGCCACAGGTCAGAGCCTGCTGCTGTCTTTTGCTGAGCTCCAGGGAGAGCGAGGTCCTCGTGTTCATGAAGGAGGCCGTGCAGCCCCTGCTTTGAGCTTTGGCCATCTGAAATGCTGCCTAGCAGCCCAAGGCCTGGGCAACCAATCCACACCCCTGAGTGGCTCCTAGCATGTGTGACTGTCACTCTGACTGCAGCAACACCTGTCCTACCTGTTCCACACCCTTGTGTTCATAGTACTGAGGCACCTCTCCCGCATGGCCCCCTAACCCCCTGCTCTGTTCTGTGACAGACACCCAAGGACAATGCTGCTACTCTACAACCATCTGATGACACCGTGTTACCTGGCGGTGTCCCTTCCCCTGGTGCCAGTCTCACTAGCATGGCGGCATCTCAGGTTCGTGCCTCCTCCCCCTCTGCCCACTGCCCTCCTGTACCTATTATGCATTATCTTCTCCTTTCACAGGCAGCTTGTTCCCTAGGGTCAAGGGCCCTTCCTGGGGACCGGGCCGGGGGAAGGCTCAGACTGGGCTTTTTTCCTTGAGGCCTGGGGAGATTGAAGATTGTTAGAATGAGTTTGGGAGCTTGACTCACCCCATCCTGGGTGATTCTTACCAGAAATTGAATGACCATCTCACACGTTTCTTCCCAAACAGAATCATGATGCTGACAATGTCCCTAATCTCATGGATGAAACCAAGTGAGTGTCTCCTGTTGGGGCAGCAGTCTCTAGGCTGAGAGAGTCAGGGAGGCCACTGCCCATGACCTTCTTTCCCATTGAGCCACCTGCACCCCTGACCCCTGTGTCTCCATCCCTAGGACTTTCTCATCAACCGAGAGCCTGCGACAACTCTCCCAACAGCTCAATGGTCTTGTTTGTGAGGTACCTCAGGAACTGAGGCCGAGAGCGGGGTGGGGGGAAGGGAACTATGATAGAAACTGAAGCAGGGATTCACAAGAGAGAGGGAAGATCCTGGGACCAGCCAATGTGCTGGGCAATGTTAAGGAAGTCGCCTTTTCCCTGAGCCTTCTCCCTTGAAGTTGTGCACATGAAGGAGTTGGACCCCATGACTGGTTGCATCATTGTATCCTGCTGCAGAAGCACTGGATGAGAGCTGCTCGGGAGGAAAGGATGGTGGGGAAATAAGAACCATGAGAGAAGTTGGCACAAAGGGGTTACGGGACAGAGGGTCCAAGTTAGAAAAGAAAATGTTGCCAATTGCTGGGGAAGAAACGAAGTTAGAGGGCTTAGACACTGAGGGGACAGAACATCTCCATGTGCACTCTCGTCTCTTATAGTCTGCGACATGTGTCAATGGGGAGGGCCCTGCATCGTCTGCTAACCTGAAGGATCTGGAGGTAAGAGGCCCTGGGCCGTGGCCCAGTGACCCTGCAGGCCAGCCCTCCAACCTCCTCCCACAGCGGGGGCTGGGTGCCCCTCTGCCAGCTGAGACAGCCCACACACCCCCCAACCCTAATGATTGCTCTCTCTACCTCTCCCCCCAATCCTCCTCCAACTCCTCCTCTCTGCATGCGCCTCAGAGCCGGTACCAACAGCTAGCGGTAGCCCTGGACTCCAGCTATGTAACAAACAAACAACTCAATATCACGATAGAGAAATTGGTAAGAGTCCAGTGGGGTCCCCTGATTCCATGCTGCTAATCCTGGGCTCCAGTTTCCCCTTGGGACCCTGAAGAAAGGGGCAGGGGGCCCCTGGTGCCAAGGGCGAATGGGGAGCTGGGGGGCCCAGGCCTCAGCTGGAGGGACCCCAGAGCACGGAGCATGCAGCATGGCTCTTCTGTTGCTGCCCTCTTTGCCTACTCTCTCTTCTCTAGACACCCCTGCTCGAGTCCTTGCCACACACGCCCTGGGGTTGTTGCCTCTTGGGGAAGCGCTAGCCTGACTGGTTGTCAGGAGCCCTGTATTTCTGCCCTGACTCAGTCCTTAATTTGCTCTTTGATTTGGGACAAGCCACCTCTCCTCCTTGGGCTTGCATTTCCTGAGGAGGTAGAGTTAGAGAGTATCAAAGGTCTCTTAGCTCTGAGAGTCCAAGATTTAAAGGCCCATTAGAATGTAAACCTCAGGGCCAAGGGCTCCTGTCTGTCTTTTTCTGTCTGGTATCCCTGCTATTAAGAACCGTACCTGGCCTGTGTGTGCTCAGCAAATGTTTGTTGAATGATTACACCTTTCTAAATCACAAACTGGCAGAGGGTGGGCTTTTCTCACACTCCATCTCTAGAGGTTTATGTTACTGTCCTTTCAAGAGAATCGAGATTCAGACTTTCAGTTCTGTGGCTGTGGGCAAAAACCAACAAAGACACAAATCCCCTTTCCTTGAGAGCCTGAGGAGAGTTTACCAGTTCGTGTTCCCATTGGGTCTGAGAACTTTGCCTTTAAAATCCATTCCTGGCCCCTGCCTACCCGTTCCTGGTCTGGGGAATAGAGTTGAGGGGGCCACCCTCAGTCACCTTCCTTTGACTCTTCCCCACAGAAACAACAGAACCAAGAAATTACGGATCAGTTGGAAGAAGTAACGTGATTTCTTTGTTTGCTCACAACATGACTGCTGGGTTTGGGGGGCATTCAAATGTAGAGGCCTCAGTCTCGTCTCACCCACTCCCAGCCTGGGGAAGAAGGCTCACCCCCCCAGATTCCACCCCATCCCCACAGGGTCCCTGATAACCTGGTCCCATGGGTGGGCCTGTCCTGGGACATTGGTGGCATTCTGGGGGCATGTCCCTTGCTGTGCCGTCTCTGCCTCCCCCTCGTAAGAGCTCTGTCTTCCTCTTCCTATAGGAAAAGAAAGAATGCCACCAAAAGCAGGGAGCCCTAAGGGAGCAGTTACAGGTGAGTGGAGGGTGTGAAGTTCCGTCCTGTCCTCTGGAGAATGTTTCTTTCCTTCTTTTTCAGCACTTGCTTGGGTTTCCTCCCAAAGGTTCACATTCAGACCATAGGGATCCTCGTATCAGAGAAAGCTGAGTTACAGACAGCCCTGGCTCACACTCAGCATGCTGCCAGGCAGAAAGAAGGTGGGAATCTGGGCACCCCATCATCCTTCAACCTGGCACTTTGACAGGCCTTTAGGGGGAGTCCTTTGGGCCCCATCTCAACCTCTCTCATTCCAGGAGAGTCTGAAGATCTGGCCAGCCGCCTGCAGTATTCCCGGCGGCGTGTGGGAGAGTTGGAGCGGGCTCTCTCTGCTGTCTCCACGCAGCAGAAGAAGGCAGACAGGGTGAGTCCAACTGCCTGCCCCGTCCCCTGGCATACTGGCTTCCCAGATGGAGGAGTGAGCCTAAAGGTCCCTTCTGCAGGGTTGACTGTCCTGCCTAGAAGGCAGCATGGGCCATTTATCACTGCTTTTGTGTGTGGTTGCTAGAGGCATCCTGGGGCTGAGTCAGCTGCTGTGGGTGAGTTTGGGGGCACTGTGGGGAGTGAACACTGGACGCAGAGCTCGGAGGCCAAGTGCCCGCTGTGCCGTTACCTGGCTGTGGCCTTGGTCAAGTCCTAGGTGGGGGAATATGGTACTTGTACTGTGAAGGTACAGAAGAGTATCTTTAGTATGTTACCATTTGTGTAGAGAGAGGGAACGTGTGTGTGTATGTGTACCTATGTACTATGACAATATACATAAAACGTGTCTGCATGGATTCATAACAAACTCAGGAGAGAGGAACAGCACGGCTGGAAGATATTTCCCTTCTGCCCTTTCGGAGTTTTGGACTATCTGAATATATCATCCTTTCAAAAACTGAACAAAAGATAATTTCCCCCTTCCTATTTGTGCCCCCACCCTCGGGGAACAAATGAGCTTAGAGAGTCAGATATACCTGGGTGTTCAAATCCGAGCTCTGTCTAAGTGATCTTAGGCAAGCACTTAACCTCTAATATTCCGTGTTGTCCATCTACAAAATAGAGGTAATAATAGTAACTGTCTCATGTGGTGGTTATGAGGATTAAATGGGATTGTTAGCATGGTGCCTGGTGAAGCATTCAATAAAGGTTCAAACAGTGGTAGTAATAATGATAATAACAATAGCAATATTATCTGATCTCTCTGGGCCTCTGTTAGCCAGCTGTAAATTCGATCTTGGCCAGGTGTGGTGGCTCATGCCTGTAATCCCAGCACTTTGGGAGGCCGAGGCAGGTGGGTCAACTGAGGTCAGGAGTTCGAGACCAGCCTGACCAACATAGCAAAACCCTGTGTCTACTAAAAATGCAAAAAATTAGCCAGGTGTGGTGGCGTGCCCCTGTAATTGCAGCTACTTGGGAGGCTGAGGCAGGAGAATTGCTTGAACCCGGGGGCGGAAGTTGCGGTGAGCTGAGATCGTGCCACTGCCCTCCAGCCTGGGTGACAGAGGGAGACTCTGTCTGAAAATAAATAAATAAATAAATAAATAAATAAATAATAACAAAAATTAGCCAGGCATGATGGCGCATGCCTGTAATCCTAGGTACTCAGGAGCCTGAGGCAGGAGAATCACATGAACCCGGGAGGCAGAGGTTGCAGTGAGCCAAGATGGCGCCACTGCACTCCAGCCTGGGTGACAGATGGAGACTCCATCTCAAATAAATACATATATACATACATACGTACATACATAAATTCGCTCTCTCTCCCTGTTCCTTCCACCCTTACCAAGTCCTTTTTTTTTGAGACGGAGTCTCACTCTGTTGCCCAGGCTGGAGTGCAGTGGCACCATCTCGGCTCACTGCAAGCTCTGTCTCCCGGGTTCATGCCATTCTCCTGCCTCAGCCTCCCGAGTAGCTGGGACTACAGGCACCTGCCACCACGCCTGGCTAATTTTTTGTATTTTTTTTTTTTTTAGTAGAGATGGGGTTTCACCGTGTTAGCCAGGATGGTCTCGATCCCCTGATCTCGTAATCCGTCCCCCTCGGCCTCCCAAAGTGCCAGGATTACAGGCGTGAGCCACCGCACCCGGCCACCCTTACCAAGTTTTTTTAAAAACAAATGAGACCAGCCGGGTGCCGTAATCCCAACACTTTGGGAAGTTGAGGCGGGCGGATCACTTGAGGTCAGGAGTCAAGACCAGCCTGGCCAACATGTTGAAACCCCCTCTCTATTAAAAATAAAAAAATTAGGCCAGGCATGGTGGCTCACGCCTGTAATCCCAGCACTTTGGGAGGCTGAGACGGGCGGATCACAAGGTCAGGAGATCGAGACCATCCTTGCTAACACAGTGAAACCTCGTCTCTACTAAAAATACAAAAAAATTAGCCGGGTGTGGTGGCGGGGGCCTGTAGTCCCAGCTACTTAGGAGGCTGAAGCAGGAGAATGGCATGAACCCGGGAGGCGGAGCTTGCAGTGAGCCGAAATTGCGCCACTGCACTCCAGCCTGGGCAACAGAGACTCCATCTCAGAAAAAACAAAACAAAACAAATTAGCCGGACATGGTGGTGCACGCCTATAGTCCCAGCTACTCAGGAGGCTGAGGCAGGAGAGTCACTTGGACCAGGGAGGCAGAGGTTGTGAGCTGAGATCTCACCACTGCACTTCAGCCTGGGTGACAGAGGGAGACTCTGTCTCAAAAACAACAACAGCAACAACAAAATGAGACCATGGGCTTGGAAATGCCTTGAAAACATGTCAAGTGTGATTGAGAGTGAGGAAGTGTTACTGTGGAGTACTTACTGTAGCTGTTGTTACTGGTTGGCCAGCTGCTCCTCTGCCTGCTATATCCTGACTTAACCTTTCTGTATTTACAGTACAACAAGGAGTTAACCAAAGAGAGAGACGCCCTCAGGCTGGAGTTATACAAGAACACGTAGGATGGGGGATGGTGGGATGGGAGGTCTGGGGGCCCTCAGCATGGGTGGTGTGCTGGGAGGTGGGGGGTACAGGTAAGCATGATGAGGTAGTCATAGAGGTGTGCATGTGTGCCCAGCAAAGCTCTAGTGCCAGCTGTGCCACTGACTCATGGTGTAGCCTTGGGTAACTCGTATCTTTTCTCTGGCCTGTACATGTGACTTTTGATTCCTGGGGTTCCTTCCAGTGCCACAGTTCTGTGGTTGTGGGGCAAGGGTAGAGGGTGGATCACCAAAGCAGTCCTTTCTGTTCTTCGTTCATTCCTTTCTCTACTGCCTCTGGCCATAGCCAAAGCAATGAGGACCTGAAGCAAGAGAAATCAGAATTGGAAGAGAAGCTTCGGGTCCTAGTGACTGAGAAGGCTGGCATGCAGCTTAACTTGGAAGAATTGCAAAAGAAGTTAGAGATGACGGAACTCCTGCTTCAACAGGCAAGAGGCTGCAGCCCCATGGGTGGTGGGAGCGCCATCCAGCTGGGGCCATGGTCTAGGGATCATGCAGGGCATGGGGAGACTCCAGCCAAGAGCTGGAAAATTTGGGTCCTTGTTCCGGTCCTGGCATAAAATCCTCTAGAGAGTGCTAAAAATCTACAAATTGGGGACCTGGGGAATCAGAATCTTAGGGTTAGGGCTTAAGACAATTTTTGTTTTGTTTTGTTTTGTTTTGTTTTAAAGCATCATGGGTGAAAACCATTATTTTAGAGATTACATTTATATGGCTAGCTCATGAGTCTGTTTATTTCCTTCTGAGGTTCAAGCCAACACTTTCACTAATAATAGAGAGTAGAGATCTTTTTTTTTTTTTTTTTAGACGGGGTCTCGCTCTATCACCCAGGCTGGAGTGATACTTACTGCAACCTCTACTTCCCAGGCTCAAGCCATCCTCCTGCCTCAGCTTCTCAAGTAGTTGGGACTACAGGCGCACACTACCATGCCTGGCTAATTTTTGTATTTGTAGATACGGGGCTTTGCCATGTTGCCGAGGTTGGTCTTGAACTCCTGAGCTCAAGCAATCCACCCACCTCAGCCTCCCAAAGTGTTGAGATTACAGGCATCAGCCACCATGCCTGGCCTGAGATCTTTTTAAAATTATTTTTTATTTCTAAAGCAAAGAAACTTGACAGCAGAGTTGTATTGACTGAGTTGCACATTGAGCCTAGCCCTAGCCCTTTTAAGGGGCACTATTTGGAACGGCCTGGGCTCCCCAGATCTAAACTTCTCGCTCTTCACCATCCAGTTTTCAAGCCGGTGTGAAGCCCCTGATGCTAACCAGCAGTTACAGCAGGCCATGGAGGAGCGGGCACAGCTGGAAGCACACCTGGGGCAGGTGAGGCTTTGCAGGGGAGGGATGTAGAAGGAAGATGACCCCAGGTGGCCAGGAGTAGGTGACAACCAGTGACAGTCCTTCCTCATTTCTGTGGCCATTCTTGCAGGTAATGGAGTCGGTTAGACAACTACAAATGGAGAGAGATAAATATGCGGAGAATCTCAAAGGAGAGAGCGCCATGTGGCGGCAGAGGATGCAGCAGATGTCAGAGCAGGTGAGACCTGACCCTTCAGCTCCCCCTCAACCTTAGATAGGTCACTTGATCTTTCTGGGCATCTGCGAAATGGGAGGAGCACAGCCAGAGGTGGTCATGGGTCTGGGCTTTGTGGCGGTGGGGGCAGAGGGAGATGGTAGCCTGTCCAGCCACCAGCCCCTCTCCAGGGCCCTTTCTTGCTGTGCTTTGGGCAGGTGCACACATTGAGAGAGGAGAAGGAATGTAGCATGAGTCGGGTACAGGAGCTGGAGACGAGCTTGGCTGAACTGAGGAACCAGATGGGTAAGCTGGGGCTGGGGTGACCTGGGAGCAGGAATGGTGTCAGAGGGTTGTGGGGGTGGTTTAGAATGCCCCAGGGAGTTGGGTGGATGGAATGGCTTTGAGGCAGAGGGAAAGAGGTCTGTGCCAGGAGATGGCAAGTCTCGTCATCTCCATGAGCCTCAGTGCCCCATCAGCAAAGACGAAGGAGTGCCCGTTGTCAGCCACCCACAGTTGTCGCTATCGGAAAGTGGTTTGGAAGATTGGCTAACATCCGGGTGCGAGGAATCATCAGCAGGGAGGCCAAGTTTGGGGAGCTTGAGAGGAGGTATGGACCAAGAGGAGGGTTTTTTTGAGAATCCAGAGGCTTTTATTGTCTGCGTCCTTTCTCAGCTGAACCCCCGCCCCCAGAGCCCCCAGCAGGGCCCTCCGAGGTGGAGCAGCAGCTACAAGCGGAGGCTGAGCACCTGCGGAAGGAGCTGGAGGGTCTGGCAGGACAGCTTCAAGCCCAGGTGCAAGACAATGAGGGCTTGAGTCGCCTGAACCGGGAGCAGGAGGAGAGGCTGCTGGAGCTGGAGCGGGCGGCCGAGCTCTGGGGGGAGCAGGCGGAGGCGCGCAGGCAAATCCTGGAGACCATGCAGAACGACCGCACTACCATCAGCCGCGCACTCTCCCAGAACCGGGAGCTCAAGGAGCAGCTGGCTGAGCTGCAGAGCGGATTTGTAAAGCTGGTGCGCTGCCCCACCTGGAGAGCCCGCCCTCCTCCCTAGCCCTCCAGACCTTTGTTTTCCCACCTGTAAAGTGGGGCAGTGTAGCCCTCACTTGAAATGGTACTTCTGGAGGCATCTGTGAGCCAGAGCCCTGCTCCGATGGCTGTGGGGGAGAGGGGATGATTTTTCTAACCTGCCTCCACCCTTCCCGGTGCCATGGGAGGCAGACACCAAGGCAGCAAGTTCTGGGGTCTCCAGCTGCAGTGGGTGGCCGCTGATTGCTTCTCTCTGTCCAGACTAATGAGAACATGGAGATCACCAGCGCACTGCAGTCGGAGCAGCACGTCAAGAGGGAGCTGGGAAAGAAGCTGGGCGAGCTGCAGGAGAAGCTGAGCGAGCTGAAGGAAACGGTAACCCCGCCCCATCCAAGAAGGGCTGGGAGGCGGGCACCAGCCTCTGGGGAGGGGTGGTGTGAGGCCAGAGGCAGCTCCAGCCTGGGGCACAGGTGACCCCAGCACCCTCCAGGGCAGTCCTGTGACTGTTTCTTGCTCCCTGCCCTCTGACTTTTAGAGGTGGATAGCTTTGGGCTCCTCTCAGGTCTGGACATCATCGTCCCAGCTAGAGGCATGGATTTCTCCCAATCACAGGGGAAGAGACAGCGGCATAAGAGGCTCCTTAGATTCAAACTGGATTCTGGCCTTTGCTCCACTGGTCATCATTCAACTACTTTGCATCTCTAAGCCCCAGTTTCTTTAACTTAAAAAGGAAGTTAGCATCTTCCTTGCAGAGGTGCTGAGGATTCAATGAGATAATACGTGGAAAGCATTAGGCATGTAGCACACTTAGCAGATGGTGGTTGGCTCCCTCTGCGTTTCCACCAGTCTGTGGCCTACGGTTTAAATGGTGGGAAGAAGGATGTGAAATTTGAGGCTGGGGAAGGAGGCACGAGGCTCTAGACAAGGGAGGCAGTCACTTAGGCCTGGAGCAAGGGGCCAGAGGTCTGGGCAGGTGACAGAGCCCTCGCTACCCTATTTATGGGCCCTGAATCTGGAAGCAGGCCACCACCTGCCCTCACGCCCAGGGTCTTCCTACAGGTGGAGCTGAAGAGCCAAGAGGCTCAAAGTCTGCAGCAGCAGCGAGACCAGTACCTGGGACACCTGCAGCAGTATGTGGCCGCCTATCAGCAGCTGACCTCTGAGAAGGAGGTGCTGCATAATCAGCTACTGCTGCAGACCCAGCTCGTGGACCAGCTGCAGCAGCAGGAAGCTCAGGGCAAAGCGGTGGCCGAGATGGCCCGCCAAGAGTTGCAGGAAACCCAGGTGAGGGAGTTGGTGAGGGCAGGGCCCCGAGGGGGACAACCTGGCAACCTCCATGCCTTCTCACTCTCTTTTCTGGCCCCTTAGGAGCGCCTGGAAGCTGCCACCCAGCAGAATCAGCAGCTACGGGCCCAGTTGAGCCTCATGGCTCACCCTGGGGAAGGTACGGGAACCTGCTCACAGGAAGAGGAGAGAGCCCCAGGAAGAAGGGGGGACTGTTAGCAGCGTAGAATTGAGGAGTTGGAAGAGACCTTTAGAACAGCTGGTCATTATGCCAACTGGGTGTCCACACTAAGTTCGGCATCAATATGGTGACTTCCTGGGAGCAGGGCACTACCAGCTTACCTAAGGATGGGTGAACTGGCCCAGGTCAGAAATGAAGCAGGTCAGAACTCCCATGCTGATCGGTAGTGGGACTGCACCTGGGCAGCATAGCGAGCCCTTGGCTCTTAAAAAAGAATAAAATAAAAATAAAGAACAGATGCTTATTTCCCTCTGGGGAGGGGCTGGCCCAGGGTTACACAGTGAGGGTGGGGGCAGAGGTGGGCCCACTGTACCCTTGTTGGGTTGTCTGATGACCCCTCTGGCCACCCCCATAGGAGATGGACTGGACCGGGAGGAGGAGGAGGATGAGGAGGAGGAGGAGGAGGAGGCGGTGGCAGTACCTCAGCCCATGCCAAGCATCCCGGAGGACCTGGAGAGCCGGGAAGCCATGGTGAGGCTGACTCCCCCTCCCCAACCTTTGCTGCCTCCCTCTGTGGTCCCTCCCAGACCCCCTTCTGCTCTTGGTTTCCCGGCCTTCTGATTTCTTCGGACCCTCACCCCTTTCCTGGGAGCCAGTGGTGAGACACCATTTCACTTGGGACCAACAAGTGCACCCTCTGAGGCCCCAAGGGAAGGGCTGCTCTCTACCTCCCTGCCCTGTTCATCCTATATATCCTCCTACAAGAATGCACCCCTCTTGCCTGCAGGTGGCATTTTTCAACTCAGCTGTAGCCAGTGCCGAGGAGGAGCAGGCAAGGCTACGTGGGCAGCTGAAGGAGCAAAGGGTGCGCTGCCGGCGCCTGGCTCACCTGCTGGCCTCGGCCCAGAAGGAGCCTGAGGCAGCAGCCCCAGCCCCAGGGACCGGGGGTGATTCTGTGTGTGGGGAGACCCACCGGGCCCTGCAGGGGGCCATGGAGAAGCTGCAGGTGAATGAGTCTCTCCTGGCATGGGTCAAGAAGGGTGGGGGCGGGGCAGGTCGCTGCCGATATATGACTCCATTATTTTGGTTCCAGAGCCGCTTTATGGAGCTCATGCAGGAGAAGGCAGACCTGAAGGAGAGGGTAGAGGAACTGGAACATCGCTGCATCCAGCTTTCTGGAGAGACAGACACCATTGGTGAGTGGGAGGCCAGGGCACGGCAGGAGGAGCTGCACAGCGGTCGGAGGGAACCCAGCATCTGAGCCCTGTCCTCCCGCAGGAGAGTACATTGCACTGTACCAGAGCCAGAGGGCAGTGCTGAAGGAGCGGCACCGGGAGAAGGAGGAGTACATCAGCAGGCTGGCCCAAGACAAGGAGGAGATGAAGGTAGGGTGTGGAACATCTCTGGGGGTGGAGGTGGGCACGGGCATGGGCATGGCAGCTTAGCACCCCTCCCTCCAGGTGAAGCTGCTGGAGCTGCAGGAGCTGGTCTTACGGCTTGTGGGCGACCGCAACGAGTGGCATGGCAGATTCCTGGCAGCTGCCCAGAACCCTGCTGATGAGCCCACTTCAGGGGCCCCAGCCCCCCAGGAACTTGGGGCTGCCAACCAGCAGGGTGGTGAGTAGAGCCCTCGGGAGGGGTGGGCAGGCAGGAGTAAGGGAGGGCTCGCGTGGCACTCAGAGCCCTGCCTCTCTCTCTCCAAAGATCTTTGCGAGGTGAGCCTCGCCGGCAGTGTGGAGCCTGCCCAAGGAGAGGCCAGGGAGGGTTCTCCCCGTGACAACCCCACTGCACAGCAGATCATGCAGCTGCTTCGTGAGATGCAGAACCCCCGGGAGCGCCCAGGCTTGGGCAGCAACCCCTGCATTCCTTTTTTTTACCGGGCTGACGAGAATGATGAGGTGAAGATCACTGTCATCTAAAAGCCGGCTACTGTCAGCAAAGCCTGAAGAAGTGGGGCTGGATACCCTGCCCCCACCATATCCCTACCATCCCTTCTCAGTCAACCCTTTACCCTTACAGTAGCAAGCATAGACCCCTGTCTAACGGGGGTAGACAGGTGCAGATGAGGTGAAGATCACTGTCATCTAAAAGCTGGCCACTAAATTAAAAAAAAATTAAAAGTTATGGGATTAAAAAAAGTTATGGGATAAAAAAGGTTATGGGTAACTTATGGTATAAAAGTTATGAAAAAAGGCCAGGTGCAGTGGCTCACGCCTGTAATCCCAGCACTTTTGGGAGGCTGAGGTTGGGAGTTCAAGACCAGCCTGGTCAACATGGTGAAACTGTGTCTCTACTAAAAATACAAAAATTAGCCAGGCATGGTGGCACGTGCCTGTAATCCCAGCTACTCGGGAGGCTGAGGCAGGAGAATCGCTTGAACCTGGGAGGTGGAGGTTGCAGTGGGCTGAGATCACGCCATTGCACTCCAGCCTGGGCGACAGAGTGAGACTCTGTCTCAAAAAAAAAAAAAATTATGAAAAAAGTTATGGGATTAAAGAAAGTCAGGATAAAAATTTTAAAAAGCAGGCCACTGTCAGCAAAGCCTGGAGAAGTGGGGCCGGAGGCTCCGCCCCCATCATGTGCCTGCCACCCCTTCCCAGTCATCCCTTTACTCTTACAGTAGCAAATAAGACCCCTGTCTAATGGGGGGAGACAAATGTGTAGACCCTTAGCCACCTTGGCCAGGGCTGACTCCTTAAATTTCTGGATGATGATGATTGTTATTTAATAGCCAGAGGCTCATATAATTGGCCTCTTTGGAAGAGGCCTCATGGCCTCCTTACTCTCACCAAAGCAATTTTTCCCTCAGGGGGGCTCCCATCTTCTTACACAGAGAGGCAGCTGAGGCAGGACAGTGGGGCTAACTGTAGACCAGGCGAGGGCACGGGCTGCTGGGGTGGCCCTGCTTCCCCAGTGTACATATTGTATCTGTGTAACATTTTGTATATTCCAGGGGTAGGGCCGCCCCCTGTATCATACCTAGCAGAGGTTGGAGCTGGCACATGGGGAGGAGGTTCTAATAATTATTTGGGGCTGGGAAACTTATTTATTGATAGCATAGGACAGAGGAAGGAGGCGGGGATGGGGTCGTGGCGCCCTGGTGATGCGACTCCTGTTTATTTTGCTTTTTATTTCGGAATAAATGGATTTAGCCATACTGCTCTGCCTGATGTGTTCCTGTTTCTCTCACTGGGTCCTGGAGTTTGTGCCACTGAACAGGGAGCCCCAGAGTGTCTGAGCATGTGCAGCTGGGCTGTTGGGACCTTCCAGGCTTGTTACCTGTATGCTGCCTGGTGACATCTTGGGGATTACACGGGGACTACCATGGTACCTATGGGGACAGTTTGGCCCCGATGGCCAACAGGCTCAGAAGCCTGATCTAGCGGTGGCCAGGAAGACAGGATGCCAGCACCCAAGGGCACTGACTTCCATCCAGCCCAGGTGTCTTCCATTCTGTCCCCCTGCCTCCCTCGCCTGCCTGAGCCTGGTGGCCTGTTCTGTCTGTCCCTCCAGAATGCCAGCCGCCCTGCCGGCGCCCTCCAGGCTGAGTTAATGGCCCTGCCCCCTAGTGGCCAGAGCCCGCTTCACAGGATGAGAGCCCCCTAAGCTCCAGGGGCTTTCCAGGAAAAATGTCCCTTGGAAAAGATGTGGTCTTTTCACCACCCCCAGCAGCACCCTAGTAATGGCTTAGCCCTTCCCCTCCCCTGAGCTCCAGAGAGAACACAACCAGCAGAGGAGACATTCCCCATCATCCAGAAATGGGTTTTATTCTCAGCCGAGGGACAGCAGGACTGGTAGAAACTGTCAGGCCACACGGCTGCCTGCACAGCACCCCCATGCTTGGTAGGGGGTGGGAGGGATGGCGGGGGCTGGCTGTCCACAGGCCGGGCATGACAAGGAGGCTCACTGGAGGTGGCACACTTTGGAGTGGGATGTCGGGGGACAGCGTTCTCTGGTAGTTGGGCCACAAGACTCCACAAGGATAGCACAGTGACTGATTCCCAGCGCTAGAGGCGAGGCGGTTGGCCATGTGTAGGTGTGTATATATATGAGTATTTATAGATATTTATAGAACAGGGCAAGGGCATACCACAGAAGGGGCACAAGTTTTCACCAACGGTCACACCTGAATGTATCAGCTCACCACTACAACAGATTAAGTCACAGATGAAGGGGGCTGGCTTTGGGGCTGGGGGAGCCACTGTCAAGTCACAGAACAGCCGTCCAGGCAGGCTTGGAAAGGGAGGTCTCCGAGAAGAGGAGGGATCTGTTTAGAGGTCGAAGGGGGGCCTGGGGCTCTCAGGACGGGATGGACTTGCCTGACCCGATCGGCTGGCAGTTGGAGAGAAAGCAGAGAGAAAACGGGAGAGAAAAGCGAGGAGAGAGCTGGTAAGGCAAGCGCAGCACACGGCCGGGGCCGGCCGCGCCGCAGCAGTGGTGGGAGGGCCGGGGAGGGGAGGCTGCAGGTGTGGGTGTGGCAAGGTTCCTGGAAAAGGGGCTGGAAGGGAAAGGGGAGGAAGATGGAGGGAGGAGCCGTAGCTTCACAGATAGCGCCTGGGGGCTGTGGCGGCCCTCCCCACCCCACACACGCTGGCCTCTCACACGGCACCCAGGCAGGGCACCCGCAATTCAGGCTGATGCTCGGCCCCCTCGGGCTTCCCTCTTCTCTGGTCACCCTGTCTTCCAACCCACTGGCCTGGGGCCACCCCTTGCCTTGGGGAGCCCCATGCAACAGCCACCAGGCCTGATAGAGAAAGAACACTGCTTGAACCAGGAGGGTGAAACTAAAAGGGATGGCTGGAGGGAGCGCCGGAGGCCCCTCTGGGTGTTCAGAAAACCCAGGACCCTCTGAAGGGACCCTGGGGGAGGCAGGGAGGGCAGGCAGCCGGATGCCAGTGGCCATAGACTTATAAGTCTAAGAGGGGAGCCTCAGCTGGTCGGGGGGCTGCAGGTCTCGTAGGTGAGGCTGGGCCCTTCCTGCTGGGAAAAGCAGAAGAGCGAGAGTCAGTGGCAGGAGAATGGGGGGTGGGCTCACTGGGCGGAGCTCAGCTGGGCCAGCAGGCACGGTCGTCCCCTTGGCTGAATGGCACAAGTGACCCTAGGAGCAACAGGCCAAGGTGCGTGAGCCCGCTGGCTGGCTACGGTGCTTCAGCTGGGGCCAGGGACACTGCCTTCAGTCACACTAGCAGCTATGACGGTACCTGGGAGGGAGGGAAGGGGGCTGTGTGTCCCTGCCTGGCCTGTGAGGTATGTCGTGGGATGACCGTGTGTATGGGACTCTCAAGCTTTTACCCTAGGTCACCACTGGATTGCCGGCAGATAGAGGAGGTGGGACCCTGACTCTCACCCCTGCTCTACGGTGGATTTGGCTCTCAGCACTCCCAGGCTGGGAGCTGGATGCCCTACCCAGGGAGCATGACTCAGACTGCACACCACGCACGGTGTGCCCAGGATAACGTTCCTAGGCCTCTGGCCGCCTCAGAGTCCAGCCCCACACACGACCCCCTCCAAGCTCCCAGCCTTTACACCATAAACCACGAGCTCTCTGCCCTCTCTGACGGCTCCAGAGAGCACCCATGTCTGCCAGCTTGGGCGCGGAGCCTGTTCCAAGAGCCTCCAGGCTCAGCCATGGAGGCCTTGGGCAGTGGCACTGAGTCCCGAGGCTCGCAGGGAAGGGAGGTGAGAGAGCCAGCGGCACAAGGACAGAAAGAGGAAAGAGCAAGTCTGCAGCTGCAGAAGGGAGGGGCGGGGAGCCTGGCTCTGAGGTCCCAGGTGCGCGCCCCGTGTGGAGCTAGTGCAGCGGGGCAGACACACCGTTCATGCAGCAGGCGGTGAGGCATGTACCTACCATGGCTGACGCTCCTCAGGGGTCACTGATAGTGATTCTGAAAGACAGCACGAAATCAACATGGCAGTTCACACGCACGGGTGGGGCCGGCCTGGGGGTGGGGGACACACACACGCACACGCCCGGGCGTGCACACACATGCTGTGAGGCCCCATGGCCCACATGCACACGCTAACACACATGCCCACAAACAACACGCATACGCCTCCTTCCCCGCCACCTCCCAGTGCCCAGCACCCTCACTGGCCGGCGGCGCGTGCAGCATGGATCTGGGGCATGCAGCCACTCAGCACACTGAAGCACACGTGTGGGCAGAGTCACAACACAGAAGCTCACCCGCACACAGAGGCATTTGCACCAGCTCCCTGCACACTCGTGCCTGGTGTGCTTAGAGGATCACCCGTGCTGCTCATGGAGATAGGGCTTGCTCGCTAAAGTCCAGCTGTCATTTCTCCACCTAAGAGCCTTCTGTGGTTCCCTACTGCCCACAGCATTGAGCCCCAACAAGTCAAACTTTTCAGACTTTGAAGGTTCTCCACCTTGCGCCCCACCCTGCCCACAGAGCTCTTCCTCATTCTGTCTCTGTTCTCTGCTTTGTCCAGTGGCTGTCCTCGTTGCAGCCCACACTACACCTCTGCCCACACTGCAGCTCTTGGCCCAGATACCCTCCTGATTCCTTGCCACGTAAGCCTATCTCAGCCATGCCTCAGACTGCACTGAAGTCAGGTTGCCTTGAAGAAGCTCTCCCAGACTGCTCTTTTCCCCAAGGTAGGGTCATGATTTGCCAAATGTTTCATGTGTGTTAGCAAGACTGGAGTTGGGGCAGGCATCAAACCTTACATCACAGATCTCACACCGCACCATAGACCTGGGTGCCAAATACCCTGAAGAATCTGAACTCACGTTGGCAGTTAGCAAAGTGCTCCTACGGCTGCATCTGCAGTTAACACAGCATCCCTATAGCCACTGTCTCCCTCGATCCCCACAACCGCCCTGGGAAAAAGGCAGAATGTCATCATTTGATAGAAGGGATGCTGAGGCTCTGGGAGGGAAAGAGACGTGTCTAAAGGCCCAGGGTGAAGCAGCATCTCTGGACTCCCAGTCCAGTCCTCTTGCCCAATACCATGCTGCTTGCCTCTACGCATCTGCTTTGGTCATCAGAGCATCATAGGGCAAGCCCCAATCCCTGCCTCATTTTGGTTTATGGGTGCTAGACCGACAGCCCTACCCTCCAGCCATGCAGAAACAAAACAGATGCTATTGTTCTGCTGTGTTCTTCCTTAGAGAATGTGGCCAGTGGAAACAGGGCAGACTGGGAATTGGAGTGAACTTCCTTGAAAGAGAGTCATGGGTCAAGAAGGTCAAGCCAAAGGATGTAGTAGAAAGCTTTTCCCTAGAAATCTTTGGGAATGAAGCAGGCTTCAAGCACTCCCATCCCTGCCCCTGCCGCCACCCCTACCACATTGGTTTAGACTGGGTAGGGCCAGAAGTCGCGGAGGGGGTGGTTGGGGGGAGGAAAAAAGCCATCAGTTTGCCCACGGCCCAGGCTGCTTCCCCAGCTGCTCCTGTCCTAGCCCGGGCCTGGGTGCCATGCTTACACTCTCACACTCGTGTGCACGCCCACACACACATCACACACCTTTCTAGTCACACAGTCACAGCCTGGCCTCTGCTCCTGTGGGCCAGTGGCTGGACACCCCCTGGGATGGCTCAAAGGAGTCAGGGCTGGGAAGTGGGGACATCAGGGTAGCTGAAGGAAATCCACACACTCAGAGCAGATCGGGGTTCAGAGTCAGACCTAAGGTAGGCTCCCCAGGGGCTGGGAGAGGAATTGGACGGAATGGAGGATGGAGGACAGCAAGAAGAAGAAAGGAGGAGGAATGCAACGTGTGGGCGGCCGCCAAGAGTGAAAATAGAGGGAAGCGCCATGCAAGTGCTGGAAAGAAGGGGGCAGGTGGGACGAGCCCCACAGCCCCCTCCCCAGAAACGACCACCTCCGGGACTCAGCGCTCCCTCGGGGGCAGGCTCCGCCAGCCCTCGGCCACACGTGGCGTGGCTCCGGCACCCAGAGTCCGATTGCCTGGGATAGAAACGGCCGGTTCTGGCGGCCAGGTCCGATGCTCTGGAATCCAGCCCCATTTCCCTCCCGGCCACGCCCGTCCGGCAGCCTCTCCAGCCGCATTCAGCCCCTACTCACCTGGGGACCCCGGGCGGGGCGCGGTTGGGGCGCGAGGGCACCTGAGGGGGAGGGCCGAAAGGGTCAGGGGAAGCCCCCGGCCTGGAGGGCACGGGGGGCGCCCCCCCCAGGGCGGACCCAGCAGGCGGAGGCCCAGGAGCAGGGCCCCGCGACCCGGGCCGGGCTGGGGGCACGGCGGGGGCTCGGCGCTGCGGCGTGGGGCTGGACGTGGGCGACCTGAGGGCGACAGGGAGCGAGGAACAAGGAGAGGCGAGATGAGCAGCTCCGCCCACCCAGAGGCCCCGCCCCAGCCCAGTGCTGGCCACGCCCATGCACGCAAGCCCCTCCCTGCCGCACCCCTAAGGCGGTCGCCGGAGCTTAAGCCCCGCCCCCAGCGGCGCCAACGCCCCAGCTCCACCCAGCCTTGCAGCCAGCTCTCCACGGCAAGCCCCGCCCCGCGACAAGCCCCGCCCTCTCTAAGCTCCGCCCCTCGCTCCAGGTGGGAGCCACCCCGGTGACGCGGGCGCGCCACTGCCCGGTCCCGGCATTCCTCCCGCGGGCCCCGGGCTGGGGGGCTTTGGGGCCGTGGGGGCCGGCCCTGGTACCTGCGTCCGGCCGGTACGCTCTGCACCTGCAGCCAGGAGTCGTCCACGGGCGGGGGCATGGGCGTGCTGACGGTGGTCGTGTTGATGTCGCCGATGATGCTGAGCGCCTCCTTCAGTGCGTGGTACATGCGCAGCATCTCGTCGCGCCGCTGTGCCTGCTCCGCCGACTCCTCCATCAGCGTGTTCTGGTCCCCACACGAGTACAGGTTGGCCAGCAGCTCCGAGAAGATGAACTCCTTGGTCTGCGAGTAGGCAAAGAGGGAAGGAGGTGGGGACCTGATGCCTGTGCCGCCCTGGCCGCCCCACCGGGCCCTGCTGGGACTGTGAGCTGGTGTGGCTTTTCAGACGCGGCTCCTACACTGCGTAGACTGGAAGATTCACCTCCCCACCGCGCTTTTCTCACTCAGATGAGGACACTGAGGTCCACAGGAAAAGTCATCTGACCAAGGTCACAGAACCGGGAGGGGACTTAGGACCTATCATGCCACCAGAACTCTTGTCTACTCAGTTGTTTTTTTTTTTCTTCTTCCTGGAGATAGGGTCTCGCTCTTTCACCAGGCTGGAGTACAGTGGGGAGATTACCACTCACTGTAGCCTCAACCTCCTGGGCTCAAAGTTATCTTCCAATGTCAGCCTCTCCAGTAGCTAGGACTACAGGCACGTGCTACCACCAACCCCAGCTATTCTTTTTTTTTTTTTTGAGACGGAGTTTCACTCTTGTTACCCACGCTGGAGTGTAATGGCACAATCTCAGCTCACCGCAACCTCCGCCTCCCGGGTTCAAGCAATTCTCCTGCCTCAGCCTCCTGAGTAGCTGGGATTACAGGCATGTGCCACCACGCCCGGCTAATTTTGTATTTTTAATAGAGATGGGGTTTCTCCATGTTGGTCAGGCTGGTCTCAAAATCCCAACTTCAGGTGATCTGCGCACCTCGGCCTCCCAAAGTGCTGGGATTACAGGCATGAACTACCGCGCCCGGCCAACCCCCGCTATTCTTTAAAATTTTTGTGTAGAGACAAAGTCTCACTGTGTTGCCCAAGCTGGTCTTGAACTCCTGGGCTCAAGTGATCCTCCTGCCTTGTCCTCCCAAAGTGCTGGGATTACAGGCATGAGCCACCGTGCACAGCCCCTCATTATATTTCTTCTTCTTTTTTTTTTTTTTTGAGATGGAGTCTCGCTCTGTCGGCCAGGCTGGAGTGCAGTGGCAGGATCTCGGTTCACTGCAACCTCCGCCTCCTGGGTTCAAGTGATTCTCCTGCCTCAGCCTCCCGAGTAGCTGCAATTACAGGCTCACGCTACCACACCTGGCTAATTGTTCTATTTTTAGTAGAGATGGGGTTTCACCATGTTGGCCAGGCTGGTCTTAAACTCCTGACCTCACGTGATCCACCTGCCTTGGCCTCCCAAAGTGCTGGGATTACAGGTGTGAGCCACCGCGCCCAGCCCCTCATGATATTTCTATTGGACAGCTCTGGTCTGGACCGTGCCTCCCTCCCTGGACCTGGTCCCATAGGGCTGGTTGGCATCTCCCCCAGGCCAACATGGCCACCTGCATCCCCAGTGCCACAGGATTTCCCTGCCCCCATGCAGTGGAGCACGCACATTGTTAATCATGAGGTGCATGATGGTCTTGGGCATGAGGTCCCTCACGGTCTTGTTGACAATGGCCATGTATGAGTCCACAAGATTCCGGATGGTCTCCACTTGCCGTTCCAGCTGTGGGTCCATGGAATGCATGAAGCTGTCGGAGCCATTCTCCTCGGTCTCGCTGGCCTGCCATGGAGAACACAAGGGCATCAGGTGGCCAGGCCATGCAGCCAGGCTCCAGGCATCCCCAGGATCTCAGCCCCTCCAAGGGTACCCAGAATATTGAGGCACAGAGAGAAGCGACTGGCCTGAATACATACCTGGCTCCGCATCCCTGTGCCTCTCAGGACCCTAGACTCCCCTGATTCAGCCTTGTCTTGGTTCTGACTCTAGTGCCTAGAATTTGCCTCAATTTCCCAATCCAGAAATTATTATTATTATTATTTTGAGAAAGTCTTGCTTTGTCACCCAGGCTGGAGTGCAGTGGTGCTGTATTGGCTCATTGCAACCTCCTCCTGGGTTCAAGCGATTCTCCTGCCTCAGCCTCCTGAGTAGCTGGGATTACAGGCGCGCACCACCATGCCTGGCTAATTTTTGTATTTTTAGTAGAGGTGGGGTTTCACCGTGTTGGCCAGGCTGGTCTCGAACTCCTGACCTTGTGATCCGCCCACCTCGGCCTCCCAAAGTGTTGGGTTTACAGGTGTGAGCCACTGCGCCTGGCCCCAATCCAGAAATTAGAAAAGAACATCTCCAGGTCCCTTGCTTGAAAACCTGGCTGGAGCTGGTGCCAGGCTGCAGATGCCTGGCAGGAGGCAAGAGAAGGGCACACTCACTTTCTCTTTGTCCTGGGAGGCCCACACACCAACATTGCCACCGCCGCCACCACCAGGGAGCACAGCCGAAGGAAACACAGAGAGGAAAAGGGGAGAGATTGAGTGAACCTGGGATACTGCACCCCAACTCTCAGGCTACTCTAGACATCGCCACAGTGAAATAGGGGAGAAAAGAGAAGGCAGTCACAAGAAACTACCATCATAGAAAGGGGATGGAGGAAATGCCATCTGCAACAGAGACAGAGACACAAAACTGCCACTGGAGAAGGATGGGAATACCAGGAGACTTATCTCTGTTCCCACCCCCAGAGTGGGTAGGGGGGAGGATTCCTATTATTTCTGAGCCAAATAAGGGCTCGGAAACATGGCATGACTTGGCATCACTGAGGATGGTGCCCCAGGGGCCCTAGGATCATGCTTGCCCTTCCTCTCCTTGCCCTGCCACTCACCCCAACACGCTCAGGGTACACGCCAGCCCTCAGGAAGGAGGCCTTCCAGCTGTCCACCTCCTCCTGTGTCTCACAGGCTAGCTCCAGCTGCCGATAATCCTTGTAGACATTCCTGCAAGATAGGGCAGGCAGTGAGGGCAGATGGGCAAAGTCTGACCCTCCCTGGGGGTTAAGGGCATGCCCAGACTTTGGGGTCAACATGCCTGAGGCCAGCTCATTTCCCAGCTGTGTGACCCTGTGCAAGTCCCTTCCTCTCAGCCTCAGTTTCCTCACTGGGAAGATGGGTTAATAATAATTCCTGCCTCCTTGGGTCACTGAGGATTCAGTGAAGTGAGTGGTAAAATGCTTAGAAGGGGACTGGACCTTTGACAAGAGGACAACCATAGTCAGTGAAGTCTCTAGCTTGGGGCCCAGATCCCACCAGCTTTCTCCGTGGCTCTCTAAGGACCCCTCTGATGGCCGCTGGACTGAACTCTCATCTCCGAGTAGCAGAGGGCCCACTAGAGTCAGCCTTGGGTCAGGAAGGAAGAGGACTAGTACTGCCACCACCCTATAGGAAAGAGAGCAGGAGAAGAGGACCAGGCCTGACTAGGGCCCTTTGGCTCCAGTGCCTGGCAGAGTGTCTCATGAAGAGCATGCACTATACCAGTGACTATGGAAGGGAGGAAGGGACGGAGGGAGGGAGGGAAGGGGAGAATGGAAGGAAGGGAGGAAGGGAGGGAGGGAGGAAAGGAGGGAGGATGGAAGGAAGGAAGGGAGGAAGGAAAAGAGGGAGGGAAGGAGGAGGGAAGGGAAGGGGAGGGGATGGGAGATCTTGACATGATGTCTAGCTCAAAGCAGGAACTCAATAAGCATCTGTCAGTGGATGGCTTGCTGTGGGGCCTAGGGGAGGTTCCTCTCCTCCCTGGATCCCTGTACCCAGCTTCTACTCAGTGAGGGTGGTTTTGGGGCTGCAGCAGCCACAGCCAGGGGCAGGCAGGCACCTCTGCTCCGTGTTAAAGAGGGCAAAGATATGCTTGCTCGACATAAAGCCCTTCTCCACGTCCCGCAGCTTGAGGTTGTCCACAGACAGCATGTATTTCTTCTCTTTCTCCTGTGGGTGCAGGTAGGAGCAATGGGGTGAGGTTGGCACTGTTCTCTGCCACACCTCACTCTCTAAGAGTCCCCCTGACTGGCCCAGGGCTTCTAAGCATCAGCCCCCTCCCACTGCGAAGGTGCAGCTAGATAAAAGCCTGGCCACGGACCGTAGGCCTCCTGGGCACCGCCGACCCCCGCAGAGCCAGTCCTACCAGCTCTGCATATATGCCGGGGGCCAGGGGGCTGGTGAGGGGTGGGGAGGCTGAGAGTGGCTCCCAAAATCCCTCCCCAGGCAAGTCCTGGATACAAGCCAGGCCAGCCTCAGGCAGGGACCGCACACTCAGGCCTCTCTCACCCCCGGCCTGGCCGCCTCTGACTTCATTTCCTGACTGCAGAGACCAGGAAGGGGGGCCACCAGACCCGGCGGCTTCAAAGGGCCGGCTCAGCCCACTCCCCCGAGCTCCCCATGTGTTAGCAATAAGGCAGCCAGCACAAGCCTGGAGATGGTGTGCCTGTGTGTGCAACATGTGTGTAGTTGTGTGTTTGTGCCAACACATGCAAGCCCAAGTACATATCCTATCAGCTATTGTGTGTGTGTGCACATGTGTATCTGGGGAGGTGCCCAGCATGAACCATGTGTCGGTGTCAGCGTGTCTGCATCTCAGTGTGGATGTGTGCACACTTTGTGGATGTGTGTGGCAATTGTGCGAGCCTACATGTTTGCAGAGCCATGCCTGTGGACTTATACTGGGGTACACATCTTACCTGCACACCGTGGTACAATGGGCTGTGTGTTTGATTTATCTAGAGCTGTCTGGGAGGAGTTATGTGTATCTGTGCACAGGCGTGTGGGGTGCTAGGCCCATGTGTGTGCTCGGTGTGGGCACATGTGTATGTAGGCTGCTGTGTCCCAGGGGAGGGGTTCAGGGATCTAGGGAGGAGGTACCCCAGGATGGGGCTCTGGGAGAGGGGAGGGGTTTTTGTCACCCATGCCCTACTTGTTCACGGGGGTCGTCTGTGTGGGCCTCGGGGACTCAAAGAGGTTGGGCATGAGCCTTGCCTAGGATCTCAGGTGGGGGGCTGGGTTTAGGGGGACCTTGCTCCCCCGTCCTGGCGTCATCCCGCCCACCCCTCTCTGCCCCCAACGCCCCCCTGGCCCATGCAGCCACATAAAGCCCTCTTTATGCCAGGCGGGTGGCCGGGAGCCCCAGAGGGCGGCTGGGGGAGGAGAGGAGGAAGTTGCACACACGGCCAGGGAACATCTGGAACCGTTCGAGAGAGGCCCCGCCACCACCCGCCCTGTGCTTCGGGGTTGGACACTAGGTAGGAGCGGCCTCCTCCCCCCACCCCTCCCTTCCTGCCGGCCGGCCCCCTCCTCAGGCCCCTCCTTCTCAGCCCCAGCTCCCGCTCACCCCTGCCACGTCAAAGGAGGCAGAAGGGGAGTTGGGAGCAGAGAGGGGACCACGGGCTGGCTGGTCTGGGGCTAGGGGGACACAGGCTGGGGTTGGGGGGTTCTCGGATCTCCAGGGGATGGGGCTGAAGCGCCCACCGGATGGACAGACACTGCTGCCTGGATGGACCAGAGGACACCTCCACTCCGTCTACCCAGTGTTTAGACTATCTGTTCAGGACTCCCAAATTGTACAGTAGTCTGCACATTGGTTAGGCTGGGCTGGGTTAGACCCTCGGCACCGCCGCCACTGGAGAGCTGGACCGACCCCTGCCTGCCATCCCAGAACCGGAGCCTGGAGCCAGGGGGTTGGGGCACAGGGCGGGCTGGGAGGAGGCACAGATGGATGGGGGTGCCACCCTGTGTGGGACTGGTTGGGGGTAGCGGTGATGGGGGAAGGGTGGCCGAGGAAGACTGAGAGGATGGGGGGGTCAATGGGGACTGGGGATGTGGGCAGCCGCCGGTCTGCCCAAAGAGCCTCCCTCACCCCAAAACCTGAGGGCTGGTGGTTGAGTAGAGAAGTACAGACCACTCTCCCACCAGCCTGGACCACCTCCACATCCCCAGTGGTCCTAGTGCAAGAATCCACTCACATTCAACACACACGCACCTTGACACTCACAGCCCCAGAACTCACACACATGAGCACCCCCACACTTTCAATCTCACACCCATGTCCCACACGGACACACACAAGTGCATGCACACACACCCATACACACCCTCACAACTGGAACACTCCCCCCATCCTCACATCCCAAAGACATACACAGATTCTCAAACACCCCATACTCACACCCTCCCTCCTAGAGCCCCCTCCCCACACACACCTGCTTTTACACCCCAAGCACAGGCAGGTGCCCAGAGTCACTCCCCAGGCACACAGATTTCACCCCCAGATGCAAATGCAGACCACATATTCCAAACACACCTAGATGCTTATACTCCAATCACACTCCTAAAAAACACCCACACACCAGACCCACAAGCCACACACACACACACACACACACACACAAACACACCCCGCCTCCCAGCACCCACAGCCCACAGCTGACTCCCATCTCCCCACATATGATTCTCAGAGCTGTTTTCGCACACGACTTAACTCAGATGTACACAAAAGCTCCAGAAAGGCCTGCAGGCTCAGGCATGAGATCAGGGGACCCCCTCAGTGGCACGTGCCCCTCCCCCACAGTGTCACCCGGTCTCCGGCCCTCAGCCCCAGGTCACATGGTCTCCCTGGCCCTGAGTAAGGAACCTCAACATGGGAGACCCCAAACCCATGGGGGCATCTAGGGAGCCTGCAGAGAGACCGGCAGGAAGCCACCCCCCACCCGCACCCCATGCCACTGCACACTCCATCCCTTCCAGGGGCCCCCATGGTGGGGGAGGCCAGGGTTGGGGTAATGAGGTCCAGATGGCTTGGCGCCCCCGCCAGTGACGACAGAGGGCCCCTCCCAAGGTGGAGAGTTGGGGCCCCTGCCCAGGACAAACTTGGAGGAGACAGGGACCTGGGAGGGGGCTTGGAGGCCAAAATCACAGGCCCCACCCAGAGCCCCGCTCCCCCGTTGAGGATGCTGTAGCCTCCAACAGCCCCCTCAGGAAGAAGAGGGTCCCTTCCCCCACTCCTTGGCCAGCTGGAGTTCATTACCACAAGCCCACCCCCAGCCCTCCCCATTCTCTCTGGTCACCTCTGGAATCCAGATGTGAAAGCCAAATAGACTCATTCTTAAAGGAGACCAGCAACAGGGGAAGGAGGTGGCAGGGGCTTCTGTGCACCCTAGTGGGCGGGGAGGGGTTTTTTGTGGCACCTCGGCAGGGCCCCCACACTCCTTGCCCCTCAGCCTGAGGGCACCCTGGTCATTTCCCTTGGACTGCAGGGGTCTAGGGGACTGGGGTGCAGGGGTTAACCGGGTGTCTGGCAGCTAGACTTGTGTGTGTCATGGGCCTGTGGGGGCCACAGAGGAGGCGGCACGCCCTGCAGCGGGAAAACAGGAAGGCTGCTGGGCTGCAGGGTCAGGGAGGGGCACCCAAGTCCCCTGCCCACCCTCCCCAGGGCGCTTAGCCCCAGGCTCCTCAGTCCTGCCAAGCTACCTTCTCCTTCCAACCTGGGTGAGAGGGTGCCTCCCCCTGAACCCCCAGGGTCACCTGCCTTGGACCCTTGCATCCCAACTCCACCCGTGGATCCTTTTTTTTTGAGATGGAGTCTCACTCTGTTGCCCAGGCTGGAGTGCAATGGTGCGATCTCGGCTCACTGCAACCTCCGCCTCCCGGGTTCAAGGCATTCTTGTGTCTCAGCCTCCCTAGTAGCTGGGATTACAGGCGCCCGCCAACACACCTGGTTAATTTTTGTATTTTTAGTAGAGATGGGGTTTCACCATTTTGGCCGGGCTGGTCTCGGACTCCTGACCGCAGGTGATCCACCTGCCTCGGCCTCCCAAAGTGCTGGGATTATAGGTGTGAGCCACCACACCCAGCCTGCCCACGGATCTTTGACGAGACATTTTAAAACCCTATTCCATGGTCTAGCCCACTCCAAGCCCATGGGAGGGTCTGAGCCTGACTCTGTCCACCAGCCCAGCCCCTTGATGACCACTGGCCCTTGACTCACCTCATCATCCTTGTACCAGGACAGATTCTCAGCAGTCAGCACAAACCAGTACTCCTTGGAGCCCCCTTTCATGATGCCAATATTATTGATAGTCAGCCAGCCCTTGCGGATGACCTGGAGGGTGATGGGGCAGGAGGTCAGTGGACAGGGCCTGAGCCTCCCCATGGGGGATGGGGTAGGCAAAGAGAGGCATTCGAAACCCCACCCCTCTCCCAGCTCTCTGAGGCCTGGCAGTCAGGGAGGGTGGGGGCCAGACCTGCCTTGGTTTGAACCACAAGTGAACAGAGTGGAAGACAGAGGAAGGCAGAGATCAGCTCAGGATAAAGAGCCTTTGACAGGCAGACCTGGCCGAGTTAAGGGACTGGAGGCCTGGGTAGGGGATGAGCTCCCTGTCACTAAAAGTATGCAAGCAGAGTTTATGGGGCCGATTGGGGAAGCCAACTGCGAGTCTTGGAAGCTTAAGGTCTCATCTGTTCTGAGATGTGTTTCTGACTTTACACATGCTGCTGCCGCCTCTGCCTAGAAAGCACTTTTTCCTTTTTGCCTGGCAAATTCCTACTCAGCCTTTGAGTATCAGCTCAGGATTCACATTCTCAGGCAGCCCCTTCCTGTCCCCCAGTATAAATCAGGATTCCCATAATGATCTTTGATCACTCCCTGAAGTCGACTTCTGTAACAAGGGCTTCGATTTTTAATTAACTTCTCTACGTGCGTGTGTGTGATTATCTGTCGATGCAGCCTCCCCTGCTAAATCATGAACTGTTGGTCACTAGTACATCCCAGCACCTTGCAGAGGGCCTGGCAGATAGTAAGTGATCAATACATATTTGTAGTATGAATAAATAAAAGCTATGATAGTACGGTTCTAAGGGTCTTTGGCTCCAGGTCCCCAGGGGCAAGGGCTGAGCCACAAAGTGCCTAGAGTAACAAGCTAAGGTCCCTTTTCATGGCAGGAAGCAGCTGTCCCCAGGACTGTCCAGAGCCATGGCCACGGTCCAGGGCCTGTGGATTCTACTTCAGGGGTAGGGTCACTGGCCAGGTACTGGTCATGGGTCAGATCGAGAGGATGAGGCAGCTGCTTCTGCTCCCTCCTGGACGCTGACCTCCCCAGCTTCTTCTCTGAGCATCCAGAGAAGACCCAAGGAGGCCTGGGGCTGGCGGCAAAGCCCTCTGGGGCCAGGCTTGCTTCTGGAGCCCTCCTTATGCCTCTCTGGTTCCCTGAGAACCTCGCTGAGAACCCAAGCTGCACAGCCCAGCAGCAGTTGAGCTGAGGGGAGAACACCAGCTGCCTCTCTCACCCCTTCCTGATCAGGCGAGGATCCCCACAGGGTCTTGTCACTGTCTTTGGAATTGAGTCCACTGTGTCCCACGATGTGACCAGCAGATCTTGCCACCTGCTCCCCACCCTAACTTGTAGTCTTTGTCCTCCCCCTTGGCCACACCCAGCCCTGAACTCCTCTCTGCTCATCCTAAGCCCTCTCTGCAGCCCTGCACCAGGGACCTCCTGCTCTCCCAACTCCCACCCTGCATGGAGCTCTCAGGGGCCTTAGCTGGGCCCTACCAGCAGGCCCAGGTCTCCACGTCCTGTCCAGGGGCCAGCACCGTGTAGGCACCAGCTAGTGTTGGCTGAATTGAATTGTCCTGATACTACATTCATTCCTCCCTTCATTCTGTTGAGCACCTACTGCGTGCCAGGCTAGGGGCTTGAGCTGAGGATTTAATGATAAACGGGACAGACTCAGCCCTCCCCTTATGGGGCCTGGGAAGGAAATAGACATTAAGCCAATAATCACATAAACACCTAGAGTCTTACAAAGAAACTACGGCCTCTGGAACCTATGGAAAGAAAAGCTGAGGACCCTCGGGCTCATGTGTACAACTGAGCAAGCGCTTCTGACGAGGGATGTTTCCGCAGACATCTAAGGACAGAGAGCAGGAGGCCAGGTGAGCAGTGACTTCTTGACTTCTCTTGACTTCTCATTCGTCTCTTCATTCAAGTCCGGAGGCGATGGCTGTCAGCTTCTTAAAAATGTGTCTTGCTCACGTGCATCCCTCCATCCAGCAGATGTTTAAGGAGCACCTACTCCGTGCCAGGCCCAGCCTTCTCACCCACCCAGCCCCACACGGTCTAGCTCTGCCTGAAGTAGGTGCTTGGCTCGTGCACACAGATGGACGGGTGGATGCGGCTGGGCCTGCCTCTGGCCTGAGGGCAGGTGTGAAATGCCAGGGGCTGGTGTGTACAAGCAGCTTCAGCCAAAGGGTGCCCTCCTACCCGTTGCAGATCCCCACTGCCGATGGACCCTCCGCCCCCTCACTACACAAGCCGAGAGCCCCAGTCCTGGTACTCACCAGAATCTCATCCTGCAAAGAGGTAACCATAGCAACCACGAGAGGCATCGGGGAGAGAGGAGAGAGGGTTACTGAGGCAGAGTGGGAGGCTTGTGGCTGGCAGCTGACAGGTCCCTGGCCCCCGTGGGACCCTTCCCCTCAGGGGAGGGGGCTCTCAGAGTCTGGTGTCCGTCCGGCACCCTCCATCCCTCGGGCTGGGGTGCTGGGCCCCACTCACCTGGTTCCCTGAAGTCTTCTTCTTGTTCATCTGGTTGCTCCTCTGCTGAGCACTAATGGGAGGGAGGGGAGGAGTCTCAGAACTTCTCAAGAGGCCCAGCTCTACTGCCCACTGCTTAGTGGGCACAGGACCCAGAGGGTTAACCTAGCAGACCTGGGCTCTACACACACACACACACACACACACACACACACACACACACACACACACACGTTACCTTCTCTGCCCAGGGAGCACTCACTTTTTGCCTGGGGGAGCACTCACTTGGCAAAGCCTATGAAGTCCTCATGGTTGGTGTTCATGTAAGCCAGCTCGATATCGATGAGAAGCATGACCTTCAAGGATACATAGGTTGGTGGGCAAGCGCAAAAGACACCACAAAGTTTTAAAATGCAGGGCAAGCTGGGAGAAAAGTACTTGCAGCACATATAGGAGGTTAGTATCCATAATAAATATAGTCCCTACCATCAGTGAAAGACAAAAGCTGAGCGTGGTGGCTCACACCTGTGATCCCAGCACTTTGGGAGGTGGAAGTGGGAGGATTGCTTGAGCCTAGGAGTTCAAGAGCAGCCTGGGCAACATAGGGAGACCTGTCTCTACCAAAAAATACAAAAGGTAGCTAGGCATGGTGGCATGTGCCTGTAGTCCCAGCTACTTGGGAGGCTGAGGAGGGAGGATTGATTGAGCCCAGGAAGTTGAGGCTGCAGTGAGCCAAGATTGCACCACTGCATTCCAGCCTAGAAGACAGAGCAAAACCCTGAGAGAAAAGAAGAGAGGAGAGGAGAGGAGAGGAGAGGATGAAAGAAAGAAAGAAAATCACAAATTGGCCAGGTGCGGTGGCTCACGCCTGTAATCCCAGCACTTTGGGAGGCCGAGGTGGGTGGATCACAAGGTCAGGAGATCGAGACCATCCTGCCTAACACGGTGAAACCCCGTCTCTACTAAAAATACAAAAAATTAGCCGGGCGTGGTGGCGGGCTCCTGTAGTCCCAGCTACTTGGGAGGCTGAGGCAGGAGAATGGTGTGAGCCCAGGAGGCGGAGCTTGCAGTGAGCTGAGATGGCACCACTGCACTCCAGCCTGGATGACAGAGTGAGACTCCACCTCAAAAGAAAAAAAAAAAAAAAGAAAATCACAAATCAAAATAGTCAAGAACATGATGAATAATTCATAGAAGAAATGCATACATCCACTAAGGATGTGTAAAAAATCCTTACTCTCATTAATAAAGAAATGTAAGTTAAAAATGAGGCTTTTAGCCAGGCGCAGTGGCTCATGCCTGTAATCCCAGCACTTTGGGAGGCCGAAGTGGGCGGATCACCTGAGGTCAGGAGTTCGAGACCAGCCTGACCAACATGGAGAAATCCCGTCTCTACTAAAAATACAAAATTAGATGGGCATGGTGGCACATGCCTGTAATCCCAGCTACTTGGGAGGCTGAGGCAGGGGAATCACTTGAACTCAGGAGGTGGAGATTGCAGTGAGCCGAGATTGTGCCATTGCACTCCAGCCTGGGCAACAAGAGCGAAACTCTGTCACAAACAAACAAACAAACAAACAAACAAACAAACAGAGGCTTTTTAAATGATCAGCATGACACAAGTGTTGGGAAATGAGCTCTCTCATATATTGTTGATGGAAGTGTAAATCAGTATCACCTTCTCTGAGGGCAATTTGGCAATATTTAACAACATTAAAATGCACAGGGCAGGGAATGGTGGCTCATGCCTGTAATCCCAGCATTTTGGAAGGCCGAGGCAGGAGGATTGCTTGAACCTAGGAATTCAAAACCAACCTGGGAAACATGGAGAAACCCTGTCTCTACAAAAAATAGAAAAATTAGCCAGGTGTAGTGGTGTACGCCTGTGGTCCCAGCTACTTGGGAAGCTAAGATGGGAGGATCGCTTGAGCCCAGGGATGCAGAGGTTGCAGTGAGCCATAATGGCACCACTGCACTCCAGCCTGGGCGTCAGAGCGAGACCCTATCTCAAAACAAACAAACAAACAAACAATGCACATATTCACTTCCAGAATTGTATCTCACAGATACACTCATCAAGTGAGCAAAGATACATGAGCCAGAGTATTCAAAGTAGTACAGTTTGTAATAGAGAAAAATTGGGAGCAAGCCAGTGGCCATCTGAGGGTGAAATAGATTATGACACTCTCTAGACAAGAAAGCACCCTGCAGCTGTTCAAAAGAACAAGGACAGGCCGGGCGGGGTGGCTCACGCCTGTAATCCCAGCACTTTGGGAGGCCGAGGCAGGTAGATCGCTTGAGGTCACAAGTTCACAAGTTCGAGATCAGCCTGGCCAACATGGTGAAACCCTGTCTCTACAAAAATACAAAAATTAGCCGGGCATGGTGGCATGCACCTGTGGTCCCAGCTACTTGGGAGGCTGAGGCAGGAGAATGGCTTGAACCCGGGAGGCAGAGGTTGCAGAGAGCCGAGATTGAGCCACTGCACTCCAGCCTGGGCAACTGAGAGAGACTCCGTCTCAAAAAAAAAAAAAGAACAAGGATAATGTCCAGGTTCCGGCCTGGGAAGACCCTTGCAAACGATTAAATGTGAACATATTTGGAATTCAGTAGTGATGAGAATGACTTTCCAGATGGGACAAAGACTTCCAGGTTCAGACCCAAGCCCCACTGCTTCCTGTGAGCTTGGGGTCTGTCCTCACTTAGCCTCAAAGTCCACAAATGTAGCGTTTCTGCCTCTTAGAACTGGTGAAGACACAGGAGATGAGATACTCAACAGATGTTAGATATTACAATTATCTTCAGAGGAAAAAGGCAAGGCACACAGCAGGCTTGTGGTTTAGGATAAAGATGGAATCTGGATTGTGTGTGTTTGTGTGTGAGTGCACACGCATAAGAAAATGCCTGCAAGGTGACACACTAAACTGGTTTGCTTTTTGGGGTATTACTGAGGCAGAGTCTCACTGTGTTGCCCATGCTGGAATGCAGTGGCATGATCATGGGTCACTGCAGCCTCCACTTCCTGGGCTCAGGCGACCCTCCCACCTCAGCCTCCCATGTAGCTAGGAATTCAGGTGCATGCCGCCTCACCTAGCTAGTTTTTTAAATTTTTTGTAGAGACGGGGTCTTGCCATGTTGCCCTGGCTGGTCTCAAACTCCTGGGCTCATATAATCCTCCCACCTAGGCCTCCCAAAGTGCTGGGGTTACAGGTATAAGCCACTGTGTGGAGCCCCAAACTGTTAGTAATGGTTATTTTTCAGGAAGAACTAGGGGTGGGGAAGAGTGAATGGAGGGCTATCTCCTTGTAATTTAACCACTTCGATACTGATTGAATGTTTTATTGAGTATTTATGATGTTTGTAATTAAAAAGCAATCAATAAGGATTTAAAAATATGACATCAACAACAAAAACATGAATGAATGGAGATGGCAGCATCATGGAGAGATGTGTGAAAACAGGAAATGGGAAATGGGAGCCAGAGGGGGCTACAACAGACATGTAGGGGCATGGCAGACAGGGATCAGAAAGGAGGACTAGCCTCCGAGCTCCGTGAGGGCCACGATGGGCCCTGCTCACCTCTGCTCCGTGCAGCTCAGAGGTAGCGTTCAGTGGCTATGTTTGTGATTGAAGGAAGAAATGAATGAATATTTGATGAACGATGACATAAAAGGTGGGGGTGGCTATGAGGGGTATAATGTGACCCAGAGAAACAGCAAATAGACAAAGAGAGGCCCAAAGAGAGGACCACAAGGATAGACTGCCAGAAAGTGAAGAAAGCCTGACCAGCCTGGGCACGGTGGCTCATGCTCGTAATCTCAGCATTTTGGGAGGCTGAGGCAGATCGCTTGAGCCCAGAAGTTTGAGACCATCCTGGGCACCATAGTGAGACCCCCGTCTCTACAAAAAAATTTTAAAATTAGCCAGGCGTAGTGGCATGTACCTGTAGCCCCAGCTACTCGGGAGGCTAAAGTCGGAGGATCGCTTGAGCCTGGGAGGTCGAGTCTTCAGTGAACCATGATCATGCTACTGCACTCCTGCCTAGCAGGGGCGACAGAGCAGGACTCTGTCTCCAAAAAAAATAAGCATAGAACCAGCCTATGGCCCAGCATTTCCACTTTTAGGTATATACTCAAAAGGGTAGAAAGTGGGGACTCAGATAGGGATTTGTACACTCATCTTCAAAGCAGTGTGATTCACAATGGCCAAAAGGTAGGAAAAACCCACATGAATAAACAAAGTGTGGTCCATCCATACAATGGAATATTATTCAAGCCTTAAAAAGGAAGCAGCTTTTTTTTTTTTTTGAGACGGAGTCTCACTCTGTTGCCCAGGCTGGAGTGCAATGGCATGATCTCAGCTCACTGCAATCTCTGCCTCCCGGGTTCAAGTGGTTCTCCTGCCTCAGCTTCCTGAATAGCTGGGATTACAGGCGCCCACCACCAAGTCCGGCTAAATTTTGTATTTTTAGTAGAGACGGGGTTTCACCATGTTGGCCAGGCTGGTCTCAAACTCCTGACCTCGTGATCCGCCCACCTTGGCCTCCCAAAGTGCTTGGATTACAGGCATGAGCCACCACGCCCGGCCAGGAAGCAGCTTTTGACACATGCTACAATACGGATGGTCCTGGAAGACATTATGCTAAGTGACAGATACTGTATGACTCCACTTACGTGAGGTCCCTAGAAAAGTCAAATTCATAGAGACAGGCCAGGCACGGTGGCTCACACCTGTAATCCCAGTACTTTGGGAGGCCGAGGCGGGTGGATCACTTGAGATCAGGAGTTTGAGAACAGCCTGTTCAACATGGTGAAATCCCATCTCTACCAAAAATATAAAAAATTAGCCGGGTGTGTGGTGCGTGCCTGTAATTCCAGCTACTCGGGAAGCTGAGGCAGGAGAATCGCTTGAACTCCGGAAGCGGAGGTTGCAGTGAACCGATTTCATGCCACTGTACTCCAGCCTGGGCAACAGTGAGGCTCCGTCTTAAAACAAACAAACAACAAATTCATAGAGACAGAAACATGAATGGTGGCTGCCAGCTGCCGGGAGCTGGGGGAGCAGGGAATGGGATGTTAGTGTTTCATGGGGACAGTTTCCGTTTTGCAAGATGAAAAGAGTTCTGTGGGCCAGGCGCGGTGGCTCACGCCTGTAATCCCAGCACTTTGGGAGGCTGAGGTGGGCAGATCACTTGAGGTCAGGAGTTTGAGACCAGCCTGGCCAACGTGGTGAAACCCTGTCTGTACTAAAAATACAAAAATTACCCGGGCATGGTGGCGCACGCCACCTCCCAGTAGCCTCCCAGCTACTCGGGAGGCTGAGGCAAGAGAATCACTTGAACCCAAGAGGCGGAGGTTGCAGTGAGCTGAGAGATCACACCACTGCACTCCAGCCTGGACGATAGAGCAAGACTCTGTCTCAAAAAAACAGTTCTGTGGATGGATGTTGCTGTGCAACAGCGCAAATGTACTTAGTGCCACTGAACTGTGCGCTTAAACATGGCTAAAGTGGTATGTTATGTGTATTTTACTGCAATAAAAAAGAGAGAGAAGCAGAGAGTCAGTATGAGACAGAGGAAGACTGAGACAGAAGAGACAAAACAAGAAGGAAGCAACCCCAGGGCCAGGAGTGGAAGGCGCAGGCGGCCAGGAGTGGAAGGAAGGCGCGGCCAGGCCGGGTGCTGCGGGGCTCACCTGCTCCTTAGTGCGGCCCTCGCGCTCCCGGATGTGGGTGGTCACGATGCGCTCCATCTCCTCCCGTAGCCGCGGGTACTGCTGGAGCTGGGGAAGGGCAGGAGGGCAGAAAGCCACGTACACAGAGGGCACGGGCAGGGAGCACCCACACCCCACGAGTCCAGGGATCCGCGGCGCAGGGTGGGAGGCACACACAGAATGCCCACAACGCGGGGAAGAGAGACCTAGGGTCCCAGGACGCTGATGGCACCAAGCCACGGCCACCCCTTTCCCCCAAGTGTGGGTTCCAAATGGTGATTCAAGGGTCTTCCTGGTTCCGGGCCCTCTTCACTGGCCTACCTGGGCAACTTCAGGGCAGAGGGGTGGTTCCCGTGGGAGAAAGGCCATGGGAATGAGCCTGCCCCGCAGACTGGTTAGGTTAAGGCCTCTGGGGACCGTTAGCTCCCAAGGTGTTCCCTCATACTCAGGGCTACCCTGTGCCTTCCTAAAGGCGTGGAGGGACAGCTAGATGGGGAATCAGGCAGGGGACAGCCTCTGGATTCCTATCCAGGAGGAATCGGGGGAGGACAGGGCCCAAGGTGCCAGTTGGCCTCCTGAGTCAGGCTGGGACAGGCAATGCTCCTTGTCAGAGCTGGGGAGGGGGTTCAGGGGAAAACCAGCAGTCACACCAGAGGACATGCAGGAAACACAAGCAAAAGCATGCGAGGGCTGGGGGACATGCAAGGCGGGGGCCAGCAGCATGAGCAGTACCCCGCGGGGCCTGGCTGGGCCCTGGCCCTCTTGGTGGAATCCATTCAGCTCTGTCTCCCTTGCATGCCCCTGCCCGGCACCACCATCCCCAGCCACATCTGCCCGGCTCTGGCCAGCCACACTGTCTCGACCCCACTCCTTTGGGGTAGGAGCTCAGCAGCACCTCTTTCCCCCCAGTTCTTATGAAGGGAGGCTGAAGGGGAAGTTGCTCCAAACCCGTCCCCCTCTGCCTGCGAATCGTGCCCTCAGCTCAGTCGGGCTCTGGGCACAGCCCAGGTGATTCACTTGACTACAAGGTTCTGCCGGACTTCAGCTCCTCCAGAAAGCCTGCCCCGACTGCTTGAGAGCTGAGTTAGGGGCCTCTCTCCACTCCTCTCCCACTCCACCTCCTCCAATCAACTGGGTGGCAACTGTCCCCGAGGCAGGGCTGGGGCAGGGCCAGGCCCATGGCCAGTGCTGGAAGAGGGCGTGTTGGAGAATGAGGGAATGAATGAAGGATGGATGCCAGGGTGAGTGGCACAGGGTCCTCAGCCCTCTGGCCCATGATCAGCTCTTCCGGGGAGGAGACTCAGTGCATTTCTGATGGTGGGAGCCCACCCCCAGGGGCTCCAGTCCTGTGGGCCCACCCTCTCCACGCGGTGGCCACCTGGGGCCCAGGCAGCACGATGGGGCAAAGCTGGGAGCGCTCCTCGTCCTTCTTCCCGTGGCTGGGTCAGGCCCTTCAGGTGGGTCCCCCAGTGGAGGAAGAGGCCCAGGGATTGGTGTGCCTGAGTCACAGGTGGTGATTCTGAGGGCAGGATGGAGGCCAAGGAGTTTTGAGGAGGGGCATGGGAGAGGCAGGAGGATGGGGAGAAAGCAGGGCCCTGGATATCGGTCCAGGATGCCAACACGAGGGATGCCCGCATCACACCCATCATCCCGTGGCTGTGCCAAGGGCGTGGATGATGTGGCTAAGCTCAGGAGACCTGAGGGAGGGGCAGTCTGAGACCAGGGGCTTAAAAACGGTGACTAGAGGGGCCCTGTGAACCCCACTGCTCCTGAGGCTCAAGGAAGGGCTCCCGCTCTTTGCAGTCTCCAAGTCTGGGCAGACATTTGGGACTGGGTCACAGCCACCAGGCCTCCTCTGAGGTGGTCCCAAGTGCTCCCTCCCAGGGTAGAGTTTGGAGGAGCAGGGAGAAGGAGGGAGGAGGAGGGCGCAATTTGCCAAAGAGCATGACCAATTCTCCCACTAACCGCCTGGATGTCACATGTCTCAAGTTTTCCACGTGTCACCCATGGCAGGGCAGCCTCCACCCCTTTGAGAAGTTCTGTCCCCTTTGAGCATCTTTTTCCATTCTGGCTGCCTCTGAACATTTCCAGGATGTTCCGCCAGCTTTTCAAAAGGAACGTTCCCCTCTCAGCCCTTGGCTGAGGGGGCGATCAGCCTGGAGCCCACCGGGTTAGCAGTCAGGGACACAGCCCCTGGAGCCATTCAGCCCTGGGTTCAAAGCCAGCCGCTGTCCGCTGACTCTCCTTAGAAAAATGACCAGACCTCTCTGGGCCTCAGTTTCTCCATGTGGAAAATGGGGTAGTAATGACACCTTCCCTCCTAGAGTTGTTGAGAGAACTGAGCAGCACATCCCATGCCCAACATTAAACTCTTCATTTCACTCAGAGATGGCAAGTCTAATCCCAGCAGGGCTGGCAGTAATGAGAGTTCACTTATTAACACTCATTAAACTTCTGGCAGGAGTGACTTGATAACCTTAGAAAACTCGAGGGGAGGAAAAAATATATACACAAAGATAGGCAAAGGTGAGTTTTGCCTATAAGGAAAAAAATAATTATGATCCACTAAACCAATCAAAAGGCAAAAGTGGCCGGTTGCGGTGGCTTGCACCTGTAATCCCAGTACATTGGGAGGCCGAGGTGGGCAGATCACCTGAGGTCGGGAGTTCGAGACCAGCCTGACCAACATGGAGAAACCCCGTCTCTATTAAAAATACAAAAGTAGCCGGGCGTGGTGGCACATGCCTGTAATCCCAGCTACTCGGAGGCTGAGGCAGGAGAATCACTTGGACCCAGGAGGTGGAGGTTGCAGTAAGCTGAGATCGTGCCGTTGCACTCTAGCCTGGGCAACAAGAGCGAAATTCTGTCTCCAAAAAAAAAAAAAAAAAAAAAAAAGGCAAAAGTATCAGTTTCCTCCTTTTAGACCAAAGCTTTCCTTTCCAAATATTTGTTGATCAGTTTTTTCTGCTCATAAAAATCACACAGACGGCAGGGCATGGTGGCGCATGCCTGTAATCCCAGCACTTTGGGAGGTCGAGGCAGGCAGATCACTTGAGGTCAGGAGTTTGAGACCAGCCTGGCTAACATGGTGAAATCCCATCTCTACCAAAAATACAAAAATTAGCTGGGTGTGGTGGCACATGCCTTTAATCACAGCTACTCAGGAGGCTGAGGCATAAGAATCGTTTGAATCCAGGAGGCAGAGGTTGCAGTGAGCCGAGATCGTGCCACTGCACTCCAGCCTGGGTGACAGAGCAAGACTTTGTCTCAAAAAAAAGAAAAAGAAATCACACAGACTCACTGTAAAAGATTAGAGCATGACTAAAATTTATGAAGTGGGCTGGGCACGGTGGCTCATGCTTGTAATCCCAGCACTTTGGGAGGCCAAGGCGGGTGGATCACCTGAGGTCAGGAGTTCGAGACTAGCGTGGCCAACATGGTAAAACCTCGTCTCTACTAAAAATACAAAAAATTAGCTGGGTGTGATGGCGGGCACCTGTAATCCCAGTTACTTGGGAGGCTGAGGCAGAAGAATTGCTTGAACCTGGATGGCGGAGGTTGCAGTGAGCCGAGATTGCGCCATTGCACTCCAGCCTGGGCAACAAGAGCGAAACTCCATCTCAAAAAAAAAAATAGTAATAATAAAAATAAATAAAGAAATAAATAAATAAATAAAATTTGTGAAGAGAAAATAAAAAGATTCCTATGGTGAATACGCCTTTGAGATTTTATCATTCACATATATTATTTTTTCTCCAAAATACCATACGTTCTTTTCTGAAACCTGCTTTTTTTTTTTCCCAACAATATGCTGTGGAGGGACAAGTGAATCCCATCTTTTTTTTTAATTTTTAATTTTCTTTTTTTTTTTTTGAGACGGAGTCTCGATCTGTCACCCAGGCTGGAGTGCAATGGCTCAATCTTGGCTAACTGCAACCTCCGCCTCCTGGGTTCAAGCAATTCTCTGCTTCAGCCTCCCGAGTAGCTGGGATTACAAGCACCCGCCACCACACCCAGCTAATTTTTGTGTTTTTAGTAGAGACAGAGTTTCACCATGTTGGCCAGGCTGGTCTTGAACTCCTGACCTCGTGATCCACTCGCCTCAGCCTCCCAAAGTGCTGGGATTACAGGTGTGAGCCACCACGCCTGGCCACCCACCCTCCCTTTTTTTTCCTTTGAGACGGAGTCTCGCTCTGTCACCCAGGCTGGAGTGCAGTGGCGTGATCTTGGCTCACTGCAACCTCTGCCTTCCAGGTTCAAGTGATTCTCCTGCCTCAGCCTCCCGAGTGGCTGAGATTACAGGTGCCCACCACCACACCCGGCTAATTTTTCTATTTTTAGTAGAGACGGGTTTCACTATTTGGCGAGACTGGTCTCAAACTCCTGATCTCAGGTGATCCACCTGCCTCGGCCTCCCAAAGTACTGGACTGGGATTACAGGCATGAGCCACTGCACCTGGCCAAGCTTTTTTTTTTTTTTTTTTTTTTTGATAAGGTTTTGCTCTGTCTTCCAGTCTGGAATATGGTGGTGTGATCACAATCAGAGCTCACTGCAGCCTCGACCTTCCAGGCTCAAGCAGTCCTCCCACATCAGCCACCTAAGTAGCTGGGACTACAGGCGTGTGCCATCATGCCCAGCTAATCTTTTTATTTTTTGTAGAGACAGGGTCTTACTATGTTGCCCAGGCTGGTCTCTAACTTCTTTTTTATTTATTTTAGAGACAGGGTCTCTAAAATAACCCAGGAGTGCAGTGGTGCAACTGAACTCCTTGGTTCAAGCCATCCTTCTGCCTCAGCCTCCCAAGTAGCAAGGACTGCAGGTGCATACTGCCACGCCTGGCTAATTAAAAAAAAAAATTTTGTAGAGACAGGGTTTTGCTATGTTGCCCAGGCTGGTATTAAACTTCTGGCCTCAAGCAATCCTCCCGCTTCAGCTTCCCAAAGTTCTGGGATTACAGGTGTGAGCCCAGCCTATATAAACATTTTAATGGGTGCATAATATTCTATTGAATAGATTTATCACAGTTTACTTAACCATTTTCCTATTGGTGAATATTTAGATAGTCTCCAGTTTTTCTTTTTCTTTTTCTTTCTTTCTTTTTTTTTTGAGATGGAGTCTGGCTCTGTCGCCCAGGCTGGAGTGCAGTGGTGTGATCTTGGTTCACTGCAACCTCCACCTCCCAGGTTCAAGCGATTCTCCTCCCTCAGCCTCCTGAGTAGCTGGGACTACAGGCACGTGCCACCATGCCCGTCTAATTTTTGCATTTTTAGTAGAGACAGGGTTTCACCATATTGGTCAGGCTGGTCTTGAACTCCTGACCTTGTGATCCACCCACCTCAGCCTTCCAAAGTTCTGGGATCACAGGCGTGAGCCACTGCGCCTGGCCAGATAGTTTCCAGTTTTTCAATATTCTAAATAACCTGACAATGAATATCTCTGTGGATAGTTTTGCTTTTCTTTCTCTGCGATTGTTTCCTTAGGATAGATTCCTAGAAGATTGATTACTAGATATAAACATTTAAAAACCATGAAACACTTTGACTCTCATTCCAAAAGGAAAGCAGTGATTATGGTAAAATTTGGAAACAACCCAAATGTCCATCAAGAAGCCACTGTTGCCAGATGGTGGCTCATGCCTATAAACCCAGCATTTTGGGAGGCTGAAGCAGGAGGACTGCTTGAGGCCTGGAGTTCAAGAGCAGCCTGGGCAACATAGTAAGATCCTGTCTTAACAAAAAAATTATTAGGCCAGGAGGGGTGGCTCATGCCTGTAATCCCAGCACTTTGGGAGGCTGAGGTGGGAGGATCACTTGAGGTCAGGGGTTCAAGACCAGCCTGGCCAACATTATGAAACCCCATCTCTACTGAAAATAAGAAAAATTAGCTGGGTGTGGTGGGAGGAGCCTGTAATCCCAGCTACTCGGGAGGCTGAGGCAGGAGAATCGCTTGAACCTGAGAGGTGGAGGTTGCAGTGAGCCGAGATGGCACCACTGCACTCCAGCCTGGGCAACAAGCGTGAAACTCTGTCTCAAAAAAAACCAAAAACAAACAAACAAACAAACAAAAATATTAGCTGGGTGGGGTGTGGTGGTTAGTGCTTGAAGTCCCACTACTTGGGAGGCTGAGGCGGGAGGATCGCTTGAGCCCAGTTTGAGCCTACAGTGAGCTATGATTGTGCCACTGCACTCCATGCTGGGAGATACAGCAAAACCCCGTCTCTAAAAAAGAAAGAAAAAACAATGGGATAAATACTACAAATACATCTATAAGGATGTTCATTGTAACATCGTTTGTGAAGGCAAAAAAAAAAATTGAAACTTAAATGTCCGTCAAGAGGACATTGAACATATAAATCATGCCACATTTCTACAGTGGAATACAACTCAGTAGTTAAAGAGCATGAGACTGGCTGAGCGTGGTGGCTCACACCTGTAATCCCAGCACTTTGAGAGGCCAAGGTGGGCAGATCACCTGAGGTCAGGAGTTCAAGACCAGCCTGGCTAACATGGTGAAACCCCGTCTCTACTAAAAATACAAAAATTAGCCAGGCATGGTGGTGCTCACCTGTAGTCCCAGCCACTTGGGAGGCTGAGGTGGAAGTACCACTTGAACCCAGGAAGTGGAGGTTGCAGTGAGCTGAGATCGTGCCACTGCACTCCAGCCTAGGCAACAGAGTGAGACTGTCTCAAAAAAAAAAAAAAAAAAAAAAAAAAGGCATGAGACCAATCTTTATGTAGCAACATACAAGGATTACACAACACACTGCTCAGTAAAAAAGAATGCGCGGTGGCTCATGTTTGTAATCCTAGCACTTTGGGAGGCCGAGGCAGGTGGATCACCTCCGGTCAGGGGTTCAAGACCAGCCTGGCCAACGTGGCAAAACCCCATCTCTACTAAAAATACAAAAATTAGCCAGGTGTGGTGGTACATGCTAGTAATCCCAGCCACCCGGGAGGCTGAGGCAGGAGAATACTTGAACCCAGGAGGCAGAGGTTGCAGTGAGCCAAGATGGTGCCACTGCACTCCAGCCTGGGCGACAGAGCAAGATTCCATCTCAAAAAAAAAAAAAAAAAAAAAAAGGAATGGAGATGATTGATGCTTATTTGAAACTCAATGCTAAGGTGGATGTGCCTCCACCCACCAGCATAGGGAAGTCCTTCAGATATAGGTGAGGCTGGGCTCACCCCTGGCACCTCTGATTTAGCCTGCTGGAGAAGCTCCTGCAGGCAACTGATTCTCTCGCACTCCCCTGGGAAGAACTGCTTTAGACAACCTGGCTAAAAATCCTCAAAATGCCCAAAAGCAGACAAATAGGAAAAAGGCATCTAAAAAGTCACAGACAACTCAAAAGAGACCGCCCCTGTCTCTCACGCACGGATTACTGTAAAGTGAGTAATCCAATATGCTTTCAGGCAAATTGGTTTTGAGGAACTAGGACAGCTCCCCCTGCCCAGGAGGCCCTGACCTCAGACCCCTTCCTCTGTCCTTCCTAAAACTGAATCACACTCTGCTTCTCTTTTCTGAGACTCTGTTTTGCCATCTGCAAAATGGGAATAACAACACTACCCACGTCTTAGGGTGGTTGAGAGGACTGAGTCAGATAGTAAGGGCAAGCACTTAGCGTGTGCTTGGCACATAGTAGGTGCTCAGTAAACAGCTGCCATCTCCTTAACATCATCTTCATCACTAGCATAGGTGCCACCAAGGAGGCTTGGGTTGGAGTCAAGTCTTCTGGGATGGGGGCCTGGAGGGGTCATGAGTGCAAGTACCCAGGGTTAGAAACTGGCAGGAAACACTAGGGCTGGGTCCCTGCGGGTAGCCGTGAGGCCGGCTCAGCAGATCCTTCTGCCCACGGGAGGCTGTGGCCACAAGGAATGGACGGCCAGGCCCAGCCCCGCCCAGGCGGCCGTCATACCTTTTCGCTACACTTTCTGATGGTGGCTGTGAGCTCACTGACTACCATATCCACACACTTGATACTGGGCTCTTTGAGCTTCTGCACCTGCTTTTTCACTGTGGCTTCAAAAGCGAGGTCAGGTGTGAAGAGGCCCGTCCTGCACCCGGGGAGGAGGTGGGGACAGGAGGAGGAGCAGCCGTGGGTGGGGAGGAGAAGTGGGTGAAAGCCAAGCAGAGACAGGAATCCAGGGGTGGAGAGGATGGCACGGGCACGGGGGAAGAGAGAGAGACATCGACACAGATAAAGAGAGAGAGAGAACAGAAGACAATGTGAGCGTGGGACCGGCCCTCCCTTGCCACCCGGGGTTGGCACCTCCCAGGTGCTGCCAAGCATCCCCTGGGCTCCATAGGTATGGCCAGAGGTACGAGGGACCAAGCCCCTGCTCCGTACAAGACCCCTATTGAGTTCAGATCCTCTTCCCAGGGATGCTCCCCTGCTCCTCGGCCTCACTGAGGCTGCCTGCTCTCTCCCAGTGCCGTCTTTGTCCACAGCCTTGGGTTCTCCTAAGGAGCTGACCCAGGCCAGGACAAGGCCAGGACCTCATCCACCCATCCTGTTCAATTCTACGTTTCCCAGTGTCCCAGAATTTGCTTCATCCTGACTCCAAACCTCAGTACCATTCCCTATCTCTAGGGTTGCCGCATCCAGCTGCCCAGGCCATGCACTGCACAACTCCAGGGGGGTCCATTCCCGTAAACCGTGGCGCAGAGGCTGCCTCCTAGGGTTGCAGTATAGCAGCCTGACCTCCCTCTCCAGCTCCCTGCTCTAGTCCCGCCCCTCCCTTTCTCTTCAAGGGGCATTCCTGGCCTCTCCTCCACAGGGGTTTGGTGGAACCAAAAGACAGAAAGAGAAGAGGAAAGACAGAAAGAGTAGAGGTAGTGATAGAGAGGGGCCGGGACAGCAGTGGGGAGAGGAAAGGAAGGGAGGCTGGAGGGTGGAATCGAGGAGCACTGGACTTGGAGTCCAGAGCCGTGGCTTCAAGTAACAGCTCTGCCACCTCCTGACTACTGTGACTTGGGCAAGCCACTTGATCTCCTGGAGCTTCAGTGTTCGTGCTGTGAAATGGGCACCGTCCTCCCTGTCCTGCCTCCCTGCGTGCTTCTGTGAGGCTTGGATGGTGGGGCAGATGGGAGAAGGGCTCTATCCCTGGAAAGCCAGATGTGGATGGAAGGGAGGGAGAGGCCCTGAGTGAGGGTCTTACGTGAGCATCCTGTGTGAGGGTCCTGAGTGAGGGTGAGATGAGTATGGGGAGGATGAAGGACAGCGGGGAGCCAGGGCACCTGCTAGTCCTGGGTCCTCTGCACCCCCTCTGGCCACCCAGGCCCACCGAGCAGTGCCCGAGAAGGCCCTGCATTTCACCTGTCTCCAAGGCTAAGGTTTCCCCAGACCCCTCCCTGGAGCTCCCAAAGATGACACCTCCGAGGACAGGGAGGGGGCTCAGGGTCCCCTCAAGCCCTATTCTCTGAGCTGGGGGAGCTCTTGGTGGGCTCTTGGGGTAAACAGCCAGCCATCATCCCCGTCTCACCCATGTCCAATCCCTGGGTCCCCAGACCTGGGGGCCAGGGGTGGGTGAGGCCCTCTCAGAGGCACATTGTCTCCTATTCAGTGGTGGCCTGCCTCCCCACCCCGCTGAGGTCTGTACATGCTACCGAGGAGGCAGGGGGGGACATGGGGAAGGAGCGCCTGGCAGCAGTGCAGGGCGGGGCAGAGGCGGTGGGGGCTGGCCCGGGCCTCCGGGTTACCTTCTTGGTGCACTGTCTAACGGTGCTGATTAGCTCCGAGATAACCATGTCCACACACTTGAGACACGGTTCTCGGATCTTCTTCACCTGCTTTTTCACAATGGTCTCAAAGGCCATGTCTGGGGTAAACAGCCCCGTTCTGAACGCCCGGAGCGGGAGAAGGGCAGAGTGTCACAGGCCAGTGCCGGCCAGGAGGGCCAGGCCGAGGCTCCTCCCCAAGCCCACGAACTCTGCCTGAGGGGCCCTTCCACTACCCCTCTCTGGGCCTCAGTGTCCCCAGTTGTAAAATGGGAGGGAGGGGTTCTAATGAAGGGTTTTTTGTTGTTGTTGTTATTTTTTTTGAGACGGAGTCTTGCTCTGTCGCCCAGGCTGGAGTGCAGTGGCGCAATCTTGGCTCACTGCAACCTCCGCCTCCCGGGTTCACGCCATTCTCCTGCCTCAGCCTCCCAAGTAGCTGGGACTACAGGCGCCTGCCACCACGCCCGGCTAATTTTTTCGTATTTTTAGTAGAGACAGGGTTTCACCGTGTTAGCCAGGATGGTCTCGATCTCCTGACCTCATGATCCGCCTGCCTCGGCCTTCCAAAGTGCTGGGATTACAGGCGTGAGCCACCGCGCCCGGCCCTAATGAGGCTCTTTGGGGCAAGACAAGGTGGTTGAGTATCTGATATGTAAGTCCTGCTTCCTCGTAAGGGTCTGTGCATATAGGAAGTTCTATGGCCAGAAATGGCTTGAAAATTGCCAAACGTGGTTCTCCATAAGAGCCTTTCCAGGAATAGAGTGTTTTGTTTTAAGACTAGGAAAGAGATCTTTTTTCTGTGAATTGGCCAGTGCAGTTATCAGGAAGTAAATTCCATGCCAAATCTTGGAAATGAACCTGCATGAGAGCAAGGGGACACTGGGTCTTGTTCACTGCTTGGCATAGGGTAGGTGCTTTAAATTTTCCGGCCCAGTGGATTTGTTGGATGAACACAGCATAGATCTGGGTCCCTGAAGGGGATCTAAGCTTTTAAGGAACAGATTCCACCTCCCAATCCTGTTTCCTACTCCACGGGTTGCCTAGAAGGAGGGCGGTGGGGTGGAATGGGACTGACTCTGGGCTACTGTGAATACAGGAGGGTGTGGAGGATTGCAAAGTCCCCGGCCGTCATAAAAGGACACAGCCTCATACTTAGATGCTCCACCCCAGGCCCTCGTAGTGGTTTGGACATCTTTGTCCGGTTACCTGGGTGGCACTGGGGGAGCTATCTCACCCTGGGGATGGGCCCAGCCCCAGAGGGTGTTTCCCCGGCCACCTGCGCCCTGGGCTGTGCCCAGTTGGCCCAGCAAGTTGCAGTAGGCGGGGTGGCCCGGGTCCACCTCCCCAAGCTGGAGCCTGTCATGCAGGGAGCCAGAAAGTTGGGGTCGAGAGGACTGGGGAACAGAGCTTTCAGTCCTTCCTGAGGGAGGCCCACTTCATCACTCCCTGTGCCTCTGTCCCAGACCCCCTACTTCTGGGGTTCAGCCACCCTCCCAGGCCCCAATACGTGCCTAATGCCATGGATATTCTTGATAGCATAGCTGATCTCCCTTCGGAGTTCCTTCTCATCAAACTCCATCTGTGTAGAAAAGCAGAGAAAAGCCTGGTCAGGGCCTGTCCTACTACCTGGGAGGTCAAGACAGGGCCCACCCCACACCTAGGGCTGGGCATCAGGGCCTGTGGGGTGGGGGCCAGCAAAAACACACGCAGAGAGAGTCCTGAGTGAGGGTGGGGGGAGTCCTGAGCCATCCTGTCCCCAGGGCTGCCTGACCTACCTTGACCAGCTCGAAAGGGAAGCGCTCGTGGAAGATTCGGTTAATGCGGGCTCCCCCTGACAGTTCGTAGGTGTCGATCTGATCTCCTGAGCCCTCAATGCGCTTCTCAAAGTCTACGGCGAACTGCTGGACCATCCTGGTGGGAGAGTGGTGTGGCCTGAGGGGGCAGGAGCAGCCCAGCAAAGGGAACCCTGGGAGAGCCCCACGCTGAGAGGCTGGGGGCGGGGATTCAGTGATAGGAGCTGGGGGAGCCTCACTGCAGCAGGGCCTTGGTCTTGCGAGCTGGGTCATCAGGGCGGAAGTTCTTGTATTCCTCCACCTCCTTCTCAATGGACAGTAGCTGGCTCTGCAGCTTGTTCCGCAGCCCCGGCAGTGTGTCCCGGATGTGGTTCGTCAGTTGCTGGGGGTAAGGGTGAGGAAAGGGTTGAGGACAGATGGTCACAGGGCCAGGAAGGGACTTGGATGCCAGGGGACTGTGTGAACGTGGTGAGGTGGAGAGCTATGGAGGGCAGCCCTGCCACTGCTGCCCGGGCCACTAGCAAGAAAACTGGTTCATAGAAGGAGCTTGCAGAGATGTATTAGTTGAATTAATGAGTGCATAATTTTCAATAAAGCCAGAAATCTGGATTTGTATTTGGAATTTCCTGATTTTTGGCCAATTTAATCTTTTTATTTTTATTTATTATTATTATTTTTTTGAGACGGAGTTTCACTCGTCACCCAGGCTGGAGTGCAATGGCGTGATCTCAGCTCACTGCAACCTGCGATCTCTGCCTCCCAGTTTCAAGCAATTCTCCTGCCTCAGCCTCCCAAGTAACTGGGACTACAGGCGTGCACCACCATGCCCAGCTAATTTTTTGTATTTTTAGTACAGGTTTTCGCCTTGTTGGCCAGGCTGGTGTCGAACTTTTGGCCTCAAGTGATCCACCCGCCTCAGCCTCCCAAAGTGGTGGGATTACAGGCATGAACCACCATACCATCCCAATTTAATATTTTTAGACGTGCGTCTGAGGCAGGGGTGGCCAGAGGGCTGCCCCTTGGACCCTCTGGGTTTAAAGCCTCCTTTAAGGTCATTCTCAAGTTCTAGCACTCATGCTCACTAGGTGCCCCCACACAGTATCTCCCTGAACCTTTACAACAATCCTATGAAACAGGTCTGATCACCATTGTCTCCATTTTACAGATGCAGAAATAGAGGCTCAGAGGCCAGGCACGATTATGGCTCATGCCTGTTATCCCAGCACTTTGGGAGGCCAAGGCGGGCAGATCACCTGATGTCAGGAGTACGAGACCAGCCTGGCTAACATGGTGAAACCCCGTCTCTACTAAAAATACAAAAATTAGCCAGGCGTGGTGGTGTGTGCCTGTAATCCCAGCTACCTGGGAGGCTGAGGTAGGAGAATCCCTTGAATCCAGGAGGCAGAGGTTGCAGTGAGCTGAGATCGCACCATTGCACTCCAGCCTGGGTGACAAGAGCAAAACTCCATCTAAGAGAGAAAGAAAGAAAGAGAGAAAGAGAGAAAGAGAGAAAGAAAGAGAGAAAGAGAGAAAGAAAGAGAGAAAGAAAGAAAGAGAAAGAAAGGAAGGAAGGAAGGAAGGAAGGGAAAGAAAGAAAGAAAGAGAAAGAAAGAAAGAAGAAAGGAAAGAAAGAAAGAAAAGAAAAGAAAGAAAGAAAGAAAGAAAGAAAGAAAGAAAGAAAGAAAGAAAGAAAACAAATAAAGAAAAAAGAAATAGAGGCTCAGAGAGCCAGAGAGAGTGTCTCAGAGGGGGAGTGACAAAACTGGGATTGGAAACCAGGTCTTGCCTACACAGACAGACAGTCAGACAGACACACACACACACACACACACACACGCGCGCGCGCGCGCACTTCAGTTCTGGATGCCCCATTCCAGATGGAGAAAAGTCCTGGGGAAGCCCCTGGGATTCCCTGTCAAGGTCTTCAGCCGAGTATACTTGAATCCTGGCCCCCAAACCCAAGCTCTTCCCCATGACACCCTCCACATAGGTCTTGGCCTTCTCTGTGTTGGGGACTTCCAGGGCT